>NC_000010.11:87870368-88173398 GCF_000001405.40 Homo sapiens
AAATAAATCTCTGCTAACTCAAACTGTTGACCAAAGTAAAATTAATTATGCCAATCAAAAACTATTTGCTTTAAAATATAAAAGGCAAAAACTTCCTATTAGCATAATGAAGTAGAATTTTTAAACTTTGTTATAATCTTAAATTTTCTTTAGTGTTGAAGATAGGTCAACTTAACTATCATACATTTTTATTCACATAAAGTAAACTCTGCCTCAAATGTAATAAACTTAATATGAGTTATGTAAACTTTGGTCAATAGAGGTATATTTTTTAGCATTTCCTTTTGAAAATTTCAGCCTTTTGAGGGAGTCTTGCAACTGAATGTCAAGTTACATTTATTACAATAAAATGGACACTTAATATAATCTGTAATGCATTAACATAATATGGGAACTTTTAAAGTATTCAGTCTCTGTATTATTGAGTCCTATTTCCACATTTGGCCAGGATTCTCAATATGATTTAGGCCCAAGACGTGGGAAGAAAGAAGTAAAGAACTAAAGGATTTTTTTCTTCATTTTTTTAATTGAATATGGGGAAAGATGGAATAAGCTTATCTGTCCAGTAAAGGCCATTATGTGTACATAGGGATTATTATTTTTCCCCCCCTTGGGCTGTACTGATTTCCCAGATGTACCACAGCACTCTTAGTAGTGAAGCACTTGACTTCTAGTGAGTGGATTTTTTGTGTGTGTGTTTTATATTGCAGAGTGAATACACTCTGTCTGATACTATGTGACTTTCTGATTATGTGATTTTTATGCATTTTATGTGTTTTGTAAACTAGCTGTATTTTTGGTCCATGTCTAGGTTGTAGAATTGAATTGTGCATTTTGGCATCTGAGCACAGCTGAGTTTTCTAAATCAATCTCTCTCCTTGCACCTAGTTTTTGCTTTAGATCACTACCTAAGACTTACTGTTGATTTAATATTAGAGCACTTAAGCATAGCTTTGACTTTTATTTCCTTTGATTTTTGTAGATTTTCAGGCTGAAGTACAATAAGGTTCTCTGTTCTTTACTAGTAATTGCAAAGATTGTATTCTGTGAATTTTATTTGTTTAATACTTTTGATCTTTTGAAGAGGATGTAATTATTTAAGGTATTATGAAATGCATTGTGATTTGAATTAGATACTCTTTGGAGATGGAGTTTTGCTGTTGTTGCCCAGGCTGGAGTGCAATGGTGTGATCTCGGCTCACCACAGCCTCCGCCTCCTGGGTTCAAGCAATTCTCTTGCCGCAGCCTCCCAAGTAGCTGGAATTACAGGCATGCGCCACCACGCCCGGCTAATTTTATATTTTTTTTTTCAGTAGAGATGGGGGGTTTCTCCATGTTGGTCAGGCTGGCCTCGAACTCTTGACCTCAGGTAATCTGCCTGTCTCAGCCTGCTAAAGTGCTGAGATTACAGGCATGAGCCACTGCGCCCGGCCTCAGATACTCTTTTAATTAGATGCGTTTAAAAATTTAACCCACCATTGCTGGCATGAATAGATGTATTTTTAGAGTGATTCATAAATATCGTATACATGTTTAAAGTTACAAACTTTTTGCTTATTTCAAAATGCAGGATTCTTTTCCATTTAAAATTCCCTCTCTTTGTGAGACTTCTTTTTGAGTATTCTGGTTACTCTAAACTGATTGGAGATGAAATTAGATAGAATTGAAAACTGTACTTTTAAAATGAAATTTTGGGGATGTCATTAAGCTTGATTTTTTAGGTTTTTTTTTTAGTGTGTATTATAAATTATTTTACACTGATTGTCAGCGATAAAATGGAATGCCTGGGATTTTTTAAAATTTATTTTATTCATTTTTATAAGGTAAAAACAGTGTTTTGCTAGGCTTAATTTGACCATGTTGTAAAATTTATTGTATACCTTGAAAGAATCATTTATGAAAGATACTGAATTAGCTAATATATACTCTGTCTTATGTAGTTTTTGATTAACAATACACTTTTTAAATCATTAGCTCATTTGATTTTGCAAAGAAGAACAGGTAACCTAAGAGGCAGACAGAACAGGCATTACTTTTATTTTTCTTTCTTTTTTATTTTATTTATTTATTTATTTATTTATTTTTTGCAGCTTAGGAATTGTAGCTCCAGTGGAATCAGTATCTTGTTAATGGCTAGTGAAAGACTGAGTCTGAAGAAGGATGCAGGACTTTTTTGGCACTTGGTGCAGTATTTTTCCCATTATGTTACATGAGTGGTTCTTAAACTTCAGTGTGTTAGAACAACCTGAAGGGCTTATTAAGCTATGGATTGCTTACTCCACCCTCAGAGTTTCTGATTCAGTAGGTCTGGATTGGGACCTGAGAATTTTTATTTCTTAGAAGTTTTCAAGTGATGCTGATGCTGGTGCTCTGGGGATCACACTTTGAGGACCACCAATGAACATTATCTCCCACCAAGCAAACCCTTAACATGTTATACTCCTTTAGGTTATTAGAATTTATACATGCATTATTTCATTTGACCTGTAAACTCTAAGTAACTTTGCATGGAAAATGTTATCCTGATTTTATAGACGAGATAGTGAGTTTAGAAAGGCAGTATGGTGGAATGGAGCATAGATTTGGAGTTGGCTAGACCTAAAGTCCAGATTAAATCTCTGCTCAAGGCTGGGCGTGGTGGCTCATGCCTGTAATCCCAGTGCTTTGGGAGGCCAGCGTTGGCAGATTGCTTGAGTCTGGAAGTTCGAGACCAGTCTGGGCAACATAGGCAGACCCTGTCTCTACAAAAAAAAATACAAAAATTAGTCGGGTGTTATAGTGCGCATTGGTAGTCCCAGCTACTGAGGAGGCTGAGGTGGGATCACCTGAGACTGGGACTTTGAGGCTGCATTGAGCTGTGATTGGGACACTGTACTCCTGCCTGGGTGACAGAGTGAGACCCTCTCTCAAAAATAAATAAATAAATACATCCCCGCTCAGCCACTTATCAGTTACGTAGATACACTGCCTAACCTTAGTGAACCCTGTTTCGACAACTCCAAAATGGGAGTAAAAATCCTAAACTTGTACAGTGGTTTTTTAGTTTTGTTAAAAGTACAGGTGAGGTTTTTTTCAGAGTATTGGTTGCCATCTGAGAGTGATCCCCTTTCACCTCCTCTAGGACTTTTAGCATTTTCTGGAGACATTTTGGTGGTCACAGCTGGGGTGGTAGAGTGTGCTATTGGCTAGGGGCTTGAAGCCAGTGATGCTGCTTAACATCCTATATGGCACAAGACCCCTCCCCATCAACAAAGAATTATCTAGCCCAAAATGCTGTGTAAAATGTCTGGTATATAATAAGTATAATATTTGATGAAAATCAGTACCTTTGCCCCCAGGTGTGATATTTAAGAAGGTCAACTTACTAAATCAGTGATGGAGTTAGTCCTAACATCTGGGTGTTCTGACTGCTGCTAGGCCAGTATTCTTTATATGATAATAAGAACTTTGTCCACAGAAGATATCCCTAATAACAAAAAAGGTTTATTTGAAGAGGACTCATGTGTTCTTTGGCTGATTGTGAAAGTGTTGCTTTGAACTTCTGTTAGAAAAGGTTGAAGATGTTTTCCGTAAGTGTTTTTAATACTGTACGTAGTATTCAGAAGGATGTTTAATTTTTTTTTTAATTTTGCTAGTAGTTTTTAAAGTAATCCTTTTTCCTTTAATTATGTAGTTGTTGAACTGTTGGGAGTTACTTTTCTCTTACTATTTTGTTATTTAATGTATTCTTTGACCTTATGCTTTTTTATTCTAAAGCTGCTTTTATTATAGTCAGATATGATGAAGTTAAATGTACAATGTAAAATTGCAAATTTCCAACGAGCTATACAAACTTAAATATTTCTAAGTAAAGAAAATAGGGCTGACTCTAAGGTTCTTTGATCCATGTGTTGCATTCTTTTCTAGGCCCTAAATTTGCTATGCCAGCCTGTTGAATTAAAGTGCTTTATTTATCTAAATTAGAAACTTGTATTAAAGTGAAGTTTTAGAAAAAAAGAAACAAAATCGGAATGGAGTTTTAGGTTAGCCCAGAGATGGGAAGATGCCAAGAAGGTAGCTTTAGTGGATTCTGAATTTTTTGGTTTTGTTTTGTTTTTAGGGCAGGCAAATGTAATTACAAAAGGGTTCTAGGAATAGATTGCTGTGATTTTTTTTCTGTTTGCATGATTTTACAGTTTGCTTTGCCTCTCACTTTTGAATGCAGAATAAAATGTCAAGGCCTTATTTTTTTTTAAATTCTTAAGAAATTTAAGATTTGACTGTTAATTCCTTTTGAAATATGGGATATTTTGAGATACCAATTATTTAAGACAAATAGGACTCATTGTTACAATTCAGTTGAATAAGGCTTATGATGTTTATTTCAGTATATGAATGAAAACTATGTGCTTATTGTACTTAAGAAAATTTCTTTTATTAAAAACATGACTAAAGAGAATTTTAAAAATCACCCACTGTCCTACTTCTCTAAAACTTAATGTTTTCATATTAGCTTCCAGTTTTGTTCATATGCATATACTTTAAAACCTAGTTCATGGTGAACTTAAGAGGGTGTTCTTTTTAAAAAACAATTTCCATTGCACTTTGTCGTTGCCTTAATTAAATGGTGAAATCATCAGAAATATTTATTTTCCTATACTTATACATTTATTAAGCTTGTTTCCATTTTTTTATTTTGTGATTTTTTAAGTGGATTTAAGATAACCTAAACATTAGAGAGGATTTTCATGGTTTTGATTCATGAAATCATAATGTTATACAAACCTAACTGAAGTGTTAGAGCCTTGAAGATTTTTCCCCCGAATTACATATAGTAACTCTACTTGTATTTAATACTGAAAGCATATTTTACTTATTTAAGTGAGACAAAGTAAAATTTAGCTGAATACTTTAGATCTATCATTTCCTTTTCCTGTTGTAAGAACATTACATTGTGTTGAAATTAAAGTGGATATAGAAGGTAATTAGAATAAACTGCCACATCATTTTTATAGTAAAGTGGTAATAACACTATTGCTTTCTGTTTTTTTAATCAGAAGGAGTATGGGCTTATAATGATGTTACTGTTCCCTGAAGCATATTTTGAATGATACGGTTTATATTTGCACAGTTGCCCAGGTAATCATTGTGATATTAATTGATCAATTTGCTATTTATTTGCGTTTTAAATCAGTACTAGTATTTGTGCTTAAAAATTTTGCATATGTTTTATCAGATTTAATTTTTAAGTGTCAGATACTAAAACAAATAACCTTAACTTTATTAAATTATAATTTTTTATCATGAGGTGGTATTCATTTATTCATATAGTTAGAACAAAAAATATTTAAAATATTGAGGTAGAAACAAATTAGTCTCTTTTTAATTAAAAGCCAGATTACTTGTTAGAGTAACATTTTCCCAAATGAGGTAAAATTGTTGCGACTGTTAAACTTAAGGAAATTTTGATCTAGGTGTGGTATATACCTTCTTGTGGGGTGCTAATGAAAACAGGGATGGCAAAAATATTTTGTTTGTGAGTGTATGCATTTATGCTTTTTGACAACCTAAGAAACACTCTTACATCTGAGTATCTTTCATGGACTAGCTGTAGGAAATCTATATAAAATAGCTTAGTATACTGAAAGTATGACATAGTTTTACATATCTAGATTGTGGTTGTGATTATATATAATACTATAAAATATGCTAACGTGCTGCTTAATAATACTATTTGGATTTTTTTTAATACTGAAAAGGTCACACAGATTGTGATTATTGTGTAGTGTCCAAGAACTAAGGCCTACCATCTGTTACTCAAATGTATGAAAAAGTTAAGATAATTTAGTGATATAAGTGGTTTTGACACCACTGTTTTTGGAATAATCTAATTATGATTTTTATAAAGACTAATATCAAATTTTAAACGTTTGCAAAAATGAAACCTAATAGTTATACTGTTATTTATATTTTTCTATTACAATACAGATACTGGCTGAGAACTAAAGATTGTGTAATAAACGCCTGGCCTTCAGTCATTTGGTTTTTTTTTTCCCTCGATTGTTTGGATAGTTAACTGGACATCATGTTTTAACTTGAGAAATTAAGTTATACAAGATTTTGATATTTTAAACTAGTTTTCCTAACTGGTTGAGATATATAAGAATTTAGTATTACAGGACTCAATCAGGGAACTGATTTAATAAGAATTTCTTAAAAATTTGTTTAAATATTTTTCAAGTTCTTTTCTTCATCTTCTACAACTTAATTCTTGTCTGTATGCAAATGAGCTTCCCCATTTAAAATTTTGCTGTTGCATTTTAGGCCACTATAGAAGTTGTTTCTTTAATTTTCACTCACAAGAATTTGGTCTTACCAAATTGTGTAAATCTTTAAAATTGTGTATTTGGCTTAATATTATAGAATCTGATTGATTTAATCTACCTTGTTTCATTTAGTATGTTGACATTTTCTTGAGAAATTTGTTATGCCAAATGATTAACATAATAATATTTTAAGTTTAGATATGATTTTGAATTTACATTTTCAAATGCAACTTTGTGTCTGTGGCCTTTTTTTTTTTTTTTTTTTTACGAGAAACATCTTGCCAATTTTCAGATTAATCTGTGAGGAAAGTAGATTGGTTTACTAGACTCAGTTTGTAGACTTTGGTGAGAACTGAATTGGAGGCTATGAAAAAAATACCTTTTGGGCCTTTCTGAATAGACATATATACATAAATTATATCTCTTACATTAAGTGAGGCACATATGTAGGTGAGATTTTTACCTGAATATTAAAAGTTTAAAAGTCGTTACCTATTCTGTTTACTTAATAGTATTTAAAGGGTGTGAGAGGTGTTATGTGTTTCTGTCCCTTGTTTTTATTCCTATCCCTCCCATCTAACTGTTGGTACTCTTATCTTCCCAGGTATTAAACTTGTATGTTTTAAAAGCTTATTTACTTGTTGAAATGGTTAACTTAATTAGTTTTTTCTTTGAAGTTTCAGCCTAAATATTTTCTGTTTTTTTATATGTCCTTTAAATATGAAAATTCTACAGCTAATCATAATTAGTAATTGTACTTTTTCCCCTATTACAATAACTGGTTTCATAATAAAATGGTATCCCTTCAATAACAAGCATTTATAGTAGTTTATTAAAACTAAGGGTGTTATCTATTCAAACCAAGCAATGCAGACTTACTGTTGACTCTGTTAATATATTTTAAAATTGCATATTACTAAAATTTAAAATATGATTTTGACTAGTATTTTGGTGTATGTTATTTTAGATATTTTGATTATGCACTACTTAAGAATGAATTGTCAAGTATGATTATAAAGTTGATATAATAGTTAACCTTCAGTGGGAATAGGAATCATTTAATATTGTTAGATATTTGTATTATTAGAACAATCTCCTATGATTCTTACTAATATAGTAATGAATGACAGACAATATGTTGGCTTTCATATTTAAAAATTCACATGCATTTCTAGTTTATGTTTTTCTTCGACTAAAATTCTGCAGCACTTAGGCAAAGCTATTTTTACCAGTTGGAAAAAAAGTAAGTCATTTCCAACCAATTTTCCTGGCTTGTAGTATAGAATAAAGAGACTTGATTTTATTACATTAAAGCCAAATATAAAATGATGCAATCTAGCACACACTTGTTTGGAACTTTTCTCTTTTAAATATTCAGATTAAGAGGACGTTGAAAGGTAAATTTTTTTTTTTTTTTGAGACGGAGTCTAGCTCTGTCACCCAGGCTGGAGTGCACTGGCACGATTTCGGCTTACTGCAAGCTCTGCCTCCCAGGTTCATGCCATTCTCCTGCCTCAGCCTCCCGAGTAGCTGGGACTACAGGCGCCTACCACGGTGGCGCCCGGCTAATTTTTTGTATTTTTAGTAGAGACGGGGTTTCACCGTGTTAGCCAGGATGGTCTCGATCTCCTGACCTCGTGATCTGCCTGCCTCGGCCTCCCAAAGTGCTGGGATTACAGGTAAATTTTGATTGTTATTAGCAACTATAAAAGTTTTGCAGTTGGCTTATTGGAAAAAGAAAACCTCCTTGCCGGAGACGGAGACGCATTTGTATTAGAACTTTGTTTTCTGAGTACCTTACCTATAGTAGGTTTCAAATATTGGTGAATTAGTTGATGGTTAGGTCTGCATAATTACTGCGTATGGAAATTCTGGAACCCTATTTTTTCAAAATGCAGCTAATGTTGAGAGAATATGCACTAAATATTACTAGATCTTTGTTTTTCAAGATGCTGATATCCCTTAACATCTTCTGCACTTTACCTGTTTGAATATCTTTTTTGCTGTAAAAATTAGTGGCCTTATGTCTTTCTGCATAATTATAGAGTAGCCAAAACCTGTTTTAGGTTAATCACCTCTGGCAAAATAAATGATAAAAGCATAGCTTTTGTAAGCAGAATGATATTACAGAAGTTAACTTATAAATCTAAGTGTATTAAAGACACTTAGGAAATTTATGATAATGCTGGGTCAGCATTACAGTTTTAACTTTTTACAGTTTTTCATATGCTTTTTTTGTGATTTTGCTGTAGAAAATTAACAGTTGGCATTTGGCTTAGTTCAAGTATAATGCTGTTGACAAGTATATCTGACACGTCATTGAACTAATAATATTTTTGAAAGCTGATAGGTAAGTTATATCTATTTTGTTTCATTCGTCATTAGTGATCGGTCTTAGATGTTTTTAGCGAGAGCAAAACTGTAGAGGAATGTGTGTCTGTGTGTGTATATGTGTGTGTGTGTGTGTGTATTTTAACAGCAGGAGAGTTCTGAAACAGGAAACCAGTCTTATCATATTCATCCAGAGACCTAGGAAGAAGGTAATTGTTTGGTATACTCGTTAAAACCAGTTGGTTGGGCAACTTAAATTTTTAGAGGATCACAGATGTAGGCTTGAGCAGTTGTAGATAGATGATTTCTTTTTTTTTCTTTCTTTTTTCTTTTTTTTTTGAGATAGAGTCTCTCTCTGTCATCCAGGCTGGAGTGCGGTGGCGCGATCTTGGCTTACTGCAACCTCTGCCTCCCAGGTTCAGGCGTTTCTCCTGTCTCAGCCTCCTGAGTAGCTGGGATTACAGGCGCATGCTGCCATGCCCGGCTAATTTTTTGTATTTTAGTAGAGACGGGGTTTCACCGTGTTCCCCAGGCTGGTCTCGAACTCCTGAGCTCAGGCAATCTACCCACCTCGGCCTCCCAAAGTGCTGGGATTACAGGCGTGAGCCACCGTGTCTGGCGATAGATTATTTCATAATTAACACCTGCTATGAAGAAAAATTGATTAAAATAGTTGAGAAGTCTAGTACACTCTCAGCTAATATACTAAATTATACTATGGATTTTAGAGTATTGTTAACATTATCAGTGACTTGATATCTTCCTGAGGTTCTAATTTGCTTAACTTTAAATAATTGGGGTTCAGATCACCTTGATTGTTCCCTTAAAGATTAAATTTTGTAAAACTGTGTGTAATTTTCCTGTATCTGGTTTGGATAGCTTTAAAAATGGTTCTTAAGTTTAATGAGTTCAACTGGGAAAAAAGTTAGTTCTATTTTAGATGTTGTGTCACTGGAAATTATGTTTCCCTGTTTGTTATATGCACATTATTACAAAGTTGTAATCAATGTTTTCATACTGTTCTCTGGTCTGTTTTTTTCACAAATACACTTTTTATTTGTCGCCAGGTACTTATTTTTAAAGCTATAGAGGTAATATTTCATCAGGTGAGGGTAACTACCATGGTTTGTTTGCTATACTGTGTTAGGGTTATTTTCGTTTTTTTTTTCTTTTATAAACTATAGTTGTGAATATGTTTATGTAGTTTACTTTTGGTTTATTAGAATATATTGCTAGAGTGGGATTACAGGATTAAAGAGTGTACAGTATTTTAGTTTTTTTTTTTTTTTTACAAGTTGCAGATTTGTTGCCAAATGAACGAGTTTGTAGTATTGCTAACAAGGAGAAGAATTACTAGCAAGTCTTGATGTTACTTTTGAAGAGTGTGATGATTGCATTTAGGAAGATATCTAAACTTCTGTTTCAAAGCAAAAAGTATGTGCAAATTTCTTACTCATGACAAATTCATATAATATAAAAACATGAAAGTTGTGAGGTCAGGTTGTTTGGAGAAGTAGAAAACTTCAGTAGAGTTTATAGATAGGCAGTCTTCCTTTCTGGTTTGGCACTGACAGCAGATTAACTAGAAAGTGTTAGAAGGAACCTAAAATTTATACTAAAGTCAATTTAAGTTAATTAATATACCAGAATTCCTTCTTTTACAATTTATTTATAAAAACACCATATTGAGTTGCCTTGTAATGAGACATTTAAACTAAATTTAAATAACAGAATTCATGCACCATCTAATAACAACCCCTTATTTACAATTATAGAGTCCTTTGCAATTTTATAGATATTTTCATGTATCCCATTTGGTCCTTGAAACAATTAATGAAGAAGTTACAGCAAGTGGTATTATCATTATTTTACAGAAGAACAAAACAAAAATATATGTGGCCCAGAGATTGAGTGATTTACCTGAGGTTATAGGCTTTAGATTGCATAGCTGGAAGTAGAACCTTGTTCTTCTATATTAAATGACAATATTCATTAAGTACTTAGCACAGGATTTGGTACCTAGTAAATATTTAAATGTTCCTGTGTTATTCCTGACTATTCCTTCTTTATTCTTAAAACGCCATTTTTTGAGCACTCTTAATATTTATAGTTCAAACTTTGTACCTATGTACCTTTTTCTCTTTAGAAAATAAGATTTCAGGCTGCATTAATTTGATCTGTACAGGAATGATTATATGTTTTACATATTGGGACAAATTGCTCTTTTTTTATATACCTTAAGCTCTAGGGTACATGTGCACAACATACAGATTTGTTACATATGTATACATGTGCCATGTTAGTGTGCTGCACCCATTAACTCATCACTTACATTAGGTATATCTCCTAATGCTATCCCTCCCCCCTCCCCATACCCCATGACAGGCCCTGGTGTGTGATGTTCCCCACCCTGTGTCCAAGTGTTCTCATTGTTCAGTTCCCACCTATGAGTGAGAACACGCGGTGTTTGGTTTTCTGTCCTTGCGATAGTTTGCTCAGAATGATGGTTTCTAGCTTCATCCATGTCCCTACCAAGGACATGAAGCTCATCCTTTTTTATGGCTGCATAGTATTCCATGGTGTCTATGTGTCACATTTTCTTAATCCAGTCTATCATTGATGGACATTTGGGTTGGTTCCAAGTCTTTGCTATTGTGAATAGTGCTGCAGTAAACATACATGTGCATGTGTCTTTATAGCAGCATGATTTATACTCCTTTGGGTATATACCCAGTAATGGGATTGCTGGGTCAAATGGTATTTCTAGTTCTAGATCACTGAGGAATTGCCACACTGACTTGAACTAGTTTACAGTCCCACCAACAGTGTAAAAGTGTTCCTGTTTCTCCACATCCTCTCCAGCACCTGTTGTTTCCTGACTTTTTAATGATCACTATTCTAACTGGTGTGAGATGGTATCTCATTGTGGTTTTGATTTGCATTTCTCTGATGGCCAGTGATGATGAGCATTTTTTCATGTGTCTGTTCGCTGCATAAATGTATTCTTTTGAGTAGTGTCTGTTCATATCCTTCGCCCACTTTTTGATGGGGTTGTTTGATTTTTTCTTGGAAGTTTGTTTAAGTTCTTTGTAGATTCTGGATATTAGCCCTTTGTCAGATGGGTAGATTGTAAAAGTTTTCTCCCATTCTCTAGGTTGCCTGTTCACTCTCATGGTAGTTTCTTTTGCTGTGCAGAAGCTCTTTAGGACAAATTGTTCTTAAATAATGAACAGTTGGCACTTTTTCAACTGGAAAATTCAAGGAACTGCTCTTTCTGCTTTCTGCTCAATATGAATCTTCAATTTAGAAATGAGAGTCCATCATTAACAATTCAACATAGCTTATTAATAGGAAAAAAAAACCTAGTAACAAATGTAAAATCTTTGATTAAATGAGAAAGTCATAGAAGTTCATCAGATTTGTATTTAAAGCATGATTTCATTAGAAAAGTTGATAATAAGGATTTAACTGTGACATAATTGGAAAATACTTGTTTAAACTTAAAATTTTGAAAAGAAATGTAAATGTGATGTAACTTATGAATCAGTGGTTGAGTTTCTTTTTTGCTCACAAGAACCCTAACTGTGTGTTACTTGAAAGCACTGATGGAAATCAGGGAAAAAGCTCCAGAAGTTCCTACGAAATAAAATTAAATGATAAAGTCCTGGTATCTGCTAACTTGCCTTCCATTCCTGTTATCTTTTCTTCTTAGTCTGACTTCATTAATTCTTTCACCCTGGCTACTGGTTTAGCTCAGTGTTTTATGAGCCAGGCAGCTTCAGACTTTGCTTTTGATGCTCTTTGTTCATTACCTCTAAAGCTGTATTATCACTTTCATTTTATCATTAATGTTTCATGTATATGTTATAGTTTCATATTGTTACTGCAACTTTTACTTAGCTATAATTTAAAAAATATCTGTGATCTGTGGAAATAATTATTCTATGGCAGAAAAGTAGTTATTGCATTTTACTTTATAAGTTGTTTAAGGATAAGCATACCTATATATTAAGCACTACAAAGAAACTTTTACAATGGCTTTATTTTTAGCAAACCATCATAGTTAAAATAAGATTTAGTGTACATGTCAGGAACACAGTCTTATGAAATAAGGTTTAGGGAGCTATTTTTAGTTACTATATCCTACTTGAAAATTGTAGTTAAATTTCTAGCATATACCCTATTAATTTAGATGCAAGTACAGATTTGAGATAAGGTAGATACATTATTTGGATGTCAACTCGGAAGTTGTTCAAGAAAAGATATTTTGTTATTTAGATGTAACTTGGAACATATTTCTAGTGTTTCAAGTCATGATTGTATGCCTAGAACAGGCAATAAAAATTTACTTAGCTGGTAAAACAGCCACATTATTTCAAATATAGTTTAGTTATATTATGGATTAAATTGATTTTTGTGGACAGACTTTAGAACTTAATTGCTATTAATTACATTTTTTCTTTGGGACGGTATTTGTTCTTTGGTGAGAAAGGATTCTTGTAACACCTAAATCAAGACTGTCCAAACATGGCATATGCAGTTTACCAGTCAAAACAAACTAATCACTTAAGATCTGTGTATTTTGTTTTATTTGAATTATACCTCAATTAAAACAAATTTAGCATGTTTACACAAAGGTGGGGGGAAACTGTCTAATATATCTGAGATCTGTTGGAGCTGGGGTGACCATCCAACTTAGGCAAGATAGCTAGTACCATGTATGCATTTCTTTTACCTTTCTTATTGTATATACAGTAATCACTGATATTATGAGAAAAAGAACTTTTTAATAATTCAGGAGATATTTTATCGCTAGTATATATTGAGTGCTTATTATGTGCCTTATATACTTTGGACTCATTTAATCCTCAACACAACAACCCTATGTAGTTCATACTAGAATTATTCCCATTTAAAGATGGGGAAAGTGATGTTTAGAGAGGCTAAGTGACTTGCCCATGGCCAAAGTATTAGAACTGGGATTTGAACACAGGTAGCCTGATTCCTAAATAAATGACCACTAACATTAAAAAGACATAAACATAGAGGTGTTTGTTGCAATGTTAGTCATAATACCTAAAAATTGTGAACTAGTTAAATGTCCAATAGTAGTAAAATGGTTCATTAACCATGGTACACCCATCAATATAATGTTATATTGTCATTTAAAATTGTATTCCCAAGTTTCGTATCAGGAAAATATAATAAATTTTTGAAAAATGTAATGGGATATATTGTATTTATAATACAGTAATCACTATGTAACCAACATTTTTATTTCCATCAAAAATTAGTTATAAAGAAATAGAAATCTAAGAAGTTTAATAGATATTACCATTGAACACTAGATTTGTATTAGTATCTTTTATATTTATCTCTCTCATTTCCTATATTGGCCATGTTTACTTTTAAAATAGTAAAAGTCATAAGCTCTATTTTAAAAATAAATGTTAGTTTATTAACCCAAGAATAATAGCTAACTATAAATTCATATTTGATAAAATAAAAAGATGACATTCATCATAAGGGATACATACCTGTGCTAGCATATGGCATTTTTAAAATCACATGAGTAATTTGTAATCATCATAGAAATATTAGAAAATACAAATAAGCAAACACATACTGAAAATTTAGTGTTCCCAAATCTAAAACAGAGACACTGTTTTTTTCTTTTGGGATTGTATTTTAGATATGTTCTTAAGTTATAATAAAGTAAATACTTAAAAGGCAAATTGATACATTAAGGATTTCAAAGAGTAAAACTTTTTGTTAAGCTTTGATGTTCTTTAGAAAGTTTAGATTATTCCACAAGTCACTGTCGTTGAAAGAAAAGTAGTTACAGTGGGGTCTTATGGGATAAGGCATTACCATTTGTTCAGTTGAGAGACAGCTATCACTATGTTTTAAGCATTGTTCATATATTAGCTCATTTAATCCTCATAGCAACCTTATATGATAGGTACCTTTATTAGCCCCATTCTGCTTAGGAAGCAACAGAAAGAGTATGTATTTTGCCTAAGGTTGCACAATAAGTTAAGCTGGGGTTCCAATTCTAGCAAGTTGGTTCTAGAGTGTATGTTATTAACCATTATGCCGTAGTGCCTGCAAGTAGATCTCTAGATGTCAGAAATACTCATCTTCCTCTGGTTACCTGGTTGTTATAAATCTTTATGCTTAATACTTATGTCATTATATGTAAATTTCGTATTAAACACTCAACTTATTCAGAAGAATATCAGGTAAGTGTAGGTTAAGGCTGTTTTCTATCAGAAATCATTATATGTATATATATTCCTCAGTTCTTATGTTGTTTAGTTTTTCTAAAATGTCAAATTTTATAATATATGGAGAAGTATAAATGTATATTAGAAAGATTTTGTTTATTTGTGTAATTTGTGGCATAAGAAATATTTGCCTCAAGATTTGGTGCTTGTTTAGGTAGTTGCTGGCATTACTTTTGGAAATGTCAGTAAATTTTCATACTGTCTTGGAATTTTTTCAATTTTTACATTTTATTAGTAAATGTAATTACAGGTTAGTAAATCACTTATTTGAACCTGTTTCCTTTGAAAGTTTTATATTTTTATTTGGAAATAGAAAAACCTTAATTTCCTCTCGTTGGGCAGTATGGTGTCAAAAGCTTGGGCTTTGGAGCTTCGTATATAATCTGGGTTCAAATTATAACTTACTAGTTACTAACTTGGGCAAATTACCCAGTCTTTTTGACTCTCAATTTCTTTGTCTATGAAATGTAATACTATTTAGGATTGTTAGGATTAAATGAGAATATATTTGGCATACTGTCTGGTACATGATACTTAACAGGTACTAGTTGTCTACATCTTTCTAACTTAGGATGGATGCCGATGTCTTGGGTAACATCTCAAACTTTATCAGTAAGGAAGGTGAGAATCTGAAGAAAATGAAACCTTAAAAAGATTGAATTCCTGGACTCCATTTAAAGGAGTAAATAGCTCACGAACAAGACTTGCTGCTCTGCAAAGTCTTCCATGTTGATCCTGGTCTTTGACTC
The DNA here is from genome assembly GCF_000001405.40 of Homo sapiens. Taxonomy (NCBI): domain Eukaryota; kingdom Metazoa; phylum Chordata; class Mammalia; order Primates; family Hominidae; genus Homo; species Homo sapiens. The sequence continues at coordinate 87,886,041 of NC_000010.11, forward strand.
CTTATCTGTCTGATTAAATTGAATTCGCTGCCGTGGCATCCTTAAAGCTGGACCTTACTTTGTCAGTCCTGCCTTCTCCATGTTGCTTTGTGTGTAAGCTTCACTGGACTGTTTGCTTTTTGCTGATTATTTTATGTATTTCCATATGTCTACTTTAGCCTTTGCTTGGAATGTTCTAACTGCTCTTGTTTCTTCCTCTGTTTACTGGTTTCTGACTTAACTCTTAAGGATTATCTAATATATTACCTACTTGGTGAAGGTTTATCTGTGTCCCCACAGAATTAATCCTTCCCTCTTTAACTCTTAAGCTATCTTATTTTTTATCTAATCGGGTCTTTGGCACAATTATAGGTCTGTGTGTCTGTCTTCCCTAATAGAATAGGAAAGCCTTGAGGACAGTAGTCTTTGCTTACTTAGCCTTATATTCTCAGTGCCCCTTGTGCAAAACGTTCAATATATGTTTGAATGATTATGTGAATGAAGGAGGGGGCCAGCTGAATTTACTTTAATGATTATGTAACACCCATTTATGTATAGTTATAGACTTGTCTGAAATGAGTTAAATCCTTTGCAACGTTTGCTGCTATGCTTTGAATGTCTCTTACAAAACTCATGTTGAAATTTAATTGCCATTGTAATGGTATTAAGAGATGGAACCTTTAAGAGGTGATTAGATAATGGTATCTCTATCCTTATGAATGGATTAATGCTGTTTGAATGGTAGTGGATGAGTTATCTTGGGAGTTTGGCCTCCTCCGTCTCACATGCTTCCTTACCTTCTGCCATGTGGTAACTCAACACAAAGATCCTTGCCAGATGCTGATGCCATGCTCTTGGACTTCCCAGTCTCCAGAACCGTGAGCCAAATACATTTCTGTTCATTCTAAACTACCTGTTTTGTGGTATTCTAGTAAAGCAACATAAAATTTACTAAGAAAACTGGTACCAAGAGTGTGATTGTTGCCATAACAAATACCTGAAAATGTTCAAATGGCTTGGGTTCTGGCTAGAGAAGGATGGAAGAGTTTGGATGAACAGGCTAGAAAAAGCCTGTATTGCTGAGAATAGAGCATTAAGGACAATTCTGATGAGGATTCAGAAGAAGAGAGCTGTAGGGAAAATCTGGAACTTCTTAGAGAGTTGTCATCAGTTGGTAGAACTATAAGTGGTAAAGGTCTTTCTGATGATATCTCAGAAATGAAGAACAAGATACTGGACACTGGAGTAAAGGCCATCCTTGTTAAATAGTTGCAAAGAACTTGGCGAAATTATGTTCATATCCTAAGACTTTATGGAATGCAGAATTTAAGAGTGATGAACTAGGATATGCTGCAGAAGAAATAACTCAGCAGCAGAGCATTTAGGTTACTGGATGGCTACTTTTAACCACTTAAACTAAGCTGGGGGAAGGGAATGACTTGAAGACAGAATTTATAATTAAAAGAGAGGCAGAATGGAAATACTTGGAAAATTTGCAGCCTGGCCATAGTAAAGAATGCAAAAGGTATGTTTAGGAGAGCAAACCAAGGGTGTGGTCCAGGAACCATTTGCTGAAGAGATTAATATTCCTAGAGGAGACCCAAGGGCTATTTATCAAGACAGTGGAAAAAGACCCCAGAGGCATTTTGGAGATCTTTGAGGCTGCCTGCCCCATCACAGGCCCAGAGCTCTAGGAGGGCAGAATGGTTTGTGGCTCAGGTGGTCCTTCACAAGCTTGCTGCCCAGGGCTACCTCAGCTCCCCATATTTCAACCCAGTGGGCCTTGGCTGTCCTAGGTCTGGTTCAGAGGGGCCCAGGTGTGGCTTAGGCTACTGCTGAGTACTCAAATGGTAAACCTTGGCAGCGTCTATATGGTGCTAATTCTGCAGGCTCACAGGATGAAAGAGCTGTGGGAGACATGGCTACCACCACCAGGATTTCAAAGGATGATGGGGATAGTCTGGGAGAGACTTGCCACAGGCTTGGAGCCTCTGAAGGGTGGAAATGTGGGTTGGAGTCACTACAGAGAGTCCCTACTAGGGCATTGCATAATGGAGCCATGGCAGCAGGCCCACCACCAAAGCTTCAGAACTGTAGAGCTACAAGTATACAGTGCCAGCCTGGGAGAACTTCAGGCTTGAGACCCTAACCTGTGAAAGCTGCATGGGCTAAGTACAGCAAAGCCATGGAGGTGGGGCTTCCCAGGGTCTATTGGGATGAAACGAATGTATTTTGTAGGTGAGAAGGACATGAGTTTTGAGGCCCAGGGGCAGAATGCTATGGTTTGGTTGTTTCCTTCAAAACTCATGTTGAAACTTCATTGCCATGTGGCATTATTATGAGGTGGAACCTTTCAGAAGTGGTTACATTATAAGGGCTTTGCCTTCATTAATGGATTAATGCCATTATTGCAGGTGTGGGTTAGTTATCTCTGGAGTTTGGCCCCCTTTTTCTCTATCATGTGCTCATGCCCTCTTTTGCCATGTGATGCCTTCTACCATGTTATGATGCATCCAGAAGACTCTCACCACATGCAGCCCCTTGATCTTAGACTTCTCAGCTTCTAGAACTGTGAGTGAAATAAACTTCTTTTCTTTATAAATTACCCCGTCTGTGGTATTGTATAGCAGCAGAAAATAGACATCAGCCTGAAGTTCCCCCAGGCTGGCATTAAATACTAATTATTAATTAGTATTTATAGTGCAAGGATAAATTCAAGTTTAGCCCTGGTTAGAATGACCACATTTCAAGGGAGGGGCTTTGTACTTCTGTGCATATCTGTAAGGATAAAAATCTTAATACTATTCTCACTGAAATTAATGGTTTAGGTTAGGTAAGGTTGTTAGTGCTAATAATTATTTCTTTTAATAAAATATTCTTAGTTGCGTTGTTCAAAAAACATAGATGATTTGAATTTATATTTTTTGGCCAAAATATATTTATAATTTTGAGTAGGAATTCCAGAGTATTGGTAGCTATAACCACTTTGGGTTCCCTGCCATTGCTTCTGGTGCCTCATTTTTTCTGACGTCTTCCATTTTCTTACATTTGTCTTCTAAGGTGGAGTTAAGATTACTCAGTTAAGATTATTTCACTTTAGGCCTCTGCTGTCTTCTGCTTTTTTTTTTAAAATGAATGGATATAATATCCCAATACATTTTGATAATTGAACAACAGCTACATTTTTAAGTGAGGCTACTTTCTTCTAATTTTTTAAATTTATTTTTCTCAGTTTTTAAAAAAAATGTCAGATTGGCTAAGAGTTGGGGCAGCTTTCTTATGTGAGAGTAGTAGATGACAGCAAATATTTGTGATGTTAAAATGATAATCCTAATAGTTTTCTTTTAGAATCTTTATAATAAAAACCCTTTGAGGCTGAGGGTGAATTTGTATGTTCCTAAAGTGACAAAAAATGTTCTTGGGGCATAGTAATTTAAATCTTAGATGCTTTTATTAGTATAATTTTTTGGTAGAAATTTGGCATTAAAAAATGCATACAGAGCTTTTTCTACATACAGGGCAAGACAGCATTTTGTCATGGCAATTAGTAAATAGATAATTATAAAACATCTAATTTTAAGCAATTTGTTACAGAAACGATACAGGTACATTGTGGCAAAAATAGAAGATACAAAACAAGCAAATATGAGAAAAAATATACATGCCACCACCTATATATGACTTTTAGTACTTTATAATCTTTTGTCTATATATGTCTATATGGATATATACGTATTCTTTTTATCCAAATGGTATTACATTGTACATTCTGTTTTGAAACCTGCCTTTTTTAGTCATTTACATCTACTTTTCCATCTCAGTAACTTTTCATCTTGTGTAATGCCCGGATCACATTAAAATGTTTCCAATTAGCTCAAAAATGTCCTTTATGGCTGGTTTGGCTAAAACAGTATCCAGGCCAGCATTGCACCTATGAAATTGGCTGTTAGGAATCTTGTATCTTTAAAAATCAAGGGCAGCAACCCATCCTCCCGCTTCCCCCACCTCCCACCACCCCCCCACCTTTTTTTTTTCTTAAAGATACTGGCTTGTTGAAGAGAGAATGGGTCATGTCCTACAAACTGTCTGAATTTGTCCAGTTTGCTGTCTCATAGTGTCATTTAGCTTGTTTTATCCTATGTATTTCCTGCAAATTAAAATTTGTATCTGAATCCTTGGTGGATTTGAGTTGAAGATCCTTAACCATCATAGATGATGCTGTGTCCTTTATATTGCATGTCAGAAGTTACATGATCTTTACTTGATTCATGATGAGGAGATGGCCACTGAAATTGGACAGTGACAGTCTTTTCTGCCCATTGTTCAATTATATTCGTCTCTTTACATTAGAAAGTATTTTGGGTAGTAGTATTTTGGTGCTGTAAGAAAGTTCATTTTCTCATCAACCACTCACCTATTGGTTTAACACCATTTGTTGATCTTTGAGTATATCAGTAATTTCATCAGGGTTTGCAAAATAAGACTTTAAATTCTATTGTTTTACATTATTAATTGATGTTTTTTGATAAGGTAGAACTTGTGAAATGGGACTATTTGTTTGTCTTTAAATACAGTCTCTATAGGAAAGACAAAATAAATACTTAAATCTCACTCTTTACCATTTTTCAAAGTGAAGAACTATTCCGTTAACCACCTCAAAAGATGATAAATAAAAAGGGTATTTTTAGTTGTTTCAACTTTTTTTTTTTTTTTGAGATGGGGTCTTACTCTGTTGCCCAGGCTGGTGTGCTGTGGTGCAATCATGGTACACCGAAGCCTCAGTCTCCCTGGGCTCAGATGATTCTCCCACCTCAGCCTGGGACTAAAGGTGTACACCACCATGGCCAGCCAATTTTTTTGTATTTTTTGTAGAGATGGGGTTTTGCCATATTGCCCAGCCTAGCCTCAAACTCCTGGGCTGAAGGAATCCACCCATCTCAGCCTCCCAAAGTGCTAGGATTACAGACGTGACCAACAATATCCGGCCTTAACTTTTTTCTTTTGAGTGTCTTTATAGACTCAAGGACTTTTATTTAATTCAGGGTGTTAGTACCATTTAAATGTTTTCTTTGATGCTCAGATTATCACAGCTAGTCATTTGGACCTTTATACCACCTCCTATGTCCATTTGATATAGGCCATTAATCTCTATAAGCCTTCCTCCTTCTCTTGGAATGAAAAGGTATCCTAGGCTCACCTGTACCTTCCCTACTCCAGACCTGGCATTAAGTCTTTTTCCAAGGAGTTTGGTACCTTTTAGTTTATTATGATATTAGAGATGAAAATCTGTGTTCTAGGAATGTTTATTACTGCTAGAGTGATGTTGCTTTTAGGCCATTTCAGAGAAAAGACCTAGAAAACAGATTTTTACAAACATGAATTCATACTGATATTTTTAGTTTTTTACATGATTTCTTGATTTTACAATATTATCTGCTTTCTTAACTTAAAATTATGAACCTTAAAGTCATTAGCATAACTTCTTTGCTTATTTCTACAACATAAAGAAAATAGTCCTGGTGCGGTGGCTCACACTGTAATCCCAGCACTTTGGGAGATTGAGGCAGGTGGATTGCTTGAGCTCAGGAGTTCAAGACCAACCTGGGCAACATGATGAAACCTTGTCTTTACAAAAAATTAGCTGGGCATGGTGGCATGTGCTTGTATTCCCAGCTACTCAGGAGGCTGAGGTGGGAGGATCACCTGAGCCCAGGAGGTCAAGGCTCTAGTGAGCCATGATCATGCCACCACACTCCAGCCTGGGTGACAAAGTGAGACCCTGTTTCAGGGGGAAAAAAAAGATAAAATAGTTTGAGGAGGCTGGATGTAGTGGCTCATGCATGTCATCCTGGCACTTTGGGAGGTCAAGGTGGGAGGATGGCTTGAGCCCAGGAGTTTGAGACCAGCCTGTGCCACATCATGAGACCTGGTCTCTATTTAAAAAAAAAAAAAAAAGAAAATAGTTTGAGGATATCAATAATGATATTACTAGAATCAGTAAAACTACCAAAAGAAGTTTAAAGTTTCTTCCTAGTGTTTTTTTGTTCTTAGAATACTTCCTACCAAGAAGTGCAGTAAAAGTGCAGTGTCCAAATAGCCCTTGTAACAAAACCTTTCTCTTTCTCCTGGGTGCCAATTTGACATTTAATCAGTTTTGTTTCTAGCAGTGTTCAATTTATTAGATTATAAGTCTTTTTTTTCTTTATATTATTCTAAGATCAAAAATATATAAAGATATACACAGGAGTCCTGCTGCTACCTGTTCTTGCTATGCTTTTCCCCTTTTCTTCCCTTTCTCTGTGAAGCAGCCATTTTTATTAGTTTCTTGTTTATCACTCATGCATGCATATGTTTATTGAGGATGTTGACATTCAAGCAAATATATGGGTTAACATTCTTTTTGTCATCCCTATACGAAAGATATACCCAGTATACTCTATTGGGTGGGTTTTTTTCCTTAAAATATTCAGTAGATCTCTCCAGTTAGCACATAGTTATCTTATAGATAGAACATATACATATAACCTTTTCTTAAACTATGCTATTAAAATAATAGCTTTCAGTAACTTGATAATTATTTTTGGATTGAAAATACTACTGAAATCAACTCAATCATGTGAAAGCTGCAGAAAGAAAAAGACCTAGAAAAAGGGCATTGGATTAGGTCAACTTTGAATTTTATTTGGAAGATAAATGAGTCCAGAAGTGAGTGGGCAGAGATTATTGGAGTTGGTCTTGAAATGAGGCGTTAGGCAGATTGACTGGGCTGGTGTGAAAGGTCTGTCAGAAAATCATGAGATTAGATTGAGGTACCTCAAAAAATGAGAGCTGGTATGATGAGTGGGTAAGAATCATAAAAGCGTAGAGTGTTGATGATTTTTATAGTTTATAAATGGTTCTTGTGTGTAGAGTTTTGTTTTTATGCTAGCTATAGTCTGTAACATAATTCACTATAATGGGCATGCTAAATATCCATGACAGTTGACCCTTGAACAACACAGAGGGTAGGGGCGCCTACCCCTGTGCAGTTGAAAATTCACATGTAACTTTTGACTCCCCAAAACTTAATATTTAGCCTATACTTGACTAGAAGTCTTACTGATGACATAATGTTCGTTAATACATATTTTATATATGTGTCAGATAGCATATTTGTATAATAAAGTAAGCTGCAGGAAAAATATTAAAATCATAAAGAAGAGAAAATATACTTACTATTCATTAAGTGGAAGTGGATCCTCATAAAGGTCTTCATCCTCACTGCCTTCACTTTGAGTAGGCCGAGGAGTAGGAGAGAGAGGAAAGGTCAGACTTGCTGTCTCATGGGTGGCAGAGGTAGAAGAAGGTCCACATACAAGTGGTCCGACACAGCTCAAACCGGTTTTGTTCATTGGCCAACTGTAGTTTGATTGAAAGTAATAATAAATGAAGTTTCTGCCTCAGTTCAGTATTATCAAGTCATAGATAGCAAGGGCTGGAAGAAACCTTAGTAGTAATCTCTTTGAGTCTAATTATCATGTAGAATAGGAAATTGCGGTCTAGAAAGGTTAAGTGACTTGTCCAAATTACACAACTAGTTAGAGACATAGCCAGCTCTTAAATCTGACTTCCAGATTTTCACTGTGTCTTCTTTTTTCTGTAACGTGTTGCCTTTTTTAGCCATGAAAAATTAGAAGTTGAACTCTTGTCTTTTCAGGCAGGTGTCAATTTTGGGGTTTTGTTTTGATTTTTGGTTTTTGACATAAAGTACTTTAGTTCTGTGATGTATAAACCGTGAGTTTCTGTTTTTCTCATATACCTGAATACTGTCCATGTGGAAGTTACCTTTTATCTTTACCAGTATTAACACATAAATGGTTATACATAAATACATTGACCACCTTTTATTACTCCAGCTATAGTGGGGAAAACTTTCTTTTCATAACTAGCTAATGTTTTAAAAAGTATTCTTTTAGTTTGATTGCTGCATATTTCAGATATTTCTTTCCTTAACTAAAGTACTCAGATATTTATCCAAACATTATTGCTATGGGATTTCCTGCAGAAAGACTTGAAGGCGTATACAGGAACAATATTGATGATGTAGTAAGGTAAGAATGCTTTGATTTTCTATTTCAAATATTGATGTTTATATTCATGTTGTGTTTTCATTTAGAAAAGATTTCTAAGCCACAGAAAAAGATACTTTGTGATGTAAACTATTATTGTAGTGCTCTATAATCATTTTTTGGCTTACCGTACCTAATGGACTTCAGGGGGATACAGTTCATTTGATAAGAACTGACCTTATACATTACATAATCAGGTACTTATGTGATATCATTTCCTGGACTCCATAAAATGCTGGTCACCAGGTTTAATACCTGGATTCCATTACAGTGTGATTTTTGTCTTATTTCATAGTTGGGGATTAGGCTTAAAATCCTAGAGTGGATTTATTCAGTTAAATTTATTCACACTAAGATGTAGATGACTAATACTGTATATTTTTATGTAGACCAAATTTTAAGGTACCACTGTGCATATGTATACCAACTACCTGAAGAAGTATTTGGTTGGTACAAGAGATATAGAAAGGAATCGCTGGGTGTACCAAGGCTAATCAGTTTTATAATTTTGCATAATTTTCTAACTGCGATTATCATTTAGTTTAGAACAATTTATTTCTCAAGGCCCATGTAAATATTATTTTTAAAATATACAGTCTTAAGAATTCATGGCATATTTTATGAAAGGAGGAATTCATGTCTGATGTGCAAATAGTCTTAACATATTTTCTAATTTCAGAGCAAAAATATATATGTATGAATAAATTAACTGTAAATTGTCAGTAGGAACCTTAAGAATTCGTGGCGTATTTTATGAAAGGAATTCATGTCTGATGTGCAAATAGTCTTAACATATTTGCTAATTTCAGAGCAAAAATATATGTGTATTAATAAATCAACTGTAAATTGTCAGTAAGAACCTTAATGGCTTTAAAAGTTAAAATTTCAGGTCAAGCATTGTGGTGTGCTCCTGTAGTCCCAGCTACTTGGGAGGCTGAGGTGGGAGGATCACTTGGCTTGAACCCCCAGGTAGAGGGTAGAGGCCAGTCTGGGTAACACAGCGAGAACCCATCTCTTAAAAAAAAAGTTTAAGTTGTGGATTATTTCCTTTACACTCTTTCATTAGTATCTTTCCTGGAGACTTTCAATTTAAATACTTGGTGCTTATGACAATTAGATGTTAAAATGGATGGGAAAGTACTTTGTAACTTATAAAGCATTATGCAGATGTAGACTCCTTTTATAATAGTTGTGTAAGTATATAAGACAACCTACATTCTTCATGAGCTAGCCATAAGTTTTAGCAACTTGCTTTGAACCACGGTAGATTTACAATTTTCTGTAGTATTGAGTTGTGTTCATTTAGAATTTTGTAATATTTATATTGAAAATCAAATTTTTGTACCTACAAAAACTACAAAAAATCCCCCTAGTTTTTATAGTTTCTATTAAAATTATAGCTGGTACATAGGGATGCCAGAAGGACTGTTTAAGAAGCTGAAAATAGAGAAATGAATTTATCTTCTCATAGTTAGGCAGGGCACAGTAGAAGGATGCTTAACATTGCAAGCTGATGGGAACAGCAGGTTGATATAGCTTGTGATAACACTTCTAAAGAAAAAGCAATGAGCCATAGAAAAAAGAAAAAGATACATTTTGAATTAAGGAAGATGGTGAATCTGGGAAGTGAGCAGTACAGTCACCAGACGTGTATCCTCTCCTATGGTACAGAAGTGTTTATTGGGTCTCTTTATGGCCTGCATGATATATCCCACAAGATGACCTACTTCACATTATTTTAATTCTGTATTCAACTAAGCACTAATTCAACCCAGCCAGATTAGTACTCATACCAAAAAAGAGTGAATACTCTGAATAGAGGGCAGGTTTTCTGATTATGGTGAGAATATCTTTGTGGTAAATTAATCTGGTGTGCTAGTTTTTACGTTGGTCTCTTCTCAGTGTCGTTAGTCACTGAGGCTGATTGATCATCTTTTAGGTTACTGATAAAGTTCCTGTACAGCTGATTTTCAGACCTTAGATTGCAATAACTTCACCAAGAAAATACTTCATTGGGAAGCATTTTGGTCCTTCCATTTGATTCATAACTCTTACCTTTATGCCTCTGAAGGAAAAGATTTATACATTCAGCTTGTAATTAGTAATCAAGACTGAGGTTTAGTCTATCTAGCTTCACAATCTATCTAGTTTGTTTTGTCTAGCCATATGATTTCTTCAAATATGCCATTTCTTAAAAAAAAATGTTTTATGTATCCCGATTAATATTTAGCCAGTGGTTCTTTTAGCCGATGGATCTTGTCACCTCTTATGATACTATTAATAGCATGTCAACATGAAGAATTATCTGCTGAATATAATAGCTATGCTGTCCTTGTTTCCTTTTGTCTCATTCTTTTTTGATTGGGGGATAATTGGCCAATAAAGCTTTGATAGCCTCTATTGCCCAGGCCCCTCCTCTTCTTTTATGAGAGAAAGGATGAACAGTGACCAGAAATAAAGGTATTGTTTTTTTCTATCAACTAAAATGGAAATAAATAATTCCTAAGTAATTTGCCTGTTAGGATTAAAGTCTCCAAGAGAATGGCTGTGCCTAGTACCTAAGTGATTAATTTCCTTGATTGGTTCACATTATATTGAGGATATTAGTAATCAGTAGTGATTCCTTTTTTGGTTCAAAGATGATAGTGTCACAGTGAAAAATGTTTTTAAAATTTTTGTATACTTAATTTTTCTGTTAACGAAAGTATTTTCAGTTGGATTTTTGTTTGCCCTCTCTATTAGAATGCCCAAAGAATATTTAAAATTTTCCTTTTCTCTTATACTGCATATTTTTCCTGTGATTTTTCCCCAAACGGAAAATACTCTGCAGAGATTAGACTTTGTTATTGTTGTACTACATCATTGCTTTGACTAAAATAAACTCAGATTGCAAATACCTTCAAGCTTACATTGCTCAGTATTTTTTTTTTTTTTTTTTTTTGAGACGGAGTCTCACTCTTGTCGCCCAGGCTGGAGTGCAGTGGTGCCATCTCAGCTCACTGCAACCTCTGCCTCCTGGGTTCAAGCGATTCTCCTGCCTCAGCCTGCGGAGCAGCTGGGATTATAGATGCCCGCCCCCACGCCCAGCTGATTTTTGTATTTGTAGTAGAGATGGGGTTTTACCTTGTTGGCCAGTCTGGTCTCAAACTCCTGACCTCGGGTGATCCATCTGTCTCGGCCTCTGGAATTACAGGTGTGAGCCGCCACGCCTGGCTAAATTGATCAGTATTATTTAACTTTGAGGGATATGATTTGTTATGGAATGCGAAGTTTTATACTTGAGGTACTCAGAGTCCTTTTGAGACAAATATTTAACTTCTCCTTTTGAGGTTACCGCCTACGATTGGGAATTAATGTAAAAAATAAGCCAAAAGAAAGTGAGGGAAAAGTGAACCAAGCTGTAATTTTTTTACTCTTTTTTATTGTTGTTGTTATTGTTGCTGTTTTTTACTATCTTGATTGCAACAGTTTGGCTTATATATATAGCATTTGGAATTGACAGTAAGAAAGCCACATCTCATAGAAGCTAACTATTCCCAAATTGTTTTTTTCTTCTTTTCCTCTTACTACTGCTGTTTTCCTCCTTTCTTGCTGCTAAGCTCTTGTCCTGACATGCTGGTAATATGAAACAGTGTTTTATTCAGATAATTGATTATTCTGTAATATGTATGTTAATCTTTTTTATTACACTTTAAGTAATAGGGTACATATGCACAACTTACAGATTCGTTACATATGTATACATGTGCCGTGTTGGTTTGCTGCACCCATTAACTCGTCATTTACATTAGGTATTTCTCCTAATGTTATCCCTCTCCCAACCCCCCACCCCAGGACAGGCCCCGGTGTGTGATGTTCCCCGCCCTGTGTCCAAGTGTTCTCGTTGTTCAGTTGCCACCTGTGAGTGAGAACATGCGGTGTTTGGTTTTCTGTCCTTGCGATAGTTTGCTCAGAATGATGGTTTCCAGCTTCATCTATGTCCCTACAAAGGACGTGAAGCTCATCCTTTTTTATGGCTGCATACTACTCCGTGGTGTATATGTGCCACATTTTCTTAATCCAGTCAGTCATTGATGGACATTTGGGTTGGTTCTAATTCTTTGCTATTGTGAATAGTGCTGCAGTAAACATACGTATGCATGTGTCTTTATAGTAGCATGATTTATAATCCTTTGGATATATACCCAGTAATGGAATTGCTGGGTCAAATGGTATTTCTAGTTCTAGATCCCTGAGGAATTGCCACACTGTCTTCCACAATGGTTGAACTAGTTTACAGTCCCACCAACAGTGTAAAAATGTTCCTGTTCCTCCACATCCTCTCCAGCACCTGTTGTTTCCTGACTTTTTAATGATCGCCATTCTAACTGGTGTGAGATGGTATCTCATTGTGGTTTTGATTTGCATTTCTCTGATGGCCAGTGATGATGAGCATTTTTTCATGTGTCTGTTGGCTGCATAAATGTCTATAAATGTCTTCTTTTGGAAAGTGTCTGTTCATATCCTTTGCCCACTTTTTGATGGGGTTGTTTGATTTTTTTCCTGTAAATTTGTTTAAGTTCTTTGTAGATTCTGGATATTAGCCATTTGTCAGATGGGTAGATTGCAGAAATTTTCTTCCATTCTATAGGTTGCCTGTCCACTCTGATGGTAGTTTCTTTTGCTGTGCAGAAGCTCTTTAGTTTAATTAGATCCCATTTGACTATTTTGGCTTTTGTTGCCATTGCTTTTGGTGTTTTAGTCATGAAGTCCTTGCCCATGCCTATGTCCTGAATGGTATTGCCTAGGTTTGCTTCTAGGGTTTTTATGGTTTTAGGTCTACATTTAAGTCTTTAACATTTAAGTCTTTAATCCATCTTGAATTAATTTTTGTATAAGGTGTAAGGAAATGATCCAATTTCAGCTTTCTACATATGACTAGCCAGTTTTCCCAGCACCATTTATTAACTAGGGAACCCTTTCCCCATTTCCTGTTTTTGTCAGGTTTGTCAAAGATCAGATGGTTGTAGATGTGTCATGTTATTTCTGAGGGCTCTGTTCTGTTCCATTGGTCTATATCTCTGTTTTGGTACCAGTACCATGCTGTTTTGGTTACTGTAGCCTTGTAGTATAGTTTGAAGTCAGGTAGTGTGATGCCTCCAGCTTTTTTCTTTCTGCTTAGGATTGTCTTGGCAGTGCGGGCTCTTTTTTGGCTCCATATGAACTTTAAAGTAGTTTTTTCCAATTCTGTGAAGAAATTTATTGGTAGCTTGATGGGGATGGCATTGTTTCTATAAATTACCTTGGGCAGTGTGGCCATTTTCACGATATTGATTCTTCCTACCCATGAGCATGGAATGTTCTTCCATTTGTTTGTGTCATCTTTTATTTCGTTGAGCAGTGGTTTGTAGTTCTTGAACAGGTCCTTCACATCCCTTGTAAGTTGGATTCCTAGGTATTTTATTCTCTTTGTAGCAGTTGTGAGTGGGAGTTCACTCATGATTTGGCTCTCTGTCTGTCTGTTATTGGTGTATAAGAATGCTTGTGATTTTTGCACATTGATTTTGTATCCTGAGACTTTGCTGAAGTTGCTTATCAGCTGAAGGAGATTTTGGGCTGAGACAGTGGGGCTTTCTAAATATACAATCATGTCATCTGCAAACAGGGACAATTTGACTTCCTCTTTTCCTAATTGAATACCCTTTATTTCTTTCTCTTGCCTGATTGCCCTGGCCAGAACTTCCAACACTGTGTTGAATAGGAGTGGTGAGAGAGGGCGTCCCTGTCTTGTGCCAGTTTTCAAAGGGAATGCTTCCAGTTTTTGCCCATTCAGTATGATACTGGCTGTGGGTTTGTCATAAATAGCTCTTATTATTTTGAGATACGTTCCATCAATACCTAATTTATTGAGAGTTTTTAGCATGAAGGGCTGTTGAATTTTGTCAAAGGCCTTTTCTGCATCTATTGAGATAATCATGTGGTTTTTTGTCTTTGGTTCTCTTTATGTGATGGATTATGTTTATTGATTTGCGTATGTTGAACCAGCCTTGCATCACAGGGATGAAGCCAACTTGATCTTGGTGGATAAGCTTTTTGATGTGCTGCTGGATTCGGTTTGCCAATATTTTATTGAGGATTTTTGCATTGATGTTCATCAGGGGTGTTGGTCTAAAATTCTCTTTTTTTGTTGTGTCTCTGCCAGGCTTTGGTATCGGGATGGTGCTGGCCTCCTAAAATGAGTTAGGGAGGATTCCCTCTTTTTCTATGAATTGGAATAGTTTCAGAAGGAATGGTACCAGCTCGTCTTTTTACCTCTGGTAGAATTCGGCTGTGAATCTGTCTGGTCCTGGACTTTTTTCGGTTGGTAGGCTATTAATTATTGCCTCAATTTCAGAGCCTGTTACTGGTCTATTCAGGGATTCAACTTCTTCCTGGTTTAGTCTTGGGAGGGTGTATATGTCCAGGAATTTATCCATTTCTTCTAGATTTTCTAGTTTATTTGCATAGAGGTGTTTATAGTATTCTCTGATGGTAGTTTGTATTTCTGTGGGATCAGTGGTGATATCCCCTTTATCATTTTTTATTGCATCTATTTGATTCTTCTCTCTTTTCTTCCTTATTAGTCTTGCTAGCAGTCTATCAATTTTGTTTTTTAAAAAAACCAGCTCCTGGATTCATTGATTTTTTTTTTGAAGGGTTTTTTGTGTCCTATCTCCTTCAATTCTGCTCTGATCTTAGTTATTTCTTGCCTTCTGCTAGCTTTTGAATTTGTTTGCTCTTGCATCTCTAGTTGTTTTAATTGTGATATTAGGGTGTTGATTTTAGATCTTTCCTGCTTTCTCTTGTGGGCATTTAGTGCTATAAATTTCCCTGTATACACTGCTTTAAATGTGTCCCAGAGATTCTGGTACGTTGTGTCTTTGTTCTCATTGGTTTCAAAGAACATCTTTATTTCTGCCTTCATTTTGTTATTTACCCAGTAGTCATTCAGGAGCAGGTTGATCAGTTTCCATGTAGTTGTGCAGTTTTGAGTGAGTTTCTTAATCCTGAGTTCTAATTTGATTTTACTGTGGTCTGAGAGACAGTTTGTTGTGATTTTTATTCTTTTACATTTGCTGAGGAGTGAGTGCTTTACTTCCAACTATGTGGTCAATTTTGGAATAAGTGTGATGTGGTGCTGATAAGAATGTATATTCTGTTGATTTGGGATGGAGAGTTCTGTAGATGTCTATTAGGTCTGCTTGGTGCAGAGCTGAGTTCAAATCCTGGATATCCTTGTTAACCTTCTGTCTCGTTGATCTGTCTCATATTGACAGTGGGGTGTTAAAATCTCCCGATATTAACTGTGTGGGAGTCTAAGTCTCTTTGTAGGTCACTCAGGACTTGCTTTATGAATCTAGGTGCTCCTGTATTGGGTGTATATATATTTAGGATAGTTAGCTCTTCTTGTTGAATTGATCCCTTTACCATTATGTAATGCCCTTCTTTGTCTCTTTTGATCTTTGTTGGTTTACAGTTTGTTTTATTAGAGACTAGGATTGCAACCCCTGCTTTTTCTTGCTTTCCATTTGCTTGGTAGATCTTCCTCCATCCCTTTATTTTGAGCCTGTGTGTGTGTCTGCATGTGAGATACATCTCCTGAATACAGCACACTGATGGGTCTTGACTCTTTATCCAATTTGCCAGTCTTTGTCTTTTAATTGGGGCATTTACCCCATTTACATTTAAGGTTAATATTGTTATGTGTGAATTTGATCCTGTCATTGTGATGTTAGCTGGTTATTTTGCCCATTAGTTGATGTAGTTTCTTCCTAGCATCAATGGTCTTTACAATTTGGCATGTTTTTGCAGTGGCTGATACCAGTTGTTCCTTTCCATGTTTAGTGCTTCCTTCAGGAGCTCTTGTAAGGCAGGCCTGGTAGTGACAAAATCTCTCAGCATTTGCTTGTCTGTAAAGGTTTTTATTTCTCCTTCCCTTATGAAGCTTAGTTTGGCTGGATATGAAATTCTGGGTTGAAAATTCTTTTCTTTAAGAATGTAGACTATTGGCCCCCACTCTCTTCTGGCTTGTAGAGTTTCAGCGGAGAGATCTGCTGTTAGTCTGATGGGCTTCCCTTTGTGGGTAACCCGACCTTTCTCTCTGGCTGCCCTTTACATTTTTTCCTGCATTTCCACCTTGGTGAATCTAACAATTATGTGTCTTGGGGTTGCTCTTCTCTAGGAGTATCTTTGTGGTGGTCTCTGTATTCCCTGAATTTGAATGTTGGCGTGCCTTGCTATGTTGGGGAAGTTCTCCTGGATAATATCCTGAAGAGTGTTTTCCAGCTTGGTTCCATTCTCCCCGTCACTGTCAAGTACACCAATCAAACGTAGATTTGGTCTTTTCACATAGTCCCATATTTCTTGGAGGCTTTGTTCATTTCTTTTTACTGTTTTTTCTCTAAACTTCTCTTCTTGCTTCATTTCATTCATTTGATCTGCAATTACTGATACCCTTTCTTCCACTTGATCGAATCGGCTGCTGAAGCTTGTGCATGCGTCATGTAGTTCTCGAGCCATGATTTTCAGCTCCATCAGGTCATTTATGGTCTTCTGTACACTGTTTATTCTAGTTAGCCATTTGTCTAATCTTTTTTCAAGATTTTTAGCTTCCTTGCGATGGGTTTGAACATCCTCCTTTAGCTCGGAGAAGTTTGTTACTACTGACCTTCTGAAGCCTACTTCTGTCAACTCGTCAAAGTCATTCTTCATCCAGCTTTGTTCCATTGCTGGTGAGGAGCTGTGATCCTTTGGAGGAGAAGAGGCACTCTGGGTTTTAGAATTTTCAGCTTTTCTGCTCTGTTTTCTCCCCATCTTTGTGGTTTTATCTACCTTTGGTCTTTGATTATGGTGACCTACAGATGGGGTTTTGGTGTGGATGTCCTTTTTGTTAATGTTGATGCTATTCCTTTCTGTTTGTTAGTTTTCCTTCTAACAGTCAGGTCCCTCAGCTGTAGGTCTGTTGGAGTTTGCTGGAGGTCCACTCCAGACACTGTCTGGATATCACCAGTGGAGGCTGCAGAACAGCAAATATTGCAGAACAGCAAATATTGCTGCCGGAGCCTTCCTCTGGAAGCTTCGTCTTGGGGGCACCCGGCTGTATGAGGTGTCAGTCGGCCCCTACTGGGAGGTGTCTCCCAGTTAGGCTACAAGGGGGTCAGGGACCCACTTGAGGAGGCAGTCTGTCCGTTCTCAGAGCTCAAACACTGTGCTGGTAGAACTACTGCTCTCTTCAGAGCTGTCAGAGAGGGATGTTTAAGTCTGAGGAAGTTTCTGCTGCCTTTTGTTCAGCTATGCCCTGCCTCCAGAGGTGGAGTCTACAGAGGCAGGCAGGCCTCCTTGAGCTGTGGTGGGCTCCACCCAGTTGGAGCTTCCCAACCACTTTACCTACTCAAGCCTCAGCAATGATGGACGCCCCTCCCCCAGCCAGGCTGCTGCCTTGAAGTTCAATTTGGAACTGCTACGCTAGCAGTGAGCAAGGCTCTGTGGGCGTAGGACCTGCTGAGCCAGGCACGGGATATAATCTCCTGTTGTGCCATTTGCTAAGACCGTTGGAAAAGCGCAGTATTTGGGTGGCAGTGTCCCAATTTTCCCGGTATAGTGTGTCACAGCTTCCCTTGGCTTGGAAAGGGACATCCCCCGACCCCTTGTGCTTCCTGGGTGAGGCAATGCCCCGCCCTGCTTCAGCTCACCCTCCGTGGGCTGCACCCACTTTCCAACCAGTCCCAGTGAGAAGAACCAGGTACCTCAGTTGGAAATGCAGAAATCACCTGTCTTCCGCGTGGATCATGCTGGGAGCTGCAGACAGGAGCTGTTCCTATTTGACCATCTTGGAATGCCACCTTTTTTTTTTTTTTTTTTTTTTTAAGGCAGTTTCTTGCTCTGTCACCCAGGCTGGGGTGCAGAGGCATGATCACGGCTCACTGCAACCTCTGCCTTCTGGGCTCAAGTGATCCTCCCACCTCAGCCTCCCAAGTTGCTGGGACCACAGCCACGCATCACCAGGCCTGGCTAATTTTTGTGTTTTTTGTAGAGATAGGGTTTCGCTGTGTTTCCCAGGCTGGTCTCAAACTCCTGCGCTCAAGCGATCCGCCTGCCTCAGCCTCCCAAAGTGCTGGGATTACAGGCATGAGCCACTGCACCCGGCCAATATGTATGTTAATCTCATCCCTCAAGCTGATACTGAAGTTTTTCAATTTATGTTATTTGGTGTAAATCTAGGCAGTCTTTAACAAAATTGGTGCTTCATGTGTTTAAGAGGCATAACTTAAGAATTGTTTGTTTCTTATAAATCAGGAGAATGGAGGTTTAATAGAGGTGAACTGTCTTTCTCACTGCAGAACCTTTAATATGCCACTATGCATTGTAAATCTCCCAAGAGTGAGATTCTAGTATGATGCTTTTCTTTTCCTTTTCTGTTCTTTCCCTTTCCCTCTACCTCCTTTTTCTTTTCTTTGTTGGTGGCATGAGTCCTATATTATAAGGAAATGCTTTTAGAGTACAGTCTTCTGATATATAGTGATTTTTGAAAAAGATTTATTTATTGTCTTGTTCACTGTGAGCTTTTTCCCCCATGTATAAGCAGCTGTGTAATAGATTCAAGAGCACCCCCTCGCCCCTTTTTTTTTGAGACAGAGTCTCGCTCGGTCACTCAGGCTGGAGTACGGTGGTGCTGTGATCATGGTTCACCTCGACTTCTGGGCTCCAGCGATCCTCCCACCTCATCCTCTCAAGTAGCTGGGACCACAGGCGTGTGTCACCGTACATGGCTAATTTTTCTATTTTTAGTAGAGGCAGAGTTTCGCCATGTTTTCCAGGCTGGTCTCGAACTCCTGAACTCAAGCAGTCCACCTGTCTCAGCCTCCCAAAGTGCTGGGATTACAGGCGTGAGCCTCCACTCCCAGTCTCAAATATTCTTTTGAAATATTTGAAATATGTTGATCTCTCAGTCTTTCAACCTTAGTTGTATGTTGATTTTCAATAAAAAGGAAGTATTTGTTGCCCTAACATCAGTATTGGCTATTCAGTTTAAAAAAGGAGTTAAAGAGATGTTATTTATAGGCAGGCTTCAAAAGAGGAAAGAATGATCAGTTTCATTCTCTGTTTCTAGCATATTCTGACTCCTTCTCTCATATTACCTCGTTTTTCCCACATTTTTTCTTTAATAAAGTGAAATTCACATAACAGCTAACCATTTTAACCACGGAAAGTGTACATTCCGTGGCATTTATTACCTTCACAGTGTTACCTCTACCTTTATCAAGTTTCAAAACATTTTATCACCCCAAAAGAAAGCCCTGTTCTTATTGGGTGCCTCTTGCTTTTTTTTTTTTTTTTTTTTTTAAATCTTGAGACGGGGTCTTGGTTTGTTTCCCAGGTTGTAGTGCAATGGGGCGATCTCATCTCATTGCAACCTCTGCCTCCCGAGTTCAAGCAATTCTCCTGCCTCAGCCTCCCGTAGCTGGGACTACAGGCACGCGCCACATGCCTGGCTAATTTTTGTATTTTTAGTAGAAACGTGGTTTCACCATGTTGGCCAGGCTAGCCTTGAACTCCTGACCTTAGGTAATCTGCCTGCCTTGGCCTCCCAAAGTGCTGGGATTATAGGCGTGAGCCACCGTTCTGGCCACCTCCTACTTCTTTCATTAGTCTTAATTCCTTAGTGGATTTGACAGTGTTTATATTATCTACACCAATGCATTTTTTTGTATGTTAATAATAGGAGATATTTATTGGGCATTTATTTACATACTTATTTGCATGTGTAACTGTTGTATAGCCAGTTTATGTATATAATCTTACTAAATCTCTACAGTAAATCTATCCCCATTTCATAGATGGTTTAAAAGAAGTTAACTTCCCCAAGCATTACTTTTAGTAAGTAGTGAGACTGAAGGTTGAGTTCTGGTCTGTCAGATTCCGAAGTTGTTTCCTTAGGAACCATATTATCTTGTGTACAACTCTTGGGCTAATCTTGTTAATATTCTTTATTTGACCTCACACTGTTGATTCATACCATGTTTAAAATTGAAATACATTACCTATATTTAAAAATTGAGACCTCACATAAAAAGCTATATTTCTAGCTGCTTTTGAAATTTCGAAGGATCTTCCAACACTTGGCTGACATTCCTGCGTGACAAAAATCAGCTGGAGCTGTGTAATGTCCGACCTGTCTCTGTCAATGAACAGATTATTCATTGTCATTTCTCATCTGTTTTTGAGATTGTAACTTTGATTCTGTATAACTCATAGAATTAGTAGTTAGACCTATATATGTTAGTTATTACATTATTTGTATATGTACAGACTGCTTTAGACAATATTGTAGTGTTATATGTTAATTTTATCAATTAAAATGTGCTATAGGATCATTGTAGAGATCTTGTCTCTAATTAACAGGATTCATAAAGAGAAAACAAAGGAGAGAAACATCCAGATTGAAAAGACCTACATAGTGCCAAGCACAATAAAAGAAACCCTATACTAGGCAAATTATTATGAAATTTGTTTTAGGACACCAGAAATAAAGATAATATCTAAAAACTTTTTAGAATCGCCTAGGAGGGATTAGGAATATGAATAGCATCTAACTTGTTGGCAGTAGAATTGAAGGTAGAAGGTGGTAAAACATCACCTTGAAAGTTCTGCATTCAGCCTAGAATTCTGTATCCAGTTAAACCATCAATCAAGTGTGAAAGTAGGGGGAAAAACTCAAGGACTAAAAAAATGTGCTCATGAAGAACATTTTTTTTGGACATTACCCAGAAGATGTGGTTCAACAAAACAAGGGAATAAACCAAGAAAGGAAATAAAAGAGCTTCAGTAAACAGAGAATCCCACTCAGAAGCAACAAAGAAGAAAGTCCCAGGATGACAGCTGTGACACAAGCTGAAAAGTTACCAGTTTTGCTTGGAGCAGGAGATTAGAACTTCCGGGAAAATAATCAAATTGATAGATGGATGTTGAAATATTTGGAGAAAAATGTAATGGATTCTTGCAAAACTGAGCAAATTAGAAAAAGGAAACAATTATTAGCATTGGTGGTTTGAGTTAACCCAAAATTGTGATGTTGCTATTTTAGGGGAATTAAGATAAGTGAAACACGTATGGAATACTGCTAGTTTTGTAAGTCTCCTTTACCATGGCAGGACATCTGTAGTTAATAAATCTGTAAGAAGCAGTATTAAGAATAATATTTTAAAATACCTAATTAAATAGGAGGAAAAAGAATCCGAGTAGTTGAGGGTGATTGCATCTGGGGAGAAGCAGGAATAAAGGTTTGAAGATAAATAGGGCCAGAGATGAGTAATTTTGTTACTGTGATAATATATTTTATATATATGTGTATGTGTGTGCGTGTGTATATATATATATGAGATATATCTCATATATATGAGATATATATGATATATATATGATATATATGATATATATATATAAAACATACAGTTCAGTAGCATTAACATCTAGCATTCAGTACATTTACATTGTTGTGCAATTGTCACCACTGTCCATCTCTAGAACTTTTTCATTATCCCACACTGACATACCACACCCATTAAATAATAACTCCTCATTGCTCCTCCTGTTAGTACCAACCATTGTTCTACTTTCATCTCTATGTATTTGACTATTCTAGGTACCTCGTATAAGCGGAATCACGTGATATCTTTTTGTAACTGGCTTATTTCACTAACTATCTTCGAGGTTCATCCATGTTGTAGCAGTTGTTAGCATTTCCTTCCTTTTAAAAGGCCGAATAATATTCCATTGTTATGTATATACCATATTTTGTTTATCCATTTATTCATCAATAGACACTTTTGGCTGTTGTGAATAATGCTGCTATGAATATGGGTATGTAATACCTGTTTGAGTATCTGCTTTCATTTCTTTTGGATATGTACCCAAAAGTGAGATTGCTGGATTGAATGGTAATTCTATATTTAAATTTTTGAGAAACCACCATACTGTTTGATATACTGGCTGCCCAATTTTACATTACCACCAGCAATACACTAGGGTTCCGAATTTGCCACATCCTCACCATCGTGTTGTTTTGTTTATGTTTTTTTTTAATAATAGCCATCCTAATGGGTGTGAAGTCTCATTGTGGTTTTAATTTGCATTTTCCTAATGATCAGCGATATTGAACATTTGCACATGCTTATTTGGTCATTTGTATATCAGCTTTGGAGCAATGATGTCTCTTGAAGCCTTTTGCCCATTTATGAATTGAGTAGTTTGGGATTTTTAAATTGTGTTTTAGAAGTTCTTTGTATACTCTGGCTGGGCACGGTGGCTCGTGCCTTTGGGAGGCCGAGGCAGGTGGATCACGAGGTTAGGAGTTCAAGACCAGACTGGCTGGTATAGTGAAACCCCATCTCTACTAAAAATACAAAAATTAGCTGGTGTGGTCGGGCGTGATGGTGCACACCTGTAGTCCCAGCTGTTGGGGAGGCTGAGGCAGGAGACTTGCTTGAACCCGGAAGGTGGGGGGGTTGCAGTGAGCTGAGATTGTGCCACTGCACTCAGCCTGGGTGACAGAGCGAGACTCTGTCTCAAAAAAAAAGAAAAAGAAGTTCTTTGTATTCTCTGAATATTAATCCCTTATTGGATATGTTATTTGCAAATATTTTCTCCCATAAAGAATGGGTTACTTTTTCACTCTGTTGATTGTTTCCTTTGCTGTGCAGGAGCTATTTAGCTTGAAAAAATCCAACTTGTCTGTTTTCTTTTGTTGCCTGTACCTTTGGTGTCACATTCAAGAAATAATTGCCAAATTCATACCATGAAACTTTCCCCCATGTTTTCTCCTGAAGGTTTTTATAGTTTTAGCTCTCACATTTAGGTGTTTGATCCATTTTGAGTTAAATTTTGTATATAATGTTATGTAAGAGTCCAGCTTCACACTTTTGGATGTGAATATCTAGTTTTCCCAGCATTATTTGTTGAAAAGAGTGTCTTTTTCCCCATTGAATAGTCTTGGCACTCTTGTTGAAAATTATTTGACAATAGATGCAAGGGTTTATTTTTGGGCTCTCTCGACTATTCTGTTAGACTATATGTTTGTTTTTTTATGTCAGGACCACCCTAATTTTAGTACTGTAGCTTTATAGTAAAATTTGAAACCAGGAAGTATATGTCTTGTGTATTTATTTACTTATTTTTTGAAATAGCATCTGGCTCTGTTGCCCAGGCTGGAGTGCAGTGGCACAATCTTAGCTCACTGCAACCTCCACATCTGAGGTTCAAGCAATCCTCCCACCTCAGCCTCCTGAGTAGCTGGGATTGTAGACACATACCACCATGCTCAGCTAGTTTTTGTATTTCTTGTAGAGACAGGGTTTTGCCATATTGCCCAGGTGGGTCTCGAACTCCTGAGCCCAAGCAGTCTGCCCTCCTCAGTGTCCCAAAGTGTTGCGATTACAGGTATGAGCCACCGTGCATGGCCCCAACTTCTTATATTTCAAGATGGTTTTGGCCCTTCAGGGCCCTTTGTGAGTTTTAGGATGGATTTTTTTTTTAACTTTTAAGTTTAGGGGTGCATGTGCAGGTTTATTACATAGGTAAATTTGTGTCAAGGTGTTCTGTTGTATAGATTATTTCATCACCCAGGTATTAAGCCTAGTACCCATTAGTTATTTTTCCTGAGCTCGCCTCCTCCCACCTGGATTTTTTTTTTTATTTCTACCAGAAACATTGTTGGGATTTTGGTAGGGATTGTATTAGTCTGTAGATTGCATTGAATAGTACTGACATCTTAACAATATTAAGTCTTTAAAGCCATGAACACCAGATGTCTTTCCATTTATTTACGTATTCTTTCTTTTCTTTCAGCAATGTTTTGTAATTTTCAGTGTACAAGTATTTTACCTCCTTGGTTAAGTTAATTCCTAAGTATTTTATTCATTCTGATGATCTTATAAATCTGTTTTCTTAATTTCCTTTCCTAATTGTTCATTCTTAGGGTATAGAAACACAACTGATTCTTCGCACATTAAATTTGTGCCCTGCTTCTTCGCGGGTTTGTTTATTCTTTTTTTGTGTTTGAAATCCTTGAGGTTTTCTGCATATAAGATTATATCATCTGCAAATGAGATAATTTTACTTGTTCCTTTCCAATTTGAGATGATTTTTATTCATTTTCTTAATGCTCTCTCATACATTCAATACTATGTTGAATGGAAGTGGTGAAAGCAGGCATCCTGTCTTGTTTCTGACCTTATAGGAAAAGCTTTCAATTCTTTGCCATTGACTATCATGTTAGCTATGGGATTTTTTTTTTCCCCCCAGATAGAGTCTCGCTGTGTCGCCCAGGCTGGAGTGCAGTGGTGCGATCTCGGTTCACTGCACCCTCCTCCTCCCGCCAGGTTCAAGTGATTCTCCTGCTTCAGCCTCCCAAGTAGCTGGGATTACAGGTGTCCACCACTATGCCCAGCTAATTTTCGTATTTTTAGTAGAAACATGGTTTCACCATGTTGGCCAAGCTGGTCTCGAACTCTTGGCCTCAAGTGATTCACCTGCCTCGGCCTCCCATAGTGCTGGGATTATAGTCAGCCACCATGCCTGGCCACTGTGGGATTTTTATATATGGCCTTCATTATGTTGTGGTAATTTCTTTTTATTCTTAGTTTATTGAGTGTTTTTATCATAAAATCTTGTTGAATTTTTTCAAATATTTTTTCTGTGCTAGTTGAGATGACCATGTGATTTGTTTTCTTCTTTCTATTAACATGATATATTGTTTTTCATATATTGAGCCATTTTTGCATCCCAGGAATAAATTTTACTTGGTCTTCGTGTATAATCCATTTAATAAGCTGTGGAATTCAGTTTGTTGGTTCTGTGTTGAGGACTTTATATCAATGTTCCTAAGGGCTACTGGTCTATAGTTTTCTTTTGTAGTTTCTTTGACTTTGCTATCAGGGCAATGCTGGCCTCATTGAATGTGTTAGGAAGTGTTTCCTCATCCATTTTTGGCAAAACTTTGGGAAAAAACGATGTTCTTTAAATGTTTGATAGAATTCACAGATAAAAAAATCACATCTAGGGCTTTTGTCTGGAATTTTTTTATTGTTATTATTGATTCAGTCTTGTTACTAGTTATAGGTCTATTCAGATTTTCTTTTTGTGTGTGTGATTCAGTATTAGTACATTTTGTACTTCTCGTTATTTCTCCATTTAATCTATATTATCTAATTTGTTGGCATACAATTGTTCATAGTACTGTCTTCTCTTTTTTTTAAACTTCTGTGCAGTTGATACTAATGTCCCTACTTTTATTTCAGATTTTAGTAATTTGAATCTTCTTTATCTTAATACAGGTAAAGCTGGGTCAATTGTTAAAATTTTTTCAAAGAACCAGTTTTTGGTTTCATTGATTTTTCTCTGTTATTTTTCTATTATTTATATCCTCTCTAAGCTTTGTTATTTCCTTCATCCTGCTAGCTTTGGGTTTATTAGTTTGTTCTTTTTCTAGTTCCTTAAGATTTGAAGTTGGATTATTGATTTGAGATCGTTTTCAATTAAATGTGTACAACTACAAATTTCCCTCTTAGGACTGCTTTTGCTGTTCTGTAATTTTTGGCATGTTGTGTTTTTTTGTTTTAATTTATTTCTAAGTATTTTCTAAGTTCCCTTGTGATTTCTTCTGCGTTTAACCGTGTATTTTTTAATTTCCACAGTTGGTGAATTTTCTACTTTTTCTTCAGTTATTGATTTTATTGATTTTCAGTGGCATCCTGTTGTGATAGAAGATACTTTATTTGGTTCCCTGTTTTTTTTTTAAAACAGAGTGTTGCTCTGTCACCCAGGCTGGAGTGCAGTGGTGCGATCTTGGCTCACTGCAACATCCACCTCCTGGGTTCGAGCAATTCTCCTGGTCTCAGCCTCCCCAGTAGGTAGGATTACAGGCACATGCCACCATGCCCAGCTAATTTTTGTATTTTTAGTAGAGACAGGGTTTCGCCATGTTGGCCAGGATGATCTCGAACTCCTGACTTCAAGTGATCCACCCGCCTTGGCCTCCCGAAGTGCTAGGATTATAGGCGTTAGCCACCTTGTCTGGCCCAGATCCTCTATTTTCTTGCCTATATTCTGACTGGGTGTTTTTGTCCATTATTGAGAGTAGGGTATCGAAGTGTCCAGCTGTTATTTCAGAACTGTCTGTTTACCTTCAATTCTGTCAATTTTTTGCTTCATATAATTGGGTGGTCTCTTATTAGGCATGTAAATGTTTTTGATTATTATATCTTCTTGCTATATTGACACTTATTGATGTGTAATATCTTTTTTGTCTCAACCTTGTTTTGATTTAGTTTGTCTAATATTAATGTAGCTACCTGCACTCTCATTTGGTTATTACTTGTATAGAATGTCTTTTTACATCCCTTATTTGTGTCTTTGGATCTGAAATGAGTCTCTTGTAGACAGCATATACAATCTCTTGTAGATTGTGTTTTTCTTATACATTCTGTCAAACTCTGCCTTTTGATTGAAGAGTTTTATCATTTACAATTAAAGTAATTATTGATAAGGATTTAACTGCTGCCATTTTGCTGTTTATTTTCTATATGCCTTACAGCTTTTTTGTCCCTCATTTCCTGCCTTACTGGCACTTGTGTTTAGTTGATATTTTGTGGTGAAGTGTTTTAATTTCCTTGTTATTTCCTTTTGTTTATATTCTGCTATTTTCTGTGTGTGTGTGTGTGTGGTTGCCATTGGGGGTCACATTTAATGCCCTAAAGTTATAACACTGCAATTTCAATTTATACCAATTTACTTTCAATAGCATACAAAAATTCAGCTCATAAGATTCAGTCCCTGCTCCCTTCCAGTTATTGATGTCATAAAATTACATTTTTATGTATTGTGTGTCTAAAAGCGTAGACTAATAATTGTTTTTTAATGCAGTAGTGTCTTAATTTGTGGAAAACAAAAAGTGGAGTTGTAAACCAATGTTACAATAATGCTAGCTTTGGTAATTGCTCATGTATTTATCATTTCTCAGATCTTTATTTCTTAATACAGCTTCAAGTTACTGTCTAGTCTCCTTTTATTTCAGCCTGAAAGACTCACTTCAGCGTTTCTTGCAGGACAGGTCTGGTGATAATGAACTCTCTCAGATTTTGTTAATCTGGAAATGTCTTAATGTCTTCATTTTTAAGGACATTTTTGCTGGATATAGTATTCTCAGTTGACAGGTATTTGTGTTTATTTGTTTGTTTCCTTTCAGGATTTTAAATATATCATCCCACTGCCTTCTGTCCTTCAAGAGTTCTGATGAGAAATCTGCTGATATTGAGGATCCCTTTGTATGTTACAAGTTGCTTCTCTCATTCCATGTTCAGGATTCTCTTTTTTCATAGTTTGATTATAATCTATCTCAGTTTTTCCTACTTGGATCTCTGAGTTTTTCCTACTTGGAGTTAATTGAGCTTCTTGAATATTTATATTCATGTCTCATCAAATTTGGGAAGTTTTTGATTAATATTTCTTCACATAATCTTTTTTGCCCCTTTTCTCTCTTTTTATTCTGGGATTCCCAGAGTGTGTATGTGTTGGTCCACTTGATGATGGTGTTCCACAGGTGTCTTAGGCTCTTGTCTTCAATTTTCCTTCAGTTTTTTTTTTCTGTTCCTCAGACACGTGGTATTTTCAGCTGTTCTGCCTTCCAAGTTTACTGATTCTTCTGCCTGCCCAAATTGGCTTTTGAATTCCTCTAGTAAATTTTTATTTCAGTTTTTGTACTTTTCAGCTCCAGCATTTATTTTTTGATTTTTTTATGTTTTCTCTTTATTGATATTTCAATTTTGTTTTTTGACATTATCCATATCTTCCTTTAGCTTTTTGAGCACCTTTCAACATTTGTTTTAAAGTCTATGTCTAGTAAGTGTCTGCCATCTGATCTTCTCAGGCACAGTTTCTGTTAATTTATTTTTTTCCTTTTGGCCTATACTTAATGTTTTGCTTGGGGTAGTTTTTTTTTTTGGTATGCTTTGTGATTTTTGTTGTTGTTGTCAAAAACTGGAATTTGAATCTTAAAGAGTGGTAACTTTGGAAATTAGATTTTTCTCTTTTCTCTAAGATGTGCTATTTTGTTTGGTTTTTTTATTTGTTGTAGAGTATTTCTATGCTGGGTGTAATCTTAAGATCTTCTCGGCCTGTGTTTTTCCCTGGGCATGTGTAGTGACTTTCTAAATTGCCCTATGTATGCAGTTCTTTTGCAGTAGTATCCTCCTTAAATGTTTGGCTCCTAAAAGGCAAAATAAATAAATAAATAAATAAAAATTAAAAATTAAAAATAAATCAAAGGGGTGAAATAGCTCTGGATCTTTAAATCCCTGGAGCAATTTTTTCAGCCAATGGCAGTTAAATAATGATAGTCTGCCTCTGTGTCACATTTTGATCAGAAGCAGCAATTAGCAATCAGAACACAGATTCCTGATATTTGGAGGGCAAGGTCTTTGTTGCCAACCTTGACTCTTACAAACTGTGTGCAGGGTGCTCTGGGAACATGTGCATGGTTGCCTGCTTTGAGAGTGGGTGATGGGTAGCCGCGACGGCACAAAGAGCTGAAATTGACTCAAACTAACTGATTTACCATTCAAGTCTTTCCTTAGAAACTGAAAACCTGAATAGACTCCAGAGTTCCAGAATCACAGATTCTGCTTACAGTCGTCTAGGTGGGGAGATGGGTTCCTGGTACTTCTGATTCTGCCATCTTTCTTTGACTAATTTTTTTTTTTTGTTCTTGAGATGGAGTCTTACTCTGTTGCCCGCCCAGGCTGGAGTACAGTAGCATGACCTCGGCTCACTGCAACCTCTGCCTCCCGGGTTCAGGCAATTCTCCTGCCTCAGCTTCCCAAGTAGCTGGAATTACAGGCGTGCACCACCATGCCTGGCTAATTTTTTGTATTTTTAGTAGAGACAGGGTTTCACCATGTTGGCCAGGCTAGTCTCGAACTCCTGACCTCAGGTGATCAACCCGCCTCAGCCTCCCAAAGTGCTAGGATTACAGGTGTGAGCCACTGCACCCAGCTCTTAGACAAATTTTTTATTCCAAACTTTTTTTATTTTATCATTTGAAAGGTATATGTTTATTATTTTGTCAAAAATAATTTTAAAACGTATTCTTGAAGCTTATTTAGATCTGTTTCATAGGAACTGTGAAGAAAGTAAAGAATTTAAAAAATGAAGACAGATTTTCTCACCCTGCTTATGGGTGCTTCTCGTGCTAGCCTTTTGCAAGTGTCGGGAAGTGTAACCTGCAGGAGGCATCAGGGCTTTGGGCCTGCATGGTCTGAGTGCTGCCCTGTGAGTTTCAGAAGGCGCAGCAACCTGTATACCTGAAAGCCATCTCTGCTGGGGCAGGTACCTAGTGTCCCCACCTACCTGGGTCGTAGTCAGGCCCTGGGCAAGCCTGCTATGCTTTTCCTTCCCTAATCCCTCAGGGGTGGGATAGAGAGCACAGTGGCCTCCCAGGGAGGTAGAAGCTGCTCCAGACTAACAATCAGAGCTGCCAGTTCTTAATCCCCAAGACCGCCAGACTTCACAAAGACATACCGAGGTCTGTGCTGTCAGTGCCCCACTACTACACTCCCTTAAGTAGCCCCACATTCTTGTGCTTGTTTCTTTTTTCTGCTCTCTTTCCTTGCCCAGGTAAGAGGTCTGCCCATAAGGGATATTTTGCAGCATGTGAAGCTTTTTAAAAAGTTAGGCTTATTGAAGTATAATTTACACACAAAGTACAAAAAAAAAAAGACTGTGTTCTCAAATCTGTGAGTCATTAATGGGTTTAGATGTTTATATATTGAAATTATTGGAAGTAAGGTATGTTTATATTAGAAAGATTTGTAGTCTAGATTATCCAAGTTTTGGGAGTATTACCTCTCTGCTTTTGTTTATCTACTTTTTTAGTCTCTACTTTCCAAGTATCTATAGGCAAATTTTCCCATTTCCCTTTGGAAAGTGCTGTTTTCTTGCTTTTTTTCCGCCTTTCCATTGTGTCAGACTTATAAGGCAATCAGCCAACTGTGGGCATGAAATCCTTGGGAGGAAAGAGAAGGAAGTGGGAGGGGCAGCCATGGTGAATGTTTCCCTAAGTTATAGTCAAGTTCTTTGAGAGAACATAACCTCATCCCCTTTTTAAACTGTTGTAATACTTTCTTTTAAATAGATTGTTTATTCTCCTGCAAGTCTCACAGTTGTTCACAGTGGTAGGTAAGAAATCATAAAGTTCAAATATTAAAGGGAGCTCACAAAAGAGCATGGTTTCACCAGCCCTCACTAAAAACAAAATTATGGGAAAATGCTGTAAAAGAAACCAGAATTCTTGGTTGCAAATGATAGAAAGTGACTCTGATTTACCTAATCAGAAAGGAATTTTTAAAAAAGTATTAGGTAGGTCATAGTTTGACAACAAGACTTGGAAGATAGGTGGAAGCTAAGGGAAGCAAGACATGGCCCCAAGGTTTCAACAGGAGCAATCTGCTTAGGACTTTGCTGCTTGGACACTTGGTGTAATAGCTGCTGCCACTATGCCTCGAAACTGGTGACTCTGCTCATTAACTCACCTCCTCTGGTGATCTCTAGGAATAATCTCTGACTCTCCTGTACCTTGTCCTCACTAGGATTCGGTATCCACGGCAAAAAGATCTATTAATAGTTGGTATCAGGCCTGTACATGTGTTAAGAGAAAGATGAGGAAAGAAGTATCTGCTTCTAATCTCTTGAAATTATCTCCAAATTGAAATGGTATTTTGGTTGCCTAACAGCCTGAAGATGACAAATATCCCCTACAAATTTCTCCTATTTTACCCTCTTCCTAACTATATCTGTAATTTAAAGTTTCACATATTCTTTTGAAAATTGTTTTCATTGTTTACCCACTTTTTAAGAAAAGCAAATGGGAACATACTACCACTGTTTGGCCCCTTTCAAAAATTTTATATCTGAGGAATCTTCCATATTGTTGTGGACATCTACCTACCTGATTCTTTTATTAACTACCTTTTATTTCATTTTATGATCATGCTATCATTAATAGGCCCCTATGATGAATATATAAGTTGTTTCCAGTTTTTTTTTTGTCATTGAGAACAGTTCACATATGTATCTTGTTGTCTTTTCCAAGTATATCTTTAAGGCAAATTCTTAGCAGTGGAGTTGCTAGGTCCATTGCGTCTATGGTTTAAACTAGTGCCTTCAAAAATGGTATTTTATATACTCACTGTTTAAGAGTGCTTCTTCCTTCTATCCCCACTAACTTTGGCAAACTGAATAGTTTCAAACTTTAACTTTTTATAGCTTGTTGGCAAAAAATGGTATCTTGTTATTTGATCGTGTTTTTTTAATTGTGAGGTTTAGCGACTTTTTGATGTATTGGTCTTATGTACTTTCTGGTGTGTGTGTATGTATATACTGACCCTATTTTCAACTTATTTTTCTTTTAGTTTGTTTGTATTTTCCTTAATGATTTTCAGGAAACCAATTTTATTCTTTCTTCAGACAGTTGTCTAATGTTCTGCTTCTCTTGCCATTTGAATTTTGTGACTACAAAATTCAGATGAAACAATAATAGCATAAAGAACTTGGTGGGTTATCTTTTGTTTTGCATTATTGATTGTTTATTAAGAAATATTCTTTAAAAGTCACCTTGCTTAAATTAGCAAGTAGGAAATGCTTTCAATAAAGAGAACTGTCATGTACCCACTACTCCTTACTTACTGAATCATCTTCTTTTGGATAGAGAAGATAAAAGTGAAAAGGGAATTTAAGAGTTCCTGCCTTTTTCCTTGTCTTTAGCATTATATAGCTGTTTAATGTGTGGGAGTCTAATTTCTTTTTTCTTTCTTGAGACAAAGTCTCACTCTGTTGCCCAGGCTGGAGTGCAGTGGCACAGTCTTGGCTCACTGCAACCTCTGCCTCCCAGGTTCAAGCAATTCTCCTGCCTTAGCCTCCTGAGTAGCTGGGACTACAGGCATGTGCCACCATGCCCGGCTAATTTTTGTATTTTTAGTAGATATGGGACTTCACCATGTTGGCCAGGCTGGTCTTGAACTCCTGACCTCTAGTGATCTGCCTGCTTTGGCCTCCCAAAGTGCTGGGATTACAGGCATGAGCCACTGCACCTGGCCTAATTTTTTTATTGTTCTTTTTGGTGTGAACATTCTCCCCTCCTCCAAGCCTTTTGTTTTTACTATTTTCATGTTCCTTTATATGTGCTGCTGTTTTGTTTCATCTGTAATTATCTCTCATCCCCTTTTTTGGCTATTATAATATATATATGTACGTTTTGAATCTGAGCTTTGAAGGTAAATTCACTGCAGCTGTGTTGGTTGATTTTAGATAATTTGTGTATTTCCTCCTTTGTCTTTTTTAAACTGGAGTCATTTGTAGTTGTTTATACAGAATTTTAGTTTTTAAAACCACAAGTCTTTCATTATAGGTTGAGTTATGAATTCATAGCCTGTTATTTAAATGAAGCTTTTGAAATCTGTTTTACTGATCTGTATCATATCTAACTACGCCAGTATTTCCTTCCTTGTCTGACGTGAACTCTAAAATTATGTGAACACTTTCTCCCTGTTTCCTGGCATTTCCACTCAAACTTGTTCCTCATTCTTAGTTAGAAATATATCCAGAATTGTAGTTTCTTTCTAATCTAATGACAGAAGCAAATTAATCAAGCATGGCAAGAATTTATTGGAAAACTGCATGTAGTTGAAAATATGTTTAGTATATATTTTGACAGCTGTGAAGTCTCTAATTTTTACTGTACCTTTTCTCTGTTCCAATTTTATGCTCTATTCTAAGGATGTACCCATTTCTACTACCTGACTAGGGAGCATGTGTATTGTATCCCAGCAGATTTTTTTTTTCATAGATAGATATCCTTTAGATATCTGTTATCCAGTGTAGGTAGCCACTAGCCACATGTAGCTATCATTATGTTTAAATGTAAATAAAATAAAATAAATTTACTGAGTTGTTTTTGCTAGCTACATTTCTTGTGCTCAGTAGCTACATGTGGCTTGTGATTACTGTATTAAGACAGCACAGATACAGAACATTTTCATTATTGCAAAAGTTCTGTTAGACAGTGCTGTTCTATACAGTGTCATTCTGCCTCTCATTCTAAAAAGTTCTAATTCCTGAAGTTGATGTACTCTTTCTGTTGCTGTCCTCTAGCTTAATCAAAATAAATTTGAGTCTTTTTAAAGGTAGGTTGCATTTTACATACTGATATTTCTAAATCAGAGGCTATTTATATTACTTTTTTTATATTACTTTTAAAAATTAGCTTTATTGGAGTATAATTTACATGCAATAAAATCTACCCATTTTAAATGTACGGTTCATTGACTTTTGAGAAATACACACACACACACACACACACACACACCTTCTTGTAAACACACACCTTCTTGTAAACACAACAACCAAGATTTAGAACACTCGCTTTATGAAAAGTTTCCCTCATGCCCATTTGTAGTCAGTCCCCAAACCTGGTTTCAGGCAATCTCTGATCTGCTTTCTATATGCTTTGCCTATACTAGGATTACATATAAATACAGTCATATAGCATGTATTCCTTTTTGTGTCTGGCTTCTTTCTTTTAGTATAATATTTTTGAAATTTATCCCTGTTGTTACTAGTATCAATAATTTGTTCTTTTTTATTGCTGACTAATATTACATTGTATGGATATGACATTTCTTTATTAGTGTGGTGGGCATTTGAGTTGTTTTCAGTTTGGGTCTGTTATGAACAAAGCTGCTGTAAGCATTCATGTGCAAGACTTTTGTGGACATATATTTTTGTTTCTGTTTATTCAATACCTTTGAGTAGAATTGTTGGGTCACATGATGTAGATCAGTTGAACAGAGTAGATTCCAGAAAAGTTCACATACACATTTCTTGACAAAGGTGCTGAGATTATTCATGGGAAAAGGATAATCTTTTAAACAAATAATACTGGAACAATAGAGAAAACAAAGTGAACCTTGACTTTTATGTCTTATCATATACAAAAATTAATTTGAAGTGGATTGTTGACCTAAATGTAAAAGTAAAATTTAAAAATATAAAACTTCTAGATGAAAACATAGGAGAAAATCTCTGTGACTTTTGGTTTAAAGATTTCTTAGACAGTACATATAAAATTAACTATATAAGGAAAAAATGGACAAATTTGACTTTATCAACATTAAAAATTTCTGCTCATTGAAAGACTCAAAATGAAAAGGCAAGCAGTTTTGGAGAAAATATTTGCAATACATATATCTGAAAAAGGACTTGAATGTATAATATATACATAAAGATGCTCTTACAACTTCATAATGAGAAAATAACCCCATAAAGAGAAGGGCAGGCCGGGTGCAGTGGCTCATGCCTATAATGCCAGCACTTTTGGAGGCTGAGGTGGGTGAATTGCTTGAGCCCAGGAGTTTGAGACCAGCCTGGGCAACATGGTGAAACCCAGTCTCTACAAAATAAAAAAATACAAGAAATTAGCTGGGCATGATGGCATGCACCTGTAGTCCTAGCTGTTTGGGAGGCTGAGGTGGGAGGATAGCTTGAGCCTGGGAGGCGGAGGCTGCAGTGAGCTGTGATCGCACCGCTGCACGCTTGCCTGAGCAACACAGTGAGATCCTGTCTCAAAACAAACAAACAAAAAAAAAAACAAAAAATGGAAACAGAAATTTTACAAAAGAAGATATATAGATGGCCAGTAGGCATATGAAAAGATGTTTAAAATCAGTCATCAGGGAAATGAAAATTTAAACGTAATGAGATAGCTCATATTTACTGGAATGGCTCAAAAAGGGCTTACAGGAATTGGCAAAGACATAGATTAACTGGAACTCTTATGCATGTTGGTTAGAGCACAAAATGATATGATTTCTTGGGAGAAATATTTGGCAGTTTTTAAGATTATTTTTGATAGCCTTCTGAATTTCTTAGTGAGTTATAGGTCAGTTCTGCCACTGTTTCTTTCTTTTCTTTCTTTCTTTCTTTCCTTCCTTCCCTTCCTTCCCTTCCTTGCCTGTCTTGCCTGCCTTCCTTGCCTTGCCTGCCTTGCCTTCCTTTCTTCCTTTCTTCCCTTTCTTTTCTTTCTTTTCTTTTTTTTTTTAAAGGAGTCTCGTTTTGTTGCCCAGGCTGGAGTGCAGTGGCACGATCTTGGCTCACTGCAACCTCCACCTCCCGGGTTCAAGCAATTCTCCCTGCCTCAGCTTCCCCAATAGCTGGGATTACAGGCGCGTTCCACCATACTTGGCTAATTTTTTTAATTTTGGCAGAGGCAGGGTTTCACTGTGTTGGCCAGGCTAGTCTCGAACACCTGACCTCAAGTGATCTGCCCGCCTTGGCCTCCCAGAGTACTGGGATTACAGGTGTGAGCCACTGCGCCTGGCCTGGCACTGTTTATTTCTTTTCCCTCCAGTTTTATACCTATTTAGAGAGATTAGATTTTCTTGAGTACTAGGAATCACTATTTTTGAGCAGAATTATTCAAAACTGTTATTATTTTTTCTTTAACTTGAGGCAATGTAGGAGAAAGCAGTACTGTGCAGGTGAAAGTTACAAACAAGAACATTTTAAACAAGATAGTTACTTTCCATGTATTGGATACGTAACAGAATTAATTCTAATAACCATCCTGAAGATGGTCAGGAGGCATTAGTTAAGAATTGAAATGTTTGGAGCTTGCCTGTGTTGATGGGATTAAGGCAGGGATGATTTATGTGTAAATTTATGCGTTAGTAACAGCAGTAACCGCTGTAGTTACACTAGGGTTCTAAGAGCAAATGTTGATTAAACATGAATGTAGCAGGAGTGATAAGGTTTGGCTCTGTGTCCCCACCCAAATCTCATGTGGAGTTGTGATCCTCAGTGTTGGAGGAGGGGCTTGGTAGGAGGTGATTGGATCATGGGAGTGGTTTGTAATGGTTTTAGCACTATCACCCTAGAGCTGTCTCGCGAAAGAGTTCTCCTGAGATCTGCTTGTATATAAGTGTGTAGCACCTCCCCTCTTTGCTCTCTCTCTTCCTCCTACTCCTGCCGCGGGGACGTGCTTGCTTTCCCTTGGCCTTCTGCCATGATTGTAAGTTTCCTGAGGCCTCTGATTAAACCTTTCTTCTTCTAAAAGATTACCCAGTCTCAGGTAGTTCTTTATAGCAGTGTGAGAATGGACTAATACAAGGGGAAATATATATGGTTACCAAATAGCGAATTAGCCATGGGAAAAAGTAGCAAATAAATAATTATTTTACTTTTTCAGATGCTAATTTTTCTTTTCGTTTATTTTAGGATTGGTGGGAGCTGTCCAATGTCCTTAGGCTGTTTTCCAAATGAGATACCAAAAGCTAGTTCTCCATCGGGTTTCTCAGGCTGCTAGAAGCATT
The DNA here is from genome assembly GCF_000001405.40 of Homo sapiens. Taxonomy (NCBI): domain Eukaryota; kingdom Metazoa; phylum Chordata; class Mammalia; order Primates; family Hominidae; genus Homo; species Homo sapiens. The sequence goes on from NC_000010.11 coordinate 87,922,558, forward strand.
CATTATTATGGTTGTCATTACTTCGAGTTCTGTTGCCGCTATGCCCACAGTAGTATTTGTTACATAACAGGTGCTTGATAAATATTTGCTAAATGAATTTTTGGAAAATACAATCTGCCACACCTTTCTTCTACAGTTTACAATCTTCTGTTGAGATCATCCGATAGATTTTTTTTCTTAGATATTGTACTTTTGAGGCCTCAAATTGCTGTCTTTTGTATTTTCTATGTCTGCAGAGACTTTCCATCTTTCACTCATTGTATTCATTGTTTTTTAACATCTTTGTACATATTTATAGTAACTGTTTTAAAGTCACTGTCTGTTAATTCAAACATCTGGTTCATCTTGGAGTCTGATTCTATTGCCTGCTCTTTTTTCTTTGTAATAGGTCATGTTTTTCTGCTTTGCCTGTCTAGTAAATTTTAATCGTATGTTGAAATGTAGGGAGTTTGGATTGTTACTTCCTTTAAGGGTGCTGAGTTTCATTTTGTCAGGCATTTAAATTGATAGTTGATTTAGTATTGTCAGGTTTGGTTCTCTTTGTTAAAGCAGGCATTTTTCAGATTTGTCTTTTGTCCTAGGGCATGGTTTTTAACTTCAAGGTTGCCCTTTCCAATGTCTCAGCTAAGTATCTGGGGTGTTCCATGAGGTCTCTTCCACTTTGCCTAGGCCAGAACTCCAGCTTCTCCCAGTATTATATTTCGTTACCTCTGGCGTCATCTCCGTTATGCTTTCAGATCCTGCGCATAGACAGCCCAGCCCCCAGCCAAGGACCTGAGATGAAATCCATACAAAATTCTTAGTCCCTTGCTCCACAAACTCCAACAGCCTTAGCAGTCTAATCTCTTCCTGTTTACCTCAGTGAAATCTGTGTTCCACTTGAGTTCCATTTCCTTCTGTATCAGAGAAGAGCCACCATGCTGAAAGCAAGGGGCACTATGTTTCTTTGTTCTTAAGGATGGTAGCCTATCTGCAACAACTGTAGTGTGATATAAAAATATATAATTTATGTTGCTGACAGTTACAAATACTGCTTGCAGTACTTTGTAACATAATTTTTCAGATTCAAGTTCATATACTCTTTTTTTCCACATCACCACACACATATTTTCAGACTTCCTCCTCATCCTTCTTCTTGCCAGTAGTTGTATTATAATTCCTGCCAGTAGTTACATTATAATTTTGGTTATATCAATATTGAGTTTTTATGGGATTATAACTAGATAAATGCCATTCATAGTTAAGTGATAGAGTATATTGTGACTTTTTTCCTGCATGTTTTATTTTTTCTGGACTTCACAGTTGTCTCTCTTTTTTTTAAAAAAATTAGTTTTCAATGTTCTTAGCTTTAATTCATAAACTCACCCCTAATTGTATAAATCTCTCAACATGTTTAAGCACATTTGGCATTATATCAATTTTATCTTTTCCAGGTGCCTTCTAATCTGTCCCAGTCTGGACTAATTGTTCTTCCTGGCTTGCTGTATGGCTGTCTACTCAAGATGTCCCTTCACCATCATTCTAGGGATTCCCTTTTCCTCTCTTGTGGGTTAGATTCTTCAGTTCTTGGAGACTGTCATCTTCTTTCATGGTTTCCCACTCTTGTTTTGGCGGAGCACATCTTTAGTAACTTCCTGACAAAGTGTATGGTTTGAGATTTCGCTGATTTTAAAATGCCCTTATTATATAGTCACACTTGATTTATAGTCTGTCTTGGTATAGAATTCTAGGCTGAGAAGAGTTTTCCCTCAAAATCAGAAGGTTTTGCCCAATTGTTTTTTAGCTGCTAGTATTGCTGTTAAAAAGGATAATGTCATTTTGATTCTAGATTCTTTTATGAAACCTGTTTCTTCTCTGGCAGCTTTTAGGATCTTCTGTTTCTTTGGTATTCAGAAATTTCATGAGATATGTGTGCTTCTATTTTGGTCTTATTTTCATCTGTTTTGCCAGGTACTCATGCAACTTTCCAGTTTGAAAACTCACATCCTTCACTTTTGAGTATTTTTCTTGAGTTATGTCTTCGGTTTCTTCTCAGTGTTCTCTGTTTCTGGAACTCCTAAAATATATTTAACATCCTGAACTCTTAGTTTTTGTTTAGTCTTCTGATTTTCATTTGTCTTTTTATTCTGTATATTCTGTTAATTCCTCGGCTTCATGGTCTTCTAGCCCTTCTTTTGCCTATCTTATGGGGTTGAGGATTAAACAGTTTATATACCTGAGGTGCTTAGGATATGTCTGTCATATAGTAAGTGCTTGTGTTAGCTGTAATTGTTGTTTACTTTCATAACTGTCTTGAGGGAAAGGTCTTTGGTCTTGATTCTTTGACTTCTTGGCTGTACATGACCTTGGACGAGTTATGTAATCTCTTTGAGACCTACCTCCCTCTTCTGTATAGTGTTAATAAGCTCTAGCTCTCAGATGTTTGTGAGGGTCGAATGGAGTATATATGTGAAAATGTTTAATACCTTTGTACAGAATTAATAGTTAGTACGTGGATCTTTCAAATATCAAAAGTTTTCAGTTTGATGGGAAAATGATGTCTGAATTTTCAGGGTTATTTTTAAGAGTACTTGATTATGACTGTCTTGTAAATCTCTATGAGCTAGGTATACTTGCACTAAATGCTAATGCTTTTTAAAGAAGTTATGTCTTAATATTCAGTCTCATTATGTTAGGTTGAAGATAGAAGATTATGAAAATATTCTCTGAAAAGCTCTGGTTTTACTTCAGATTGTATAAATCTGTGTAATGTAATAATTATTTAAGAATGACATGATTACTACTCTAAACCCATAGAAGGGGTATTTGTTGGATTATTTATTTTCACTTAAATGGTATTTGAGATTAGGAAAAAGAAAATCTGTCTTTTGGTTTTTCTTGATAGTATTAATGTAATTTCAAATGTTAGCTCATTTTTGTTAATGGTGGCTTTTTGTTTGTTTGTTTTGTTTTAAGGTTTTTGGATTCAAAGCATAAAAACCATTACAAGATATACAATCTGTAAGTATGTTTTCTTATTTGTATGCTTGCAAATATCTTCTAAAACAACTATTAAGTGAAAGTTATCTGCTTGTTAGAGTGAGGTAGAGTTAAAGATACATTTTAACAGAATTGTATTCCTAAACCGATTAAGTCAAGAAGTCCAAGAGCATTGTTAGATCATTTAGAAAGTGTAGTGATGAGGTAAAACATTGTTGGCACAGATTCATGTTACTTGATCTGCTTTAAATGACTTGGCATCTAGCCCATATTTGAGCCCATAACCGTGTGGTAATTTGAAGTGTAATTCACAGTAGAGCTTCTGTTAAAGCACTAATAGCATCTTCCATGGAGGTATACTTCAGAGTGAATATAATTTTGTTTATCCTGTGTCTCTAGAGCTATTGACTGAAAAAGCTGTTAGGGCATTCTCTAACTGTACATCACCTAAGTTATTTAAAATTGCTGAATTAGGTGGCTTGTCTTGTCTAGGACAGAGTTTTAAGGACTGCCCACCTGATTGATAGAGCTAGTTGACCTTATCTTTAACTTTTTGTTTTTCTTTTGACTTTGGGAGTAGAGATGTGAAAAGGTAAAAAGGAAGGAAGGAAGAGAAAACTTAACTCTTTTTGCCCATGAAGACTGTTTTTCCTTCTCAAAATATTGACTATTTTCTGATTTGTAAAAATCGGCACATAAAACGTGTTATTTTTTACTTGACTTTTATCTTTCCCATGTGATATCTATAAATTATAGATAGGAAAAATTTATCTGTAATTTAGTGATCTTTCTAGTGTGATAAAACGTCAGAAGTACTGAGAGTGGAGTGGACATTGATATTGTTACTCTCAGTAAGTTTTCACTGATTTTTCTCAGAGTCATGAAGGAACAAACGTTTGTTAAGTCCTTATCACTTATTAGATAACACAAAACATGTTGGGGGGGTGTGTACAGAGGTGAGTAAGATGTAGCTCCCATTCTCAAGTCGCTTACATTCTAATGTAAAAGGTAGACAAAGCATTACAGAAGAAGTAACTCTGCTATAGAAGGTTGCAATGAAGAGAACATTGGAAACACTAATTTTACCTTATAAAGAAGGTTTCATAAAGGAAGGCAAGTTTGAGCTGGGGTGAAAAGGACCAGTAAGGGTTGACTTTCAAGCCAAGGAGAGGAGGGGAAGTGATGTTACAGGCCAAAGGAATGGCATTGTAAGAAGCTTGTTGGCATAAAAGTGTTTAGAATATGGCAGCGAATTCATTATCATCAGATTGTGGTGTCTGTATGTTGGGGGTGGGAGAGAATTGTGGTGGCAATAGGCAACAAGATAAAAGAAAGTAAAAGGTGTTATGGAAACTTAATGGGTCCAGCTTACAAATGATCTATGCATTTAGGGGTCTTTCTCTTTTCCTGATAAACCTCTCCTACAAAGAGCCTTGTTGCGGATACCATAGTGTTTCTTTGGAGGAAAATAAAAACTACAAAGCTTTGTATTTTTTGCACAACTGGATTCAGAATATAAGTAATAAAAAAGGACAAGAACTTTCAAAAGCTAGAAGCCATTAAACTGAGTCACTTCAGGGTTAGACTATCAGAACTGGGGATTTAGAAAGTCTCAGAATGGAAATCGAAGGACACCAAAGACAAATTCGGCCTTTTTCAAAATTTTATTCTAGTTTAACATATTCAAAGAAAGGGAAGGAAATTCTTTTCATTCCTGTGTGTAGTGACTTCCTGCTTTAAGAACTTAGGACTTCAGCTGTACTATCAGTATTGTAGGTCACTTAACATTATTATGGTTAAAGTTGGCATTGGAGAGAGCCTAGGAACCTAACTGCCTGTTTGTTTTTATATTTCCAACCATTGGATTCCCAAGTTAATGAAGTCTGTTTATTAGTTGAGGGTAGCTCTTAATGCATATATTTTAATGCCCCTTCCCCACATGGAATCATAAGCTTTCAGAACTGGAGAGTACCTGAAAGAGATCATTTAGTCCAACCTTCTCATTTTACAGATGGGGAATCTGAGGCCTAGAGAAGTTAAGTGAGTTGAACAAGGTCACACAGGTACATATGGTAGCCGACCATCCACTGTTTATGCCAATATTCCCTTTACGTTTTGCTTTTTTGCTTGTTCGTTTTAACCTCTCCAAATTTTACTGACTTCAGAAGTTTCTAGAACTAAGTTATAGCATGTTTTGAGTTCTAATGTCACTTTCCGATCTTCTTTACCTTTTTTCTACCTCTGTTTGTATTTCTGGTTCTGGTTAAGTGAGTCTGGTAAGCAGCAGGTGTTCTATTTTATTTCTTTTATTTTTAGGATAGTATTACATGTGATATATATGTCTTTGCAAACATACATAATTTGAAGATCTTAAAATATTTGCACTAGGCATACCCACATTTAATAGTATGTTAAATCTTTTATAGCAATTATGATATACATGGGTGAAGAAGAGTTCCTAATATGGCCTTTCTGATTAACTGTATCTGTTTATATCTGTGTTTTCTTCAGGCATTCATAACATTAAGCAAATTCAGGTGTACTGTTACTTAATTGAATTAATCAGTTTGTTTTGTACAAGTATATTTTATTTTTGTTCCTTGTTGTATAATCTGGTAGGAATGGGGAAGGGGAGATAGTGAATAAAGAGATGTATACTTCTTGCCTTTGAGGAATTTAAGTTTTCACTGTATACCAATTTTTTAAAGGTATTTACTATATTTCAGTGCATATTTTATTTGACATACTTTATCATTTTGTGGTAAACCTTTAGCTTTACTAATTTTCATCTATTAAGTTTTCTTTTGTAAGATGGTGATAGCTTCATCAAAGAGAGTAAAGAAGAGACCTGCCTACCTAGCTGATTCTATGGCAAATCTCACTTCTCTGGAAGCTTTTCCTGTTAATCTTATTCCTTCAGTTTCTGCCTCTTGTTTCATAAAAACTCATTCTTTAAATGCTTATTCATTTCTCTTGTCTCATATAAACCAATATGAGGTACTGGTATCTTTTGAGTTTTAGTTATAAGGAAGCATAAATGGTTAAATTTAAATGGCTAAACCCCATTTGCCATTTGTGTATCTTTAATTTTAGTTTGTTGAGAGACTTATCACTACCAAACCACAAAGAATTTAAAAGAAACTGTCAGTAGGTATAGGTGGAAGGAGGGCATTTATCAGAGATTTTAATTTAAGAAGAAAGTCTTCATCCTTATCCTACCAACCCCCATTCCCTGAGCATATTTATCATTACTAGTCCCAGCATATTTGCTCCCATATTTCCTATGCTTACCTGTGAAGATTTTCATAACTTTTTCCTTGCTTTTTACTGTCACTGTTGGTTCTGTGATTTATGACAGATACTGCTCTTGTAGGAATGCTGGCTTTGACTGAAATTTGTTACTGCTTTTGTATTTAAAACTTTTTTTTTATTATAAGTAGAATTATGGAACAGTAGTAGAAAAAGTTTGACTTTTGTAATCAGAGATACTGAGCTTGAGTTCTGGCTCTTTCATTTGTATACTGTTATTTGGGGCAAGTTTTTTAATGCTCTTAAGTCTTAGCTTTCTCATATATAAAATGGAGATAATAACAGTTATCACGTGATTGTGAGGATGAAACAAAAAAAAGTGGAAACTCTTTGTAAGGTGTGTTCATCTGGTTGACACTTAGTAGTCATTACTTCCACTTTCCGTCCATATAGTCCTCTTAACAGTAATATTTGAGAGGCATTTTTATTAAAGCAGTCTTAAGGAGTGTTCGTCAAACCACATGTTCTGGGATCCTGAGAAAGTAGGGGAAGTTTAGAGAACTGAAGCTGCACAAAACTAATGTTTATTTTCTGTTGTGTTGTCCTGAGACCAGCTTCTTAGATTGTGTTTCCTAGTCCTACATCTCTGATTCCTTATAAAATATTCCATTATGAATTCTTCACTATTGACAATTTCTCCCCTTTTATCTTAAAAGTACCAAAGAAAGTGTAAAATGTGACTGTCTTGTCAGTCCTCTTTTTCCTGTTTTTCATGTCAGTGGGTATGAAATTACTAGCAAGGATGCATATATGTGCATATGTCATTACTAAATGCATTTTCTTTCTAGAAAAACTCAATATACTAAATTGTACTAAAAAGGAAAAGCTTGTTTTGTTTTGAGTGGTAGTATGAAAGTTGTTTTATTTTAGGTCTGACCAGTTAGAAACCAATGGATTGTAGTTTATTTATAATTAGTTAAACCTTCATGTGAATTTGGTTTTGAATTACCTTTAAGGTAGAGAAGAAACTATATAGATGTTTTTCAGGGTTTCTAAATGTACAATACAGGTTCACAATCACTTATTTGAAACTCTTGGGGCCAAGTATGTTTCCATTTTCAGAAATTTTAGTTTTCAAAAGGTAGCACAGATAAATATACTTTTACATAAACACCCCAGTGGGGTGTGGGTCAGTACCTGAAATGAAATGTTTTACTCTTCGCTCTAAGTGTATTAAATATTATGTACAATCTTATTACTTCAGATCAGGATTTGCTGTAGTTGAGTTTGCCATAAAACTTAAGAGAAAATTTTAGATGTTTTGAACTTTTGGGATATTGAAATTGCAGGTTAAGGAGCTATGGACCTTTATTTGTTTTAAAATGCTAAGAGTTTATTTTAAGTAATTTTTAAAAAATTTGTTTTGCATAGTAGTTGGAGTTACCAGGGTACTGCTAACCACACTGATATGTAAGATCTCTTTCTGAGCCTTTTATTGTTTGTAAACATGGCCTGTTAATCATTAGAAAGCCAGTACATACTAACATATCACTGCTATTAAGACAAATATTAGCATACTCTAGTAATGACAAGTCAGCATTTTACTATTCTGTATTGATTTTACTTATTCTTTCATTACTCTCATACTGTAATTAAAACTTGCAATCTGAGAGACTGTTGAAAAAGGTGATCGTTGGCTTTTCAACAGGGAGTAAGGTCTGGTTTAAAAAAAAATTAGTAAGCATTTGGCCAAGTAGATTAACAACATTCAGTTTTTCTTTACTGTCCTTATGCTTTTACTATTTTTAACATATATCTTTTTGAAGAATAGTTTGAGAATTATGTATGCTTAACTATGAGATACAGATACTATTGAAACTAGTCAGTTGTTTATAGGTACTTGTAAAATTAAAAATATATTCCAATAGCATGCAGATTTTTCATAGAGGAAATTTGAAAGCATGGAAGCACCTGAATTTACAGTACTCTGTATTAGTGGCATCACAAGTTTTTAAGCAAATGTATTAGCTCTAATTGCATACACTTAATCTTTTAAGCTTTGGTTTTATTATTATAATATGGGGGTGATAACAGTATCTACTTAATAGAATTCTTGTTATTACATGAAATAATTAATGTTAAACACAGCATAATATGTGTCACATTATAAAGATTCAGGCAATGTTTGTTAGTATTAGTACTTTTTTTTCTTCCTAAGTGCAAAAGATAACTTTATATCACTTTTAAACTTTTCTTTTAGTTGTGCTGAAAGACATTATGACACCGCCAAATTTAATTGCAGAGGTAGGTATGAATGTACTGTACTATGTTGTATAACTTAAACCCGATAGACTGTATCTTACTGTCATAACAATAATGAGTCATCCAGATTATCGAGTGAGATACATATTTAAGAATTATCTTTAAAAATTTCAAAAATTTTAATTTTACTGTTGTGTTTTAGGAAAAAGTATTGCATAAAGCTATTAATATTGTCAGGAAGACTAAAGTGCAGCATAGACTAAGAATTAGGAAAATTCCTAGACTAAAAATAGTATAAGGAGAGGGTTTACCTACTATTTGAGGCAGTTGGTCTAATAGTAAGCAATCACAGGGAGAAAGCAGAACTACTTAACTCTTCTGTGTTGAGGAATGACATAAAAGGTAGGAAAGGATATAACAAATGTTGATAAGAGGAGTCTGATGGATGAGAGGAGGGAACTGCTTTAAATGAGTTTCTACTTCAGACATAAGTTAATTCTCAGAGCCCACAAAAACTTTCACTTTTATTTGTGAAATACAACTCAGTTCTCATGGCTTAACACTTTAAACCATGAGAAAACTGAAGAGTTGAGAAGCTTGGCAGATGCTGCTGTGATAGTCAAAAAGAAAGTGGGTGCCATGAGCTACTATTGATGTATTTGCCATTGATCCCTCCTGAAAATCTAGAATGGACTTTCAGACAAATGGTTTGAAAATTCTAAATCACTAATGATTGAGATTTAGTATAGGTTTACTAAGAACGGGTTTTTTTTGTTTTTGTTTTTGGTGGATTTAGGCTGTTGCTTACTAAGCAAAGCAGGCTTTAGTTGAGGTTTATCTTGCTTTAAACAGATATTTAACAGATTTTCCTGGAGGTTTTTGTGTACCACTGGGAAAATGAAGTTAGGCAGATGACTAAGTGAAAGCTGTCCTGCTGACTCCTTATAATGATAGTCATTGTCTACCAGAAGATCTCTCCTGTCACACCAAAGGATAATTGATTATATCCTGTACCATATTATGAGTCACCTGATTGGAGATATAAGACATACTTCTCACATATTTAGATGACACAGGTTAGTACATTGAATATCAGCCAGGGTTTTTAAGGATCTTAATAGAGTGGAACTAAGGTAGAAACTATTAAGAGCAATTAATAGTGATATATCTATAGTCCTGTTTCTAAACAAGTTTTTTTAAAAACCTCAACTCTGACTATAGTGAACAGAGAAGTCTTGGACTCTTACAATTCATGTGAGAAGACCTGAAACTTTGATAACAATTATATACATTTTGTGAGTAATTTCTTTGGTGTATGCCTTCACATATCTCTGGTATGTGACCTATGCTGCAGTCCATTGAGCATAGATTCCCAGAATGTATTCTCCTGCAGAAAATGGAGGAAAATAATACTTGGCTTCCCTAATGATTACATGTGTATACAACACTAACATTTGCAAGACCACCTTTAAATAACACACTTAGCATTTTTATTTTATGAAATGTAATATGTAGTTCTTTGCATAGTTTATCCTATTAGTAATCTATTCTGTCTTTGGAATATGTTTTGTGATGATGAAATAAATACTATAAATAGTATTATTCCTTTTGCATTGAGAGTCCTGACGAAATGTCCATGTGACAGTTCATTTTGGGTTTAGCTCTACCTCTAATATGTGACCTATGCTACCAGTCCGTATAGCGTAAATTCCCAGAATATATCCTCCTGAATAAAATGGGGGAAAATAATACCTGGCTTCCTTAATGATTATATTTAAGACTTATCAAGAGACTATTTTCTATTTAACAATTAGAAAGTTAAGCAATACATTATTTTTCTCTGGAATCCAGTGTTTCTTTTAAATACCTGTTAAGTTTGTATGCAACATTTCTAAAGTTACCTACTTGTTAATTAAAAATTCAAGAGTTTTTTTTTCTTATTCTGAGGTTATCTTTTTACCACAGTTGCACAATATCCTTTTGAAGACCATAACCCACCACAGCTAGAACTTATCAAACCCTTTTGTGAAGATCTTGACCAATGGCTAAGTGAAGATGACAATCATGTTGCAGCAATTCACTGTAAAGCTGGAAAGGGACGAACTGGTGTAATGATATGTGCATATTTATTACATCGGGGCAAATTTTTAAAGGCACAAGAGGCCCTAGATTTCTATGGGGAAGTAAGGACCAGAGACAAAAAGGTAAGTTATTTTTTGATGTTTTTCCTTTCCTCTTCCTGGATCTGAGAATTTATTGGAAAACAGATTTTGGGTTTCTTTTTTTCCTTCAGTTTTATTGAGGTGTAATTGACAAGTAAAAATTATATATAAATACAATGTATAATATGATGTTTTGATGTATGTGTATATACATTGTGAAATGATTACTACAGTCAAACTACTTAACATATTCATCACCTCACATAATTATTATTCTCCCCCCAGGGTGAAAGCATTTAAGATCTACAAGCTACAATTTTCAATTATACAATGTTATTATTAACTATAGTCACTATGCTGTCCAGTAGAGCTTCAGATCTTGTTCATCTTGTGTTCCTCCCTCCCCACCCTCAGTCCCTGGAAAACAGGTTTTAAAGATAGTTGCTAATCCTTATTTCTTCTAAATTTTTAAATCAGTTGCTGCCTCAATTTCTATATGAGAAATGACTGATTGATTTCATTTTTCTGTTCACGCTACCATTTTCATATCATACTAGCACATGTTACCCATTAACTGTATTGCAGATTTGGTCTCACAAAATTCTTCTAAAATAACATTTTTAAAAAGCATATTAATCAAAAATAAGCTTTATATTTCTGAAGCTTGTTTGAGCATAGAATGCCTTTGGATAAAATACCATTACCTAGTAAAGTGTGAACTTTTATAATCCATAAAAATTATTCTTTTATAAGAATATTCATAAATGTAGTTAGATTAATAGAAGATTCTCGATTCTTTGATCAGAAAACTAAGGACTATATTGAAAAATCAGTGACAAATTTAATTCTTATAGTACATCTGAAAGAAAAAAGAAAACTCTTGGGAGAACTTTTACAGTGATTTAATTTTGCTGTTGATATATTTCTTTGGGTGGTAAGTATGGCAAAACATGTTAAAATTTAATGCAAAGAGATTTTGTACATTTTTCCATCTCTAAGAAGGACAAAGCCTAAGCCCCTCCAGATAGATAGAAAAACTCATTTAGAGAGTTCTCCTTCATGTTAATCTAATTTCTTCTTAATTCAGCTGTAAAACAGAAATAGAATGATCGTATTAATCATTTAAAGCTGTGTAATTGCATAGATTCCTTGTTCCTTTACCCCCTCTTATATCTTGTTTCCTATCCTTTGTGACTTTTTTTGCATTATATATAAGGATGCCGAAATACTGTTTATTGTTGATAGTTTACAAAATTGAATCTTACATTAGTGCATAATTTTGGTGAATGTTGAAGATTATGGTAGATTGCCTTACATTTCTGCATATTGTTTGCACCTTGGAATGATAGCACTGGCATGAATTATAGAGCTGAGGATCTAAAGATTTTTACTTTGATTTATCCCATTATCATCTGCAGGGAAACAATTGCTTTTACTGATTAAAAATGCAGGCTGGGCACAGCGGCTCACGCCTGTAATCCCAGTACTTTGGGAGGCCGAGGCGGGCGGATCACAAGGTCAAGAGATCGAGACCATCCTGGCCAACCAACATGGTGAAACCTCATCTCTACTAAAAATACAAAAATTAGCTGGGTGTGGTGGCGCGTGCCTGTAATCCCAGCTACTCAGGATGCTGAGGCAGGAGAATCGCTTGAACCCGGGAGGTGGAGGTTGCAGTGAGCCGAGACTGTGCCACTGCACTCCAGCCTGGTGATAGAGGGAGACTCCATCTCAAAAAAAAAAAAAAATGCAGTAGCAAAAGCGATGGTAGAAATTTAAAACAGAGTTGATGAGCAGCATATATTTTGGTAGTGGAAAAAAAGGTAAAAAATTTTTTGTAATAAAATAGAAAAATTTTGTAATGTGGAGGCGCAGAACACTAGATTTAAGCCAGGGGGTCTTAAATTGTGTTACATTCCTTTTAAAGTCTGATGGAAGGTATAAATGTTCTCCCCTCAAAAAATGTGCATAGTGTACATAAAATTTTGCAGTTTTTATTACATTGAAATATATTCTTTTAGACAGAATGTAAAAGAACCTTCATGAAAACTATGTCACTTTTTTATGCAAAAACCAGTGGCTACTACATGAGAGCAATGAATAAATCTAAGTGGTACAAATTAACCAAAATTAAGCTTTAGTTCTGTTCAATACTAAATTTTAATGAAAAGACTGCTATTTAACTTTTAAAATAACAAGTTGAAACTATGCTCTTTGACTTTGACTTTGCAACTTTTATATGATCTTTGATATCCAATCAGTGTTGACTTTGGTAAAAAGTGCTGAAAATGCTATTTTACAAAAGAAAGAAGAGTAAATGGAATCTGTAGATTCTATTGCCTGATGAAAGTAGACGTGTCAAGAAATAAGAATTCTCCAAGGCTCTTCAGATAAATTCATGTTTCATCATTTTCTTTGCCTTCAAGTTACTGAGATCATTTTTGGCAAGATCTGTATCATTAATGCTGTGTTAGGAAAGAAAAGATTATGACTCCACATTTTACTTTCAAGGTTGAAGAGTTAAACTGTTTAAAAAGAGTGTATGTTATCCTGTAAACAGCAGTATCAGGCTGTAGAATTTGTCTTCTGAAAGCAGGGAACTTATATATAGCAAAGAACTTCATAGTGCTCCCATTTCTTGACAAAACCTCTCGAGAAGCTCTTGATTGAAAGTCTTGGCTTTCATGAATCTGGCAGCTTTCACAATAGTGGATTTTTCATGACAAATCATCTTACACAGGGAATTATTCAAGGGTTGGCACTTGAAACAGTAGAATACTTTCACAACAAGAGATAAGATTTCTTTCAGGATTGATGACAGTCTTGCACCCTAGCGCATACTGATGAAGAGAGCAGTGGGTGACCATGACATGGAGAGCTTCTGTCTTTACCAGTGCCCCAATATCAGATGTGTTGTCTGGCAGTAAGGTGTACTGTCTGCCTACAGAATACTGAGGTTTCTTCAGGAGAAGTTTTTTGGTAAAGAAACTTTACCATTTTGAAAGTGTTAATGTTTTCTGAAGCTTCCAAAAAGATTCCAAAATGGGAATGTTTCCTTGATTGTGTCACCATGCTTGCATTTGATGAAAACTTGTAGCCGGCTATACTGAGAAATCATATCTGAAGAAAGGTGGTACTTCCAATCTTTTTGTGACCTACTTTATTATTGTTTTTTTAATGTCAGGGTTTTTTTTGGAATGGAGAAAAGTATTTGATAGAGGTATTGCAACAGTCTTATTCTTCTTCATGCTACAAGTATATTTGACTCTTTCTAAGATACTTGCCTTCACTGTTCAACTGTGTGACTTTTTGTTTGTTTAGCATTACAATCAATATCCTAGTAGGATGATTTAATCAATGATTTTTAATTGGAACAAATAGTTTTTGTAATGGTCTAGGCTTTTCCAACTTAACTGTGCTCTCACATGTGGTCTCTTTTTCTCCCTCTTTCCTCCTTCTTATACACTCTCACCCACACACATATGCATACATACCCTGTCTGATGTATCTGCTTCTTCAGAATAGTTGGCTGTGCTCTGCTGATGATGAGAACTTGCCATTTAAGAAGGACTTGGGATAGTCCATGTCATCATGTTCAGGGATAAAAGTAAAACCCAAGGGCATTTAAACTTTATTGTATTTTATTTTCTGTTTCCAGTCCAAATTAAATCCAAGAGAAGGCTCCATAATCAAAAAGTAAGGACATATTTTAAATTTGCCAATGGGAAGATATTCTAGTCATTACAGTCTGGTAATACTATCAATTCTGTTTCTCTTCAGAGGTGAGGGGAGACTATTTGATGAAATCGTAAGTCCTGTAGGGTGTTGTGAAATAGGGCCAGAATGAAAGATAGCAAGAATAGTGTTATGAAAATAAAATGCAAAGTTTATAATATCATGTGGTAAAATGTAATAGTATTTACTTCATCAGTAGAACTGCTCTAGTAGCTGTATATTCTCCATCCTTGCATAGGTTGGAATATCCCCCAAGTGAAAAGAGATTGATGGGCTAATAGTTAATAGAAAATGGAGATCTGTACATACAGTGTTAAGAATGTAGATATTAAAATTGTTATATTTAGCTGTTACATAATATTAAGACTCAGAGTTAAGTAATTTCACTGAAATTGATTGCTTTTTGTGTCTTGGAGTCAAAATAAATAACTGAAATCTACTATACTTGGCTCATGCTTAATTAATATACTTAGACCATATTTCGGATGAATTATTCACAGAATCTAAAGGAGTATCCTCGTGTTCTTACCTTCTTTATCCCTGTGTTTATTTAAAAAGGCAAAAAAAATGGAGCAGATGCTGTTGGTTGACCATATTTTACTGAACAGTAGCATTTGTGTTTAGGTTGAAACAGCATTAGAAAACTAGATACGGATTAAAGTCAGTGGTAGGTTTTTTTTTTTTTTTCTTCCAGGAATGTTTCTTATAGATGATCAAACAGGCACAGGAAGGGGAAGTGTTGTGATCAATATTATCCAGTTAATATTAGCATTCAGAGGAAAATTTGAGTCCTCTGATACACTGTTAAATTTCTTTCTATACTATCAAGTCCACAAATCCTGGAACTGCAAAAGAATTTTGAGACTGTTCAAAATAATTAATCTCTGTATAGGCTCAGGCTTTCCTGCAAGGTTATGAAATGCTGATAAAATTGGTCTTATTTTGAAAGGCTCCTCAGCTTATACCTTTCCTTACAAATGCTTCCTTACAAATGCTAAAGCATTTAATGACTCCTGACTTAAAGGGAATTTGGACAGATTGAGGTTGTTGGTCTTGGAAATATAATACTGCAGGCTTCTGTAAAATACTTGAAATGTAATTGTTTTAAAACTTTCAAAGATACCACTTGTTTGCCTGTTGGTTAGAATACTGGTGAAATAATTTTTAATCTTTTATGAATAACTAATTTCATCATAAGAAAACTTAGCTAAGCATGGTAAAGCTGTTGTTATACAACTGTGGAATTCTTCCTGAGGAGTAACTATCTTATAATAAATGTAGTTGATTATCTAAAGTAGTTTTATTCTTGGAATATCTCATAATAGGTTTATTCTCTTCTTGTCAGTATTTCCTTGTAGATTGAGCCTGTGGATTTGCATTTTTGTAATTGTGAATCACCATTATAGGAGATACATGCATTTTATCTACTTTTCAGTTTGTATGGGGTTAACTTTATTAGAATTATCTTTAATGTTATTTTGCTTATATCCTTAATTTTAATTATAGACAAACATTAAGAAGCTGGAGAAAATTATGTTCTAGTGACATTTATATAGAAGAAGAATCTTTTTTCCCCCTTTCTTTTTTGAAGGGAGATGAGGCAGTCATATTTTGGTAAAGAATTTGTAGACTTTGCAGAGGTCTCTTCAAAATAATCTGGCTCAGAGTCTTGACATATCCTCAGCAGACATGGTGCAAATTAGATGGCAGAGTGGTGGGTACAAGTTGACCATAAAATAACGCATTAGGTTAGTAATGCCCAAATAATACTTTGGGTTTTCAGTGTTGCAGAGAAGTCAGACAACTGATAGTTATTATAAAGAAAAATGTTCTGAGAGTGAGGTAACCGCTTAAGGGAAGGAAGCCTCCTTCTGTCTTATTCACTAATTTACAAGAAGATAATTGTGTTACACTTCCTTAGGAGTCATTCATTTGTATATTTGACACTTTTGCTTTATGAACATGTGAAGATTATTCAAAAGTAAGCTGTTGGTGATTTTTTTCTTCCAAGAAAGCATGCCACAGGGCAACTTCTAGGGTTGGTTCTCATCTAGTCCTGTGCTCCACACTATCTGCATCTGCACTTAAGTTTCAATATTAGATAACTCACATGTTTAAACTATGAAGAAAGAGTTAAAACATCCTGAGAATGCTAGTAAGTATGTATTTTTGAAAGGACTTCCAAAATTTGAGTTTAAAGAGGTAAACTCCTTTTACATGACAAAGTTACTTAGAAACACTACTGCTGTTTCCCTCTCCCTTGCCTTCTCCCTGTCCCATGCATACCCCCAGCTGTGTTCCAGAATGATGGCACATAAAGTAAACATTCATATTTATTTCCCTTTTTTTGTTTTTTTTTTTTTTTTTTTTTTTTGCTTGTTTGTTTTGTTTTTTTGTTTGAGACAGTCTCACTCAATCACCCAGGCTGGAGTGCAGTGGCAACATCTCAGCTCACTGCAACCTCTACCTCCTGAGTTCAAGCGATTCTCCTGCCTCAGCCTCCCGAGCAGCTGGGATTACAGGCGCCTGCCCCCACGCCTGGCTAATTTTTGTATTTTTAGTAGAGATGGGGTTTCGCCATGTTGGCCAGACTGGTCTTGAACTCTTGACCTCAAGTGATCCGCCCACCTCGGCCTCCCAAAGTGCTGAGATTACAGGCATGAGTCACTGTGCCTGGCCTCTTATTTTTTCTTTGGTTAAACTTTTAGGGAAAAAGTTTGAGCTGCTTTTAATTTTCTTTTTGTTTTTAAATAAATTATTAAAGTTTCTCTATGTTAGGAACTCTTGTGTACATGAGTTCATTGAGCTTATTCTTAATAAAGACAAATCTTCTAGAAATAATAGTTGTATCTTTAAATGATCTCAAGGAAAATGTTTGGTTTCTCTGGGGAATGAATTTTCATGACCTAATCTTAAATCAGGTTATTTTTTCTAGCCTGTTTACTAAATTTCTACATGTTATAACCTAATGAAATTTTCTTACTTCCTCTTTATTTAAAACAAACTATAATTACTGTCTTTTTAAAAATCTTCCAATGTGGCGTTCTTATTTTTCTTAACATTTGAATTTTCCTGGGCCAAACCATGTTACTATGATACACATTATTTAAGGCTGTTATATAATACAGTAAAATTGTAGAACTTTCATACCTTGAAGGATCTTAGCAATTATTTAATTCAAACCCATTCTAACATAGATGATAAAACAGATTTGCAGGGTTGGGCACGGTGGCTCATACCTATATTCCCAGCACTTTGGGAGACTCAAGCGGGAAGATTGCTTGAGCCCAGGAGTTCAAGACCAGCTTGGGCAACATAGTGAGAGGCTGTCTCTACAAAAAAATATTTAAAAAATAGCCGGGCATGGTGTCACGTGCCTGTAGTTCCAGCTGCTTGGGAGGCTGAGGTGGGAGGATTGCCAGAGCCTGGGAGGTTGAGGCTGCAGTGAGCCATGATCACACCACAGCACTCTAGCCTAGAGCCTCCCTGTGTGGCAGGCTCTACACTTCAGATAGGCAACAGATCGAGACCTTGTTTCACAAAACGAACAGATCTGCAAAGATCAACCTGTCCTAAGTCATATAATCTCTTTGTGTAATAATAAAAACCCCATCTTCTAACCTTAAACCTGGTATTTTTTTCTACGAAACTATGTTCTGCAGTCCAAATTATTTTTCTTTATTATTTTGAATCCTAAAGTAGAAATAGAAACTTAGAAAAATAAAAAGCAACTCCTTTATGACATATGAGGACTTTTTCAGTTTTAAATAAGAAAAACCCAACTCAAAGTAGCTTAAATAAAAGGAGACATTTTTTGACTTACATAACCTAAAAGCTCTGGCCTGGATCTAGGTGCTCAACAGATCTCAAGAGTATCTCTCTTATTCTCTCTCCCTCCCTTACCCTCCTCCTCTTTTCTCTCTTCTGTATATATGTTATTTTCAAACAGGCTCTCACAAGTAGTGGCAAGATATAGTTCCTAATAGCTTCAGGTTTGCATTCTACCTACTTTAGCAACTATGATGAGAAGAGAGCTACAATTTGAGCAAAAATTTGTAGGGTGAGTTCTGATTTCCCTGGATTGAGGCACATGCCTATTATTCCTGAACCAAATATTCTGTCCAGGGAATGGAATTCTCTGGGGCATGTATCTAAAGCTGAAGTGTAGAGCCTGCCACACAGGGATAATAATAGTTTTCCAAAGAAAAATCAAGGAGGGGAAAGAATGTTGGAAAGAGAAAAAAATATCAGTTGTCTGCTTCACATTTGTTCTCAATAATTAGTTTCATAGAAGTGAAATACTGTGTAACACCCTAAACTTTAGAGATTCTTCGTAGACAGGAAAAATAAGAACTCAATGAAGTTGTGACTTCATTCAAATCACGTAGTTTATATACATGCTATTAGTAAAACCCAGGACAGCTGAGTACAAGTTTTACCCTTATATTCACATTGAGGTCCAGATCCTGGTTTTGAATGAGATAATTACGTGCAGTCGGACTGTTTTCTGATCCTAAAAATAGAGACAATAATATCTATCTTGTAAAGTTATGGTAGTGTTAAAGATATATAAAATGTTGGCAAGTACCTTAATATACAATAACTACTGCTATATGTTGTCATTGTAATAATAATCATATTTCTTCCTTTGTTGAATTGCTTTCCTGTAGTAATCTTATTGTGATCATCCTGAAACATAGATTTCCGAGCTTCAAGCAAACACTATTATGTTGAAAAATCTACATTATTTCTAAGTTTAGCAGTGCCAGTGGAAAGTTTATTGAAATAGAAAATTACTTTTTTAACTGAGGAGTGTAGATTGTGAATTCGTGATTCATCTTCTTAGGAGATGATCGGAATATTGATAAATATTGATGCATAGAATATGAACAAAACATTACATATCTTGTGCTGTGATATTAAAGTAGTATTCTGTTCTGGTAGTAGTATGGCAGTATTTTAGGTCTGAAAGATGTACATAATCTGTACTTTGAAGTCTGTTTTTTAAGAGATTAATCACAAGAGATTTACATAAAACAACTAAGGTTAAAAATAAATGGTGGATTAGAGATACATCAGGCAAATTTCAATTTCAAAAGCAGATGACAGAATCTCAGTATCAGGGTAGCATTTAAAGCAAAAAGCATTAAACTGGATCAAAAATGTCATTTTACATCAACACAGGGTACACTCCAGGTAAAGACTTAACAGTTATGAACGAATGTGCTAAACATCAAAATGTATTAAGTAAAAGCTGAAAGAAATGAAGAATAATTGGTAGAAAAGCAATGATAGGAATCCTTAATGTACTTCAAAAGGCACGAAGTAAGAAGGTACAGTCATGTACCACATAATGATGTTTGAGTCAACACCTGACCTGGTATACGACAATGGTCCTATAAAATTATAATGGAGCTAAAAAGCTTCTATCACCTAGTGATGTTGAAGCCGTTGCAATGCAATGTATCACTCACATGTTTGTGGTAATGCTGGTGTAAGCAAACTTACTGTACTGTCAGTTGTATAAAAGCATAGCACAGTTATGTTCAGCACATAATACTTTATAATGATAAACGAATATGTTACTAGTTTACGTGTTTACAGTACTATTATTTTAGCATGTGCTTCTGCTTATTAAAAAATGTTAACTATAAAATAATCTTTAGGCAGATCCTACAGGAGGTATTCCAGATAAAGGCATTATTGTCATAGGAGATGGCAGCTCCATGGATGTTATTGCCCCTTAAGACCTTCCAGTGGGACAAGATGTATAGGTGGAAGACAGTGATATTGATGATCCTGACCTTGTAGAGGCCAAGGCTAAAGTATGTATTTATTAGTTTTTAACAAGAGTTTAAAAAGTAAAAAAAAAAAATAAATTTAAAAATAGAAAAAATCTTAATAAGGATACAAAGAAAAAATGTTTTTGTGTAGCTGTGTAATATGTTTTTGTTTTAAGTTAAATGTTACAAAAGAGTCAGAGTTAAATTTTTTTATATTTATAAAGTGAAAAAGTTATAAAATGCTAAGGTTAATTTACTGAAGAAAGAAAAAATTTTTAAACAGATTTAGAGTAGCATGTTTATAAAATCTACAGTAGTTTACAGTAATATCCTAGGCCTTCACATTAACTCACCACTCACCCACTGACTCACCCAGAGCAGCTTCCAATCCTGTAAGCTCCATTCGTGGTAAGTGCCCTATACAGGTGTACAATTTTTATATCCTTTATACCATTTTTACTGAACCTTTTCTGTCTTTTAGATACACAAATAACATTGTGTTACAGTTGCCTATGATATTGAATACAGTAACTTACTGTACAAGTTTGTAGCATAGGAGCTGTATCATATAGCCTGGGTGTGTAGTGAACTATACCATCTAGGCTTGTGTAAGTATATTTTATGACACAGTGATGAAATCATCCAGATACAGTTTCTCTTAAGCAACACATAACTGTATATATATATATATAGGTGGCTTTAATAATAAAATAATGAAATATATTTCTTTTTTTCTGTCATTGACAAAACAATTACCAGTCTTACTAATTAGATCAACTGCAAAACAAAATCTCACTCAAAAATAAAAATATGTAAGTCCCATTCCTTGATTACAATTCATTAGAACTGGAGATTTTTAAAAATGTTTAAATTTATATGGAAATATAAAATCATGTTTTAAATAATTTTTGATTCAATGAGGAAATGTAAATTTAGAACTAAAGATTAATAACTAGAGATTTATAAAGGCAAAAATGTTAATGAATTAGGAAACAGTAAACCATTTGAACTAATCTAAATACTGATTGCATGAAAATGCCAATAAAATCAATACATATTTTTAAAAGCCAGTCAAGGATAAAAGAAAAGAGGGAAACTAAAAGTGAGACATTAAGTATGAGAAAGGAGATAAAACTAAAGTGTGGAGGTGATGTTAAAAATTATATTCAGGTCTGTGCTAATCATTTTGGAAATTTCAGTGAGAAGTGGGCAATTTTCAGTGAATATATCATTGTAAATGCTTTGAGGAGAGACAAAATCTGAATAGACCCTGCAATAATGAAAATGTCTAGGAGCCCTCAAGAAATACCTGGTTTAAATTGCATTTCAGGTGGCTGGTTATCACACCTTGAAGTATCAAGTAATTATGTTATCTAAATTGGACCAGGTGTTAGAAAAATATGTGAGACTTCACAGGTGGCTGCTTATGTAGCCCTTATACCTTAATCTGATAAAGGTAGCATATATTTAAAAAGAGAGAAAACCAGAAGGTACAATTTAGGGAAAATTAAATACTTCTATTTGGCCAAAGTAAGAGTACATTCAAGGGAATTGTGAGAGGTAAGAGTGGAAACAGAGGTTGGAGCTGTATTTTTATGCTGTGATTGAATTACAGTGTGTGATAAATATTGCTCTTATTTGGGTAGATTACCATTTAACATTTTGAATTAATTGGTAATTGGATTAATCTTAACTTTTAAAAAACTAATCTGAGAGTGGTATAAAGGATAGATTACAGAATGGATAAAGGGTGATAAATCAGTTGGCTATGGCAAAATTGCAGGAAGAAACTGAAATAGGCCACAGAAAACTGAAACTGACATTTTGAGTAGTATTTCAGAATCAAGATCTGGATTTTGGCAACTGAATAGATGCGTAGGAATCAAAGATGAGTATACTAAATGAACTTAATCTATGATTTGTCTGTCATTTTATTGTGTACCATTAGTGTGTATGCATGTATGTATGTGCCAGGTAGTTAATAGGCTGACTGTGTCTCTTAGCTCCACTCTGCTGCCTGGGCCTTTGCCATAGTGCTGGAGTTCCCTCACTTCTCTTTTCTGTAACCCTATTATATTACTGCTGTCTCTCAGCTGTGTTTCATTCCTCAAGCAGAAAGAAGATGGGAGGATCATATAGTAGTTGACTAGAAGCTGTGGAGTTTGAGTGCTGGGATTATATCTAGTTCCATTACTTATGAAGATTATATCTAGTTCCATTACTTCACCTCATCTATAAAATGGTTTACCAATAGTACCTACCTTACATGGTTTTATGAGTATTAAATTATGTATTTCTAAAGACATTTAGAACAATACAAAGAATATAGTGTGGGCTCAATAAGTGACGATGGTGTTAGTTATTAGAAGGCCATCGAGTGCTGGAGAAAATAATTGAATATCATTGATGGAAATAAAGGAAGTTTTCCACGTTAAAAAGCTTCGGTTTTTGGAAATGTGTGTTTTCAGTATTTCTGAGATTACCAGGTAGAAATTCCAGCCAGATGTTGGAATTCTGCACTGGCAGTTGGGAATAAAGTCATGTTAAAGGAGATAAGTTTTGGAGTTATTGTGTAAAATTGGTAAAGCACTGGAATAGATTGGTTTGACAGAGGGGAAACTCTTTTTGAGATAGGCCTATATTTAGGGACAAGAGAAGAGACAACCAATAAGGGTTGAAAGAAACCTTGAGAGAGTAAGTCCTATGACAGAAGCAGGGAAGTTTCAGAATGATTGCAGAAAGATCAGCCAGGCTCTTCCTGTTCTCCATCGTGGTGCAGGATCAAGGTGAAAAGGATAACCCCATGCAGGAATTTTGCATCTGCAGGCTCCGCTTCAACATCTGTTTAGGAGAAAGTGGAGACAGACTGACCTGAGTAACTAAGGTCTTGGAACAGCTTACAGGTCAGAACCAGGTGTTTTCCAAAGCTAGATATACTGTTAGCGCCTTTGGCAACAGAAGAAATGAAAAGACTGTTGTCTGCTGCACAGTTCGAGGGGCCAAGGCAGACGAAATCCTGGAGAATGATCTAAAGGTGCAGGAGTGTGAGTTAAGAAAAAATAACTTCTCAGATACTGGAAACTTTGGTTTTGGGACCCAGGAACACATTGATCTGGGTATCAGATATGACCCAAGCATTGATGTCTACAGCCTGGACTTCTATGTGGTGCTGGAAAAGCCAGGTTTCATCATTGCAGGTAAGAAGTGCGGGACAGGCTTCATTGGTGCCAAATAGAATCAGCAAAGAGGAGGCCATGCGCTGGTTCCAGCAGAAGTATGATGGGATCATCCTTCCTGGCAAATAAATTCTCATTTCTACCCAAAAGGGTAATAAAAAGTTTTCAGTGAAATGTTTAAAAAAAAAATAAAAAAAAGATCAGCCAGCAGCCAGGATGGGATTGTGAAAACAGCAGGAAATTAGTTGTTGACAAAGCATTAATGACCAT
Source organism: Homo sapiens (assembly GCF_000001405.40). Classification (NCBI taxonomy): domain Eukaryota; kingdom Metazoa; phylum Chordata; class Mammalia; order Primates; family Hominidae; genus Homo; species Homo sapiens. The sequence continues at coordinate 87,946,174 of NC_000010.11, forward strand.
TAAGAAATCAGCCTCGGCTGGGCATGGTGGCTCATCCCTGTAATCGTAACACTTTGGGAGGCCAAGGCAGATTTCTTGAGTCCAGGAGTTGAGACCAGCCTAGGCAACATGGCAAAACCCTCGTTCCTCCTTAATAAATAAATAAATGAATAAATAAACAAGCAAGCAAGCAGGGCTTGGTGTTAGGCGCCTGTACTCCTAGCTACTCGGGAGGCTGAGGGGGTTGAACCTGGGAGGCAAAGGTTGCAGTGAGCCAAGATTGCACTACTGCACTCCAGCCTGGGTGACAGAGTGAGACCATGGCACCCCCCTCCCCTTCAAAAAGAAATCAGCCTCATAATCAATTTCTCTGGATTAAGGAGTAAGAGCGTCTCAAGATTTGCTGTTTATAGAGAGGGAGGCTAATAGTTTGAGAGAGATACAGAATCTAGGGAGAGTGTGGGTTTTTGGTCTTTCAGTTGTTTGCCAGCCTTGGATAAAGAATGAAGATTACTTGAGCATATTATTTAGAGACAAGTGGAGAGAATAAAGGCACATGCCAGATAGGAGATAATTAATAAAGCACTTGTCCAAAATAGAAACTTGTTGAACAGGAAGAGACGTCAAGTATAAGGAGATTTTAAGATGGGAGAAGGGAATTTTGAGTGTTTGTATTGGATGACCTCAGGGTTCCCAGTAAAGCAGGAGCTGAATTCATCGAAGGTGATGTGTTGGTCAGGATCAAGAGAGAGGTTGGGAGAACAAAGTGCTAAAATCGTTGTGGTCAAGAGTTTAAAAAGTGTATACCAGAAGAGTTATTGAGTGATAGGGGTTTGAAATAGGCAAAGCTGTAGGAAAGGGGGCTGGAAGGAATATTAGGAGGAACACTAAATATACTTCTGAGGTCTACCTCCTGGTCTGTGAACATAAAGGAGCTGAAAGAGTAATGGCTGAAGTTCTTTAGTTTAGCTAAAGTTTTTTAGCTAAAGCTAGAATTGTTGAAAGTTGTATTTGAGGAAAAAAAGTTAAGGATACAGTTGACCGTTCGATAATGTAGCCCACTGTTGACCAGAAGCCCTACCCACAACATAAACAGGCAATAACACATATTTTGTATGTGTATTATATAGTATATTCTTAACAATAAAGTAAACTAGAGAAAAGAACATGTATCAAGAAAATCATAAGGAAGAGAAAACACATTTACAGTACTGTACTGTATTTATTGGTACCATACATTTATGTTGCTGTTTACAAGATGAAGCATCTGTCTGAAATGGCCAGCAGCTACAGCTGTACCTATCTACTGTACATATCAAGCAAGTCACTTTATTCTTATAATGTCTATGACTTCTTTCTTTGAAAGCGCTTCCATCATCACTGTTGGCACTTCATATGGGTCTCATGGTGTTAAGGTTTACGGCATTGCACTAGACACAATGAAAACTACACAAGAGGGCCGGGCACGGTGGCTCACGCCTGTAATCCCAGCACTTTGGGAGGCCGAGGCGGGCGGATCATGAGGTCAGGAGATTGAGACCATCCTGGCTAACACAGTGAAACCCTGTCTCTATTAAAAATAAAAAAATTAGCCAGGCATGGTGGCACGTGCCTGTAATCCCAGCTAATCGGGAGGCTGAGGCAGGAGAATCGCTTTTTCCCAGAAGGCGTAGGTTGCAGTGAGCCGAGATCGTGCCACTGCACTCCAGCCTGGATGATAGAGGGAGACTCTGTCGCAAAAAAAAAGAAAAGAAAAAGAAAAGAAAAGAAAAACACACAAGAGCCGTGAGAGAGATAGCTTTTGATTGCAATACACAATTTACTGGAGAGATGAGCTGATCATACAGAGATGATTAGTGTCACACAGTGTTTTAAACAGATTCTTGCAACCCTGGAGTTCACTGCAGTAGCAACAGAAGTTAGCTATGAGATTTTAACAGTAGTATAGTATGTACTACAGTTAATATTAGGTAGCTATGATTTAATGCTGCATCTTTGCATTTGTTTACATTTATCTTGACTACAAGTGGTATTATGTCTGGTCTTAAGGTTTGTGTGCATATGTTTTGATGAATTTTAACTTTTTATAATAGGTTTGTGTATATTTTATGGCAGTAAATGATAAAACAGACTAATCTACATATATTTTATGTAGTCATGACATAAACCTAACTTTTTCTTAACTTTTTGATATTTCTAGTCTATGTGTTTCATCTGCAGGTTTTTTCAAATTGTTGAAATCTCTGAAAAATTTTATTGAAAAAAAATCCATATATGTAAGTGGACCCACACATTTCAAACCTGTGTTCAAGGGTCAGCTGTGTAAATAATTTTCCTCAAAATTAAAGTGGAAAAGGAGAGTTACTACTAGTAGAAAGTAGAACTGTACCCTTGGGCAGGGGTGTGTGTGTGTAGTTAAAGATCAATTTAACTTAAAAGGTCTTGGTTAGAGAATAAAAACTGGCCCTTATTAGCTTTAATTTACATGAAAAATGAAAAATTTTAGGCCAGGCACAGTGGCTCAGGCCTGTAATCCCTTAACTTTGGGAGACCAAGGGGAGTGGATCACTTGAGGTCAGGAGTTCAAGACAGCCTGGCCAACATGCTGACTCACCCTTCCCTACTGAAAATACAAAAGTTAGCCAGGCGCAGTGGCCATCCCTACAGTGCTAGCTACTCGGGAGGCTGAGGCAGGAGAATTGCTTGAACCCGGGAGGCAAGGTTGCGGTGAGCTGAGATCGCACCACTGCACTCCAGACTGGGTGACAGAGCGAGACTCCATCTCAAAAAAAAAAAAAAAAAAAAAAGATTTGAAAACAGAGTATTTTTTAATCTGCAAGAGCTTTACAGCCTTTTATTCATATGTATAAGCTTTTAAAGATGACTAAAATTTTAGTGTGGACTTTCCACTCATTGGAAATCCTATATTGCAGGTGTTAATTCAATTTTAGTGAGTGTGCATCATGGCTCAGAGAGATAGGACTAGAATGAGGAGGTCACATTGGAGACTCTGAAACAGATACATGTGAGCCTCCCAACTTTTTAATATTTGTTAATCTAGAAGTGTTGAATTTTGGGTGCTGACAAGGCAGCAGGTAGATAAGAATTGCAAAGTTAAGAAAATAGACTGTAATATTGATGGTAAACTAATTGATTAAATTTTAAAATGTACTTTTCCATGTTTTTCTTTGAATTGTCAGTAATTTTGTTTCAACTGGTATTCATACATAGATTATTCACCCAATGTTGACAACTAGTAGATTTATATATTTTTTATGTTGCCTATCCTTTTTTGGGTAAGGATTAACAGAATGTATAATCACCTACATTATAGGTACACTACTAATCACTTGCTACTTGAAAAAACCTAAAGCTTTGAAATCTTTTTATTATTGCACACAAACTTATGCCAAAAATGGAGATAAAGAGAAAAATGTCATCCACTAAACCCCAACAAATAATGTTGACAATGTGGTCTACTCGTAGACTCGCATTGACTTAATTTTTTTAAATCTTATTGCATATTTTGACTAGATAATAAATGCATATGGTTAAAAAATTCACATGGTTCAAAAAAGTACACCTCCCACTCATCTTCCATGTGATATTTCCTTTCTGCTTAGCAATTCTGTATTTATCTTGCTAAACATGAATGACAGTTGTTTGCTGAAATTACATTAAATGTGACGTAATAAAATCATTGTAAGTTTACATTTTTTAACTTTAATAATTTTTAATGTTTTAATGAAGAGTATGAAGAGTAGTAGTACTGCTCTTCAAAGTACTACTACTTTACCTTACCTTTTACTGTTTTGTTAAGAAAATTAGGCCGGGCGCAGTGGCTCACGCCTGTAATCCCAGCACTTTGGGAGGCCGAGACGGGCGGATCACGAGGTCAGGAGATCGAGACCATCCTGGCTAACACGGTGAAACCCCGTCTCTACTAAAAATACAAAAATTAGCCGGGCATGGTGGTGCGCGCCTGTAGTCCCAGCTACACGGGAGGCTGAGGCAGGAGAATGGCGTGAACCCGGGAGGCAGAGCTTGCAGTGAGCCGAGATCGCACCACTGCACTCCAGCCTGGGCGACAGAGCGAAACTCCGTCTCAAAAAAAAAAAAAAAAAAAAGAAAAAAGAAAATTATATAGAAATAAAATTCCAGCTATTCCAAAACTGCACCTTGAATACAGGTACAGAATTGCTAAAACCGTGTACCATTTTGTAGTTTTAGCATGCTTTTGTGTAACTGCATCTGGTGTTTGATCCTCATGAGAGCCCTGTTAAGGAAGGGTACATATTATTGTCCTCATTTTCCTTCGAAAACACATCAGAGTTTGTATTTTGACTGTCAGCATTCAAATACAAGTCTTTTATTTATAAAATTTTGGTCTTTATACTGTGGCTAAAAATCTTAAATCACTTGTCATGATTTGAAATGGTTTATACCGATTTTTTTTGACATTTATACACACATACACATATTTTTAAATTGTCTATAATAAAATCATGCTCATCTTTGAAAAAATATTAGGAGTACTACAGTGGATACCTACATACTTGCTATTCAGCATACCTGGTTTTTTGTTTGTTTTTTGAGACAGTCTTCTCTGTGGTCCAGGTTGGAGTGCAGTGGCACGATCTCAGCTCATTGCAACCTCCGTCTCCCAGGCTCAAGTGATTGTCCTGCCTCAGCCTCCCAAGTAGCTGGGACTGCAGGTACACATCACCACGCCCAGCTAATTTTTTGTATTTTTGGTAGAGACGGGGTTTCACCATGTTGGCCAGGCTGGTCTCCAACTCCTGACCTCAAGTGATCAGCCCACCTCGGCCTCCCAGAGTGCTGGGATTACAGGTTGTGAGCCACTGCACCTGGCCTGTTTTTAAATTCACATAAATATGTTTTATATTTTTCATTAGGGAGAAGAAGGTTGTGTCTACAATTTTTAAGACATTGGGGAGATTTAGATGCCAGTAGTAACTTAAAAGAGAAATAATTGCAAATTCTTTTTCCTCTTGAGTATACTTTCATTTAAGGTACAGTGTTCTGTAAGTTACTTTTACCGTTAAACTTCTTAATGTTGCTTATTGTTTGTCTTACATTTTTAGGTTGGATTTTTCTTAAGTCACATGTCTAATAAAAAAAACCCTTAAATACCTCATTTATTCGTCTTCGTTAGTGAATGCATTGTTGTACATATTAGATTTTTCTCTTTAGATAACTCAGCTTCCCCTATTAAGTGCCACATGTATTACAAAATTTTATTTATGTTTTATTGTTTAATAAACTCTTGAGAACTAGATACATTTTAATCATTTGTAATACTTACATTTTCTAAAACACTTCATTTTTCCCTGGTTTCTTCAACAAAGAGATGCATGTAGTACAAGGATAGCTTTACCTGTGTTAGAAGATTGTTTCACACATTTACATCAACTGCATAGTCCTGTTTTTGTTGGGCCCTAATGCCAGCATCACTTTTTGCTACTGCTGTTTCTGCCTTAAAGGCAATATGCCTCTGTCTAGTTTGCTGATTCTGATACTCTTTCCCCTGGAAAGTAGGTAATCAAGTTTGTGAGGAGCTGTGTGTTTAAGGAGTCCATAAATCCTTGTGGGGAGCCCTAGGTGTATAGAGCATAGCTGTAGGGCAGAGGCCTTTGACACTTATTCTGGATATGCAGTGGCCTTTGCCTATGGGGTTCATGGGTCAGAGCGCTGTTGTGACCTTTGAATAAATGGGTTGTTATGATAATTGTTTTAAGGGAGGAGAGTTATTCTGATATCCTTTGTATTGATATTGCTCTTATTTATTATTGAGCTGGATTTAAGTATTAATCATTTAAGGTCAAATTTCTAATGTATATATGTTCTTAAATGGCTACGACCCAGTTACCATAGCAATTTAGTGAAATAACTATAATGGAACATTTTTTTTCAATTTGGCTTCTCTTTTTTTTCTGTCCACCAGGGAGTAACTATTCCCAGTCAGAGGCGCTATGTGTATTATTATAGCTACCTGTTAAAGAATCATCTGGATTATAGACCAGTGGCACTGTTGTTTCACAAGATGATGTTTGAAACTATTCCAATGTTCAGTGGCGGAACTTGCAGTAAGTGCTTGAAATTCTCATCCTTCCATGTATTGGAACAGTTTTCTTAACCATATCTAGAAGTTTACATAAAAATTTAGAAAGAAATTTACCACATTTGAAATTTATGCAGGAGACTATATTTCTGAAGCATTTGAACAAATTAATTAGCTTTGTTGTTCAACTCATTGGGCTAAAGAAGCCAAAAGCAATGGGTTTTAATGTAGTCGAAGCCAAATTATATTTATGAAAGAAATATTCTGTGTTATAACCACCAAATACAGCCCAATTCTGACTAGATGATGGAAGAACCTGTCCCATCAGAGGTCCAGCATGAGGTCCAGCAGAGGTCCACCAGAGGAGTTCAGCAATTTGCTGCTCTTAGGGCAGGGATCAATTCCTTAATATCTTAGGAAGACTAGGTATTGACAGTAATGGTGACAAAGCAATGAAAAGGAAAGGAAGAAGTGATAAGACGTGGCAGCAAGCTGAAGTATGATGAGTAAAGAATAGGAATCAAAGTATGTGGAGTGTTAGAGAAAACCTGGATTTAGATCCAGATTCTAGTCCTATCTCTGTCATTAATCTATTGCGTAACCCTGAGCATATCATCTACCTCTCTTTGAGTTTGCTTGTCAATAAAATGAAGAGACTTTGAAATCTGAGACTTCCTGGATAAGTACTAAATACAGATTATGTCACTGATGTCTGCCTCTATTTATTTCTCCCTTTTACCCTAATCTCTATAAGTCTACCTCAGTCATCCTGATCCTATTCTACTTCTCTGATGTTGTTGTCAGATAGGTGTGATCATCCTCATCAGATCTTTTCTGTATTCTTAGAGACAGATAACTTTATCAAAGACCACAGATTTATTAGTATAGCATGTTAAAGTCTTCTAAAGAGTCTCATTGATGCTCTTTTCATCTCAGTACAATTTTTAAAACTGCTGAATGCAAGGTACTGAGCTGTTGGAAGTGACTGACAGATGAATGTAACAGATTCATAGAGAAGGAAAAAGGAAGAAAAACTCATGCTCTTCCTATAGTATTGATATCAGTGTAAGAGCCAAGAGAAAGGTATAAAGTATCATGCAGATATTAAGGGAAAGAAAACATTCACTTTAGTAATCTTTCCTCATTTTCTAGTTTCCTCTTATGTACTATGATTTAATACTGTAGTAAAGTTTTAATAAAATATGAGCTATATGTAATTAAGTGGGAGGTTGTGGGGCTAGGCACGAGGCTCACACGTGTAACCCCAGCACTTTGGGAGGCTGAGGCAGGCGGATCGCTTGATCTCAGGAGTTCGAGACCAGCCTGGACAACAAGGTGAAACCCCATCTCTACTAAAAACACAAAAATTAGCTGGGCATAGTGGCACACACCTGTAGTCCCAGCTTCTTGGGAGGCTGAGGCAGGAGAATCGCTTGAATCCAGGAGGCAGAGGTTGCAGTTAGCCGAGATCATGCCACTGCACTGCAGCCTGGACATCGGAGCAAGACTTTGTCTTAGAAATAAATAAATAAATATAAAATAAAATAAATGGGAAGTTGTGTATATAAATTATAAATGCTACATTCAGAAAAGCTTTTGAAGGTTGTCAGACAGTTTCTTAAAGGAAGTTCACCAGTTCTTTATTGAACATTGAAGAAAACATACAGTTTAGACTGGCATTAAAACTGAAAGAAGTGGCCAGACGCAGTGGTAGACGCAGTGGTTCACGCCTGTAATCCCAGCACTTTGGGAGGTCAAGGTGGATGGATCACCTGAGGTCAGGAGTTTGAGATCAGGCTGGCCGACATGGTGAAACCCTGTCTCTACTAAAAATACAAAAATTAGCCAGGCATGGTGATGCGTGCCTGTAGTCCCAGCTACTTGGGAGGCTGAGGCAGGAGAATTGCTTGAAGCCGAAGGTGGAGGTTGCAGTGAGCCGAGATTGCGTCATTGCACTCCAGCCAGGGCGGTAAGAGTGAGGCTCCGTCTTAAAAAAAAAATAAGTAAATAAATTAAAAACTACTGAAAGAAGTATTACAGGCAATGGGAAATAGCTTGAGTGGAAGTGCAGCAGAAGGAAAAAGCTGGACAAGAATGTAGTGTCAGAGAATAGGTATGGAACGTGTGAGTGACTGTTAGAGGATCTTGAATGGGGATAACAGACTTGATTTCATAAATACTGAGATGTCATGATAATACTTGAGGACTAAACCATGTTTTAAGGACAGTTGTATGCAAAGTTGTAATCGCAAGAGGAAAAAATAGTGGAAAAGAAACCAGTAATAAAACTTGCCTTAATGCAGGTATGCTAAGACAATCAAATGGGATTTCATTAATTTTTTATTTGCCATTTATAGCCAAAGATTTTGTAAAAGTTTTGAGCCCAGTCAGGTGAAATAGTCTCAGAAAGAAAGAAAAGTGAATCTGAGACTTGGAGACATTAATGTTGATATTTTGGTTTTAAACGTGTTTTAAATCCGGTAAAAGTGAGCTTCTCACATGACAATATTCAGTGGGTACTTGGGAGTATGGGTTCGAATCTAGGTAGGAGATATATCGATATTTTGGGCATCATCAGGAAAGGGAGAGTAGTTAAGCCTTTCATATAAATAATGGTGTGGCGTTTGGGCATGGGAAGTCTTGGAGGAAAGGAAGAAAAGGAGAGGGTGAGGACTGAGATAAGAATGGCAACTTGGGTTTAGGAAGAAGAAGAGGAATCAATGTAGAGAACAGATAGTGCTGAAAAATACAGCATCTTCTGTAGGGATTGGCAGCTTTTTCTTGATTTTTGTCTTAATATTTCTAAGAGATGGAAAAAGCTACTATATTCTAGACATTTAACAGGGTTAAAAATGTTACTAAAAGATGATCAATGTGGTTTTCATTCAAGACTATAACAATATGTATATATCCAAGGAAATTTAATTCTGACTTAAAAAAATTGTTTTGCTTGTATAGATTTAGGGACACAAGTGTAATTTTGTTACATGCATAGAGTGTATAGTTTCAAGTCAGGGCTTTTAGGTTGTCCATCATCTGAATAATATACATTGTACCCATTAAGTAATTTCTCATCTTCTACTCACCGTTTCAAGTCTCCACTATTTATCATTCCATTCTTTACATTCTGATTTTCATTTACTAGGTGTATTAGTCTGTTTTTGCATTGCTTTAAAGAAATACCTGAGACTGAGTATTAAACAGGTTTAACCTGTTTTCTTTATGAATTCTTCTTTAATTGGCTCATGGTTCTGCACGCTGTACAGAAAGCATAGCAGCATCTGCTTCTGGGGAGGCCTCAGGAAGCCTCCAATCATGGCTGAAGGCAAAAGGGGAGCATGGTGAGAATGGGAGCAAGAAAGAGAAGGAGTGGTGGGGAGAAGGTGCCACCCACTTTTAAATGCCAGCTCACTTACCACCAAGAGGATGGCCCAAGCCATTCATGTGGGATCTGCCCCCATGATTCAAGCTTCTTCCACCAGGCCCCACCTCTAGCACTGGGGATTACAATTCAACCTGAGATTTGGGAGGGAAAGATATCCAAACTATATCACTAGGTCTGGATCTTGTTATTTATTTTTTGGAACATAGTCATATATATCCAAGGATATATATTGTAGAAGTCCACAGAACCATACTAATATTGGACTTCTGCTTAGTTAGGTCTTATCTATCTGAAACATGATATTCATATTGCAGAGAAGATTATTTTCTTTAGTGATTGAGGAAATCTTTACTACTTATACATTTTTAATATAATACTATAATATTTGAAGATGCACATTTTAGATGTAGTTTAATTGAAACCTGGAAATACTATTAATTTGCTTTTTAAAGTCCTAAAATCAGGATTATCAGATTCTGAATTAATGGAGTTTAAATCAAAAAGATTACAAGGCAGTTTTTCAGTTTTATTCTGGTTAATTTTATCACAGCTTTGGAATCCTACTTTGTTTATTTGCTTCTTGAAGTTAGATTTCCCAGTGAAATTTCAGTATCACATAAAGTCTTATGAAATGGCTCATTGCACTTTGAACTTTGAGTCAAGGAAGTGAAATTTATTGATAGATTGTTGGTGTAATATTTATCCTGTTTGTGGTAGCTTTTTTGAATAATAAGTGTCTTAGAAGACCATGTTGGAGTAGCCTGCATGCTTTTATCAAACATATTAATTATGTGATGGCTGATACTGCTTTAGATATTACATAGAAATAGTAGTAGGTGTTTACTAAACTGGAAATTTCATTTAACTTGGTTTAGCTTTGCCTTGTTCTCAGTCACATTGATAAAAATGTAAGACTTTTGTTTATCTTTTAGAATAATGACACCTTTTGGTGCTGAGAATTTTTTGTTTTATATATATATATATATATACGTAATATAAATACAAAATATATTTAAATATGTATAATATTTCTCATACACTTTATGTAACTTTGTGTTCCTGTTTCTCTATTATCTTGGCATGTTTTCTTCAAATGGCACTTCTTAACCTCCTAAGGTTAATAAATTTCTTTGTAATGGACTTTTGTTTTCTAATTCCTCAGCGTATGACAAATGAATTATACTTTGTCAAATTATTTAGGTAACTTTCAGTTTTTGAAGTCCTGGGATCATAACATTCATCAGTCTTTAATTTCTGTCATTAAGGTCATTAGCTATAAATGAATTTATGAGTAGATTTAAAAAATAAAACATACAATCCTTCCCTTAACACACTTTCCCACCATTTGGTTCAACTGCTAGTGTAAAAGCATGATGAATTTTGAGAAGTTATATTTTACCAGTTACTTTATTTTTTACCAGTTATTTAAAACAGACATGAGCCAAAGCCAGAATACTTGTTAATGAAAATGAGGTGTTTTGGAGGAAAGGAAGGTTGTGCTGCAGTTTTTACTTGAAATCTGTTACATTTCTTTACAGAAATTTCAAATCTCTTGTTTCCTGTTATGATGGTGGCATTATATACCTTTAAAATGTGAGCTATAGGAAAATGAATGATGGTTAATTTTTTAATAAATATTTAGACTTGTGTTTTTGAAATTTTTTATAACATTGTTATAGGTTTTATCCTCTTTCTCTTGTGAACATGTAGTGATTTGTATTTTGTGATCTTTGCCGCATGCTAGAGACTTAAGAATACTATAGCAAATATCTGTCTTCTTTACATTTAAAAATTTTTCGTGACTACTCCCTGTTGATATCTGTCTTAAAAGTTACTTTTGATGTAGTTCACAAATGTACCAGATAATTATTTCATCGTTTTTAATGCTTAAAGTTTTTATTTGTATTAGGATTTTTAGTATGATTTTAATGTTAAAGTTTTGAAGTTACTCTGCCACTAGAAGTCTAATTTTGGGACTTACTATTCATGAAATAGGAATTGACTTTTATATAAGTAATAGGACCTTATTTTGAAGGTTCAAACTGGAGAAAATCTTACATTGTTTATATTTTTATTTCATTTATTTCAGTTGATTTGCTTGAGATCAAGATTGCAGATACAGAATCCATATTTCGTGTATATTGCTGATATTAATCATTAAAATCGTTTTTGACAGTTTGACAGTTAAAGGCATTTCCTGTGAAATAATACTGGTATGTATTTAACCATGCAGATCCTCAGTTTGTGGTCTGCCAGCTAAAGGTGAAGATATATTCCTCCAATTCAGGACCCACACGACGGGAAGACAAGTTCATGTACTTTGAGTTCCCTCAGCCGTTACCTGTGTGTGGTGATATCAAAGTAGAGTTCTTCCACAAACAGAACAAGATGCTAAAAAAGGTTTGTACTTTACTTTCATTGGGAGAAATATCCAAAATAAGGACAGATTAAAAGCTATATTTTATTTTATGACATGTAAGGAACTATAATTTGTTTTCTATTAGATCTGCAGGTGTTTTGCTTACTCTGGCATTGGTGAGACATTATAAGGGTAAATAATCCTGTTTGAAGGAAAAGGCCTTATGGCATTGTAACATGAGAGGAATTTTTCTTAACAAGGATGGTTAACTGAGAAGAAATTAGCATGGGACCAATATTTTAAAAATTTTGGTCTATAGGTAGAAATGAGATCTGTTCTGTGGTCTTATGTAGTGACACAAACCACTTTTTCTCCATTTTGGCTTATGTTTCTTTTTCTTTCCTTTTTTTTTTTTTTCCTTTTTGTTAGAGACAGGGTCTTGTTCTATTGCCCAGGCTGAGTAGCTAAGACTACAAGCATGTGCCACCACACCCAGCTAATTTTTTTTATTTTTATTTTTGTAGGGACAGGGTCTCACTATGTTGCCCAGGCTGGTCTCAAACTCCTGGGCACAAGCAGTCCTCACGCTTTGGCATCCCAAAGAGTTGGAATTACAGGTGTGCGCCATCATGCCTGGCCTTAACGTTTCTTAAGACTTGATTATTTTCTATTTAGCTTCTGTGGATTTACTGATTAATTTTTTAACTAGGAGAGAAATCAGTATGAAGAGGAAGTAATAAAGAATGAAAACATGGTATTTAAATGTGCAGGTTTAGAAAGTTAATGAAGTTTGAATTTGATTGATCTGTATTTAGAGAAGGCAACGTCTTATTATTTTAAAACCAACTATCCGCCCTGTGCGGTGGCTCACGCCTGTAATTCCAGCACTTTGGGAGGCTGAGGTGGGCAGATCAGCTGAGGTCAGGAGTTCGAGACCAGCCTGGCCAACATGGTTAAACCCCATCTCTACTAAAAATACAAAAAAATTAGCCGGGTGTGGTGGCAGGCGCCTGTTTTCCCAGCTACTCAGGAGGCTTGAGGCAGGATAATTGCTGAACCCGAGAGGCGGAGGTTGCAGTAAGCCAAGAATGCACCATTGTACTCCAGCCTGGGCAACAAGAGTGAAACTCCATCTCAAAAAAAAAGAAAAAAAAAACAACAACTATCTTCATTTAAAATATTAAATGTGAATATTTAAAGTGAGACTAAGGTGCAACATTTTTAGATAGTAATGAAGAAAAGGACTAACTTTGTAGTGTTGCTGCCTTGTTAAACATACTAGATAGCATATTGCCAATCTTTAAACATTCTCAATGATAGGATTTATTTACTTTTTCTGATTTTTAGCTTTTCTTTTGAAAGAAAATAAGAGGAAGTTTCATTTACTGCAAAATTTTAAATGCTGCTTTGATGTATCAGTAGAGATATAATTTTCCTTTATCCAGAATCCAAGTAGCTGGAAAAAAAAATCAAAATATGCTGAACTTTTTTTTTTTTAGCCAGAAACCCATTTCCTATCGTCTGTACAAATAAAAGTTAAATATATCTCAATAACTTAGAAAAATTATTTTTTGATAATCCAGGAAGTATTAGCAACTGTTTTAAAATTAAGATAACTAGTAAGTTTTATTTAGCTTTCAAAAATAGGCATCTACATCATCATCTCTGCATACCTTTAGGAATTTCCTAATTCTTATTTCCCTTCATCTGTACTTTAACACATGCAAAATTGAAGGTTAGATTAAATATTTATGATTTATTTGTTTATCCTTGACTACATAAATTTCCATTTTATTGATTTTCCCTGCCTTATTTAAGAATATGCTATGATTAAAACACAAAAAATTTTAGTATAACCCATATATATATAGAATTCACCTTTTTGTTATTTAAATATTATTGGCTTATTTTCTTCTAAGTAAAATACAATTACTGGCTAAAATAATTGAAATAAGCAAAAAAAAAATTTTAAAGACCTTGTATACAAGATTACTTTGCCAGGTACTGTTAAAAGATGCAATGACATTTAAGACGTAACATCCTTAAGGATCTTATTTTCTGGGGGATAAAAAACTTTAAGATAAATTAGAATAAAAGATTTAAATGGCATTTTAAGGTACCAGGTACCAGATAAGATGTCACAAGGCTGTATATCATTAATTGCCAAATGATTTATACAGGCCAGATTTCTTTGTTGGTCAATAGAGGTTTAAAGTGATGAACTTCTGTTGTGTTTTTTTATTAAGAAGGTATTATCTTATTAGTAAGAAGTGATTTTTTTTAAGAACAAGCATTTTATAACATCAAAAGAAATCAGTAGTACTCTTTCCTACCCCCTCATATTTATTCTGAAAGTATTCAAGCATTATATTGTCATGTAAGAAACTGGAGCTTCTCATGTTTGTATTGCTGTAGAAGTAAACATGTATTTGCCATGCGTCATCAGGGAAGTTGCACTCACCGTCCAAGAACTTTTGTTAAAGTAAATCTTGGAATAGGTAGCTCATTTGAAATGTAGAAAAAATTAAATCCATATCTGAATTTTGTTTATATGTATGTACACGTAAACTAAAAACGTATTTAAAGCTAGTATTAGATGAGAAAAGAGGTTTTTTTACTTAAAATTTTAAGGCAAAAGTAGTTTATCTTAGATCTTGTGAGATTGTATTTTTGGTTTAAAATTTGAGAATTTGAGTGAAGAAAAATCATGTGAATGAAAATGCAACAGATAACTCAGATTGCCTTATAATAGTCTTTGTGTTTACCTTTATTCAGAATATCAAATGATAGTTTATTTTGTTGACTTTTTGCAAATGTTTAACATAGGTGACAGATTTTCTTTTTTAAAAAAATAAAACATCATTAATTAAATATGTCATTTCATTTCTTTTTCTTTTCTTTTTTTTTTTTTTTAGGACAAAATGTTTCACTTTTGGGTAAATACATTCTTCATACCAGGACCAGAGGAAACCTCAGAAAAAGTAGAAAATGGAAGTCTATGTGATCAAGAAATCGATAGCATTTGCAGTATAGAGCGTGCAGATAATGACAAGGAATATCTAGTACTTACTTTAACAAAAAATGATCTTGACAAAGCAAATAAAGACAAAGCCAACCGATACTTTTCTCCAAATTTTAAGGTCAGTTAAATTAAACATTTTGTGGGGGTTGTTGACTTGTATGTATGTGATGTGTGTTTAATTCTAGGAGTACAGCTGATGAAGAACTTGCTTGACAAGTTTTTAACTTATGTATTATTTCGAAGCAGTGTTTACGTAGCAGTAACATGAAAGTTTCTAATAAAATACCCAATGTACACAGCGTCAAAAAAGCTGCATTTTTCCTTTTCCTAATTCTTCGTTGTTTGCTGAAATCTGGGGCAAAGGTGCGGGAGGGGGCTAAATGACTGGGATATGAAGTAGGAATGGGAGAGGAAAGAAATAGATGGGAACTCAGTCATTTGGGAATGATTCATATGGAATGTTTTTACTGCTTCCACTCCTGTCTGCCTTCCAATTTATTCTCAATCCCTCAGAGTGATCTTAAAAATAGACTTGATTGTGTCACTTCTGTTTACACTTTATAAGGACCTTGTGTTTTTTTTTTTACCATGACCTACAAGGCCCAGCATAATTTAGCACAGGGCTACCTCCTACATCAGCACTAGTCACCTTCTCTCCTTGTTTCTTGAGATTCAGTCATACTGGTCTTTCTTCAGTTCTTCAAAATGCTAAGCTTCTGCCTCTTCTAGTCTTTCCAGTTATTTTCCTTCTCCCTGTACCTTTTCATCTCAGCCTTTTCCCCTGACCTTCCATAGCTATCTTCATATTTCCAGCCTTAGCTTCAATCTCATATTCTCTGAAGTCCTTTGATTGTCCTCCCGTTATTCTTTTTTTAAAAATCCTATTTCCTTATATTGTATCTTAGAATTATTTGGTTTGTTTCATTTTTGCCTATGTGTGATATATGTATTTCTACATAGGTATATATATCTACTTATAGACAAGAATTCTTCAGATTAAAAAAATCTGATTTGTAAACATTCCCAAGTGGTTGTTTACCATTTTTTTCTTCCCCCTTCCTATTTCTTATTCTACCTGATTTTCCCCTGTTCATTCACCACACTCGTTTCTTTCTCTTTTTTACTCTCTCTTAATTTTTCATTCAATTTTTATAACATGTAATAAATCTAACTGTAGCGTCTGAGTATTAAGAATATTGCTAGTAATACTTCACCTGTAATCCCAGCACTTTGGGAGGCTAAGGCAGGCGGATCACTTGAGGCCCAGGAGTTTAAGACCAGCCGGCCAATATGGCGAAACCCTATCTGCACTACAAATACAAAAATTAGCTGGGCATGGTGTCGCACACCTGTAATCCCAGCTACTTGGGAGGCTGAGGCACAAGAATTGCTTGAGCCTGTGAGATGGAGGTTGCAGTGAGCCGAGATCACACCAGTGCACGTGCACTTCAGCCTGGGCAACAGAGCAAGACTCTGTCTTAAAAAAAAAAAAAAAAAAAAAATATATACACACACACACACACACACACACACACACACACACTATTACTACCAATATACATACATATATGTATGTATGTATGTATGTATATTGGTAGTAATAGTAATACTTGGGCCCCTGCACGTTTTAAGTGAAAATAGATCTAATATTAAATGTCTTTAGCCCTTAAATTTTTTTTAAGTGTTCAGAAGTTTCCCTTTAAAAAAATTTTTAATATATAATAATTGTACATATTTATGGGATACAGAGTGATATTTTCATGTATGCAGTGTGTGATGATCAAATCAGGATAATTAGCATATGGATCACCTCAAACATTTGTCATTTCTTTGTGTTAGGAACATTCAAAATTCTGTCTTCTAGCTATTTGAAAATATACAGTAAATTATTGTTGACTAGTTACAGTTCTATAGAACACTATAATTTATTCCTCCTGTGTGTAATTTTTTATCTTTTAACCAACATCTCCCTATCCTCCCCTCCCACTCCCTTTCCCGGCCTCTAATAACCACACTCTTATGAGCTCAACTTTTTTAGCTTCCATATATGAGTGAGAACATACGGTATTTATCTTTCTGTACCTGACTTATTTTACTTAACATCATGTCCTCCGGGCTAGACATTCTCTTTAGAATCCACAGGTTTCCTTTCTTTTCTCTAAATCTGCATTTTGCTCAGCCATTAACTTTTAAAATGTCTTTTTCCCTTTAGTTTTATTGTTTTCTATTTTAATATTGCAAGATGTTTTATATTTGTGATTACAAATAAAAACTCCATTATTAGTAAACAAATACAATGTCATATAGTAGTAAGTGCTATAAAAAATAGACAGGATAGAAAGTAATCTTGGTTTGTATGTTTTTTGTTTTTTAGCAAAGATGATTAGAGAAGGCCCAACCAAGCAGATAACATTTAAGCAGAGGCCTAAATCATATAAGTGAGTTATACAAATATCTGGGAAAAGAGTTAAGAGTACAGATGCAAAAGCCCTTAGACAAGAGAATGAGCTTGGTATATCTGAAGAGTGGATAAGTCATTTTGACTGAAACAGAGTGGACAAGAAAACCAGTCCAAGTGTAAAGACACTAGTGTGTGTTCAGCATAGGAAGGATGTAATCTGAATTTTGTGTTTAATATTCCCTGTGTTCATGCTTTCAAAATACAGATGAGTGAGGAAAGTAGGGAGAAGGGGTAATAAAGGAAGCTGAGAGATCAGTTAAGAGGTACTTGAATAGTTTAGTAAAGATGAGAGAAGATGTTTGCTTCTTGTTGCCCCTCACTGCTTAGAATAGTGGCAGTGAAGGGTAACAAGAAGCTGTCAGATTAACTTAAAGAGTTTACTGATGCAGTGGATGTTGGTTGTAAGAGAAGAATTGATAATGACTCTTGGATAATAGGGGAGGGAGGGGCTGTCAATATAATATAATGAAGAAGGGATTTGAAGTCATTTCTGATTTAAATCTCACATCCACTACCTACTTTTAATAGATATGTAGCCTTTAACAAGTTCCCTAACCTTTCTGGGCCTTAGCTACCTCCCCTTGGAAATGGAAATACCTAACATGTAAGGTTGTTTTGACAGTTATTTTCACTAGGCATGTAAAGGCACTTGACTCTCTGTTATAGACCACTGTATTATGTTAATGTCCCTCTCCTTCCTCCCTTTAGGTAAAGTTTTTAGGGCTAATAAATCCCAAATATCAATGTTGATCAGTAGTTTGTGTTTGTGTAGTGTTGTTTATATCAAAAACTACATTGAAGCCGGGCACAGTGGTTCACGCCTAAAATCGCAACACTTTGGGAGGCCAAGGTGGGCCTCCCACCTTGAACTAAGGAGTTTGAGACCAGCCTGGGCAACATGGTGAAATCCCATCTCTACAAAAAATATAAAAGCTAGCTGGGTGTGGTGGCATGCACCTGTAGTCCTAGCTACTTGGGAGGCTGAGGTTGATCCTGGGAGTTTGAGCCTGCAGTGAGCTGTGAAGATGCCACTGCACTCTAGTCTGGGTGACAGAGCAAGACCCTGTCTCAAAAACACACACACACACACACACACACACAAAGAAATACATTGATTTTTCACATAGGTAGTAAGAGAAACATTCTTTTTGAACTCAGCTGTTTGTGAATTGAATTTTGTAATTCAAATGCTATATTATGTAAACTATTGATGACTTTCAATCTGCATTTATTTTGTATAATTATTTAGTTAATATTTGCCACTTATATTCCTTAAAAAATAAAATTGAGGTTGGGCGTGGTGGCTCACACTTGTAATCCCAGCACTTTGGGAGGCTGAGGCAGGCAGATTGCCTGAGCTCAGGAGTTTGAGATCAGCCTGGGCAACATCATGAACCCCATTTCTACTAAAATACAAAAAATTATCTGGGCATGGTGGTGTACACCTGTAGCCCTAGCTGTTTGGGAGGCTAAGGCACGAGAATTGCTTGAACCCGGGAGGCAGAGGTTGCAGTGAGCCAAGATCATGCCACTGCACTCCAGCTTGGCAACAGAGCAAGACTCTTGTCTCCAGAAATAAAAATAAATAAATTGTATTAACATCCTGATAGTTTATCTGTTTAGTACCTAGCAAGAAAGAAAATGTTGAACATCTTAAGAAGAGGGTCATTTAAAAGGCCTCTTAAAGATCATGTTTGTTACAGTGCTTAAAAATTAATATGTTCATCTGCAAAATGGAATAAAAAATCTGTTAAAAATATATTTCACTAAATAGTTTAAGATGAGTCATATTTGTGGGTTTTCATTTTAAATTTTCTTTCTCTAGGTGAAGCTGTACTTCACAAAAACAGTAGAGGAGCCGTCAAATCCAGAGGCTAGCAGTTCAACTTCTGTAACACCAGATGTTAGTGACAATGAACCTGATCATTATAGATATTCTGACACCACTGACTCTGATCCAGAGAATGAACCTTTTGATGAAGATCAGCATACACAAATTACAAAAGTCTGAATTTTTTTTTATCAAGAGGGATAAAACACCATGAAAATAAACTTGAATAAACTGAAAATGGACCTTTTTTTTTTTAATGGCAATAGGACATTGTGTCAGATTACCAGTTATAGGAACAATTCTCTTTTCCTGACCAATCTTGTTTTACCCTATACATCCACAGGGTTTTGACACTTGTTGTCCAGTTGAAAAAAGGTTGTGTAGCTGTGTCATGTATATACCTTTTTGTGTCAAAAGGACATTTAAAATTCAATTAGGATTAATAAAGATGGCACTTTCCCGTTTTATTCCAGTTTTATAAAAAGTGGAGACAGACTGATGTGTATACGTAGGAATTTTTTCCTTTTGTGTTCTGTCACCAACTGAAGTGGCTAAAGAGCTTTGTGATATACTGGTTCACATCCTACCCCTTTGCACTTGTGGCAACAGATAAGTTTGCAGTTGGCTAAGAGAGGTTTCCGAAGGGTTTTGCTACATTCTAATGCATGTATTCGGGTTAGGGGAATGGAGGGAATGCTCAGAAAGGAAATAATTTTATGCTGGACTCTGGACCATATACCATCTCCAGCTATTTACACACACCTTTCTTTAGCATGCTACAGTTATTAATCTGGACATTCGAGGAATTGGCCGCTGTCACTGCTTGTTGTTTGCGCATTTTTTTTTAAAGCATATTGGTGCTAGAAAAGGCAGCTAAAGGAAGTGAATCTGTATTGGGGTACAGGAATGAACCTTCTGCAACATCTTAAGATCCACAAATGAAGGGATATAAAAATAATGTCATAGGTAAGAAACACAGCAACAATGACTTAACCATATAAATGTGGAGGCTATCAACAAAGAATGGGCTTGAAACATTATAAAAATTGACAATGATTTATTAAATATGTTTTCTCAATTGTAACGACTTCTCCATCTCCTGTGTAATCAAGGCCAGTGCTAAAATTCAGATGCTGTTAGTACCTACATCAGTCAACAACTTACACTTATTTTACTAGTTTTCAATCATAATACCTGCTGTGGATGCTTCATGTGCTGCCTGCAAGCTTCTTTTTTCTCATTAAATATAAAATATTTTGTAATGCTGCACAGAAATTTTCAATTTGAGATTCTACAGTAAGCGTTTTTTTTCTTTGAAGATTTATGATGCACTTATTCAATAGCTGTCAGCCGTTCCACCCTTTTGACCTTACACATTCTATTACAATGAATTTTGCAGTTTTGCACATTTTTTAAATGTCATTAACTGTTAGGGAATTTTACTTGAATACTGAATACATATAATGTTTATATTAAAAAGGACATTTGTGTTAAAAAGGAAATTAGAGTTGCAGTAAACTTTCAATGCTGCACACAAAAAAAAGACATTTGATTTTTCAGTAGAAATTGTCCTACATGTGCTTTATTGATTTGCTATTGAAAGAATAGGGTTTTTTTTTTTTTTTTTTTTTTTTTTTTTAAATGTGCAGTGTTGAATCATTTCTTCATAGTGCTCCCCCGAGTTGGGACTAGGGCTTCAATTTCACTTCTTAAAAAAAATCATCATATATTTGATATGCCCAGACTGCATACGATTTTAAGCGGAGTACAACTACTATTGTAAAGCTAATGTGAAGATATTATTAAAAAGGTTTTTTTTTCCAGAAATTTGGTGTCTTCAAATTATACCTTCACCTTGACATTTGAATATCCAGCCATTTTGTTTCTTAATGGTATAAAATTCCATTTTCAATAACTTATTGGTGCTGAAATTGTTCACTAGCTGTGGTCTGACCTAGTTAATTTACAAATACAGATTGAATAGGACCTACTAGAGCAGCATTTATAGAGTTTGATGGCAAATAGATTAGGCAGAACTTCATCTAAAATATTCTTAGTAAATAATGTTGACACGTTTTCCATACCTTGTCAGTTTCATTCAACAATTTTTAAATTTTTAACAAAGCTCTTAGGATTTACACATTTATATTTAAACATTGATATATAGAGTATTGATTGATTGCTCATAAGTTAAATTGGTAAAGTTAGAGACAACTATTCTAACACCTCACCATTGAAATTTATATGCCACCTTGTCTTTCATAAAAGCTGAAAATTGTTACCTAAAATGAAAATCAACTTCATGTTTTGAAGATAGTTATAAATATTGTTCTTTGTTACAATTTCGGGCACCGCATATTAAAACGTAACTTTATTGTTCCAATATGTAACATGGAGGGCCAGGTCATAAATAATGACATTATAATGGGCTTTTGCACTGTTATTATTTTTCCTTTGGAATGTGAAGGTCTGAATGAGGGTTTTGATTTTGAATGTTTCAATGTTTTTGAGAAGCCTTGCTTACATTTTATGGTGTAGTCATTGGAAATGGAAAAATGGCATTATATATATTATATATATAAATATATATTATACATACTCTCCTTACTTTATTTCAGTTACCATCCCCATAGAATTTGACAAGAATTGCTATGACTGAAAGGTTTTCGAGTCCTAATTAAAACTTTATTTATGGCAGTATTCATAATTAGCCTGAAATGCATTCTGTAGGTAATCTCTGAGTTTCTGGAATATTTTCTTAGACTTTTTGGATGTGCAGCAGCTTACATGTCTGAAGTTACTTGAAGGCATCACTTTTAAGAAAGCTTACAGTTGGGCCCTGTACCATCCCAAGTCCTTTGTAGCTCCTCTTGAACATGTTTGCCATACTTTTAAAAGGGTAGTTGAATAAATAGCATCACCATTCTTTGCTGTGGCACAGGTTATAAACTTAAGTGGAGTTTACCGGCAGCATCAAATGTTTCAGCTTTAAAAAATAAAAGTAGGGTACAAGTTTAATGTTTAGTTCTAGAAATTTTGTGCAATATGTTCATAACGATGGCTGTGGTTGCCACAAAGTGCCTCGTTTACCTTTAAATACTGTTAATGTGTCATGCATGCAGATGGAAGGGGTGGAACTGTGCACTAAAGTGGGGGCTTTAACTGTAGTATTTGGCAGAGTTGCCTTCTACCTGCCAGTTCAAAAGTTCAACCTGTTTTCATATAGAATATATATACTAAAAAATTTCAGTCTGTTAAACAGCCTTACTCTGATTCAGCCTCTTCAGATACTCTTGTGCTGTGCAGCAGTGGCTCTGTGTGTAAATGCTATGCACTGAGGATACACAAAAATACCAATATGATGTGTACAGGATAATGCCTCATCCCAATCAGATGTCCATTTGTTATTGTGTTTGTTAACAACCCTTTATCTCTTAGTGTTATAAACTCCACTTAAAACTGATTAAAGTCTCATTCTTGTCATTGTGTGGGTGTTTTATTAAATGAGAGTTTATAATTCAAATTGCTTAAGTCCATTGAAGTTTTAATTAATGGGCAGCCAAATGTGAATACAAAGTTTTCAGTTTTTTTTTTTCCTGCTGTCCTTCAAAGCCTACTGTTTAAAAAAAAAAAAAAAAAAAAACATGGCCTGAGAGTAGAGTATCTGTCTACTCATGTTTAATTAAGGAAAAACACTTATTTTTAGGGCTTTAGTCATCACTTCATAAATTGTATAAGCACATTAAATAGCGTTCTAGTCCTGAAAAAGTCCAAGATTCTTAGAAAATTGTGCATATTTTTATTATGACAGATGTTTGAAGATAATTCCCCAGAATGGATTTGATACTTTAGATTTCAATTTTGTGGCTTTTGTCTATTATTCTGTACTCTGCCATCAGCATATGGAAAGCTTCATTTACTCATCATGACTTGTGCCATATAAAAATTGATATTTCGGAATAGTCTAAAGGACTTTTTGTACTTGAATTTAATCATGTTGTTTCTAATATTCTTAAAAGCTTGAAGACTAAAGCATATCCTTTCAACAAAGCATAGTAAGGTAATAAGAAAGTGTAGTTTGTACAAGTGTTAAAAAAATAAAGTAGACAATGTTACAGTGGGACTTATTATTTCAAGTTTACATTTTCTCCATGTAATTTTTTAAAAAGTAAATGAAAAAATGTGCAATAATGTAAAATATGAAGTGTATGTGTACACACATTTTATTTTTCGGTATCTTGGGTATACGTATGGTTGAAAACTATACTGGAGTCTAAAAGTATTCTAATTTATAAGAAGACATTTTGGTGATGTTTGAAAAATAGAAATGTGCTAGTTTTGTTTTTATATCATGTCCTTTGTACGTTGTAATATGAGCTGGCTTGGTTCAGTAAATGCCATCACCATTTCCATTGAGAATTTAAAACTCACCAGTGTTTAATATGCAGGCTTCCAAAGGCTTATGAAAAAAATCAAGACCCTTAAATCTAGTTAATTTGCTGCTAACATGAAACTCTTTGGTTCTTTTATTTTTGCCAGATAATTAGACACACATCTAAAGCTTAGTCTTAAATGGCTTAAGTGTAGCTATTGATTAGTGCTGTTGCTAGTTCAGAAAGAAATGTTTGTGAATGGAAACAAGAATATTCAGTCCAAACTGTTGTAAGGACAGTACCTGAAAACCAGGAAACAGGATAATGGAAAAAGTCTTTTAAAGATGAAATGTTGGAGCCAACTTTCTTATAGAATTAATTGTATGTGGCTATAGAAAGCCTAATGATTGTTGCTTATTTTTGAGAGCATATTATTCTTTTATGACCATAATCTTGCTGTTTTTCCATCTTCCAAAAGATCTTCCTTCTAATATGTATATCAGAATGTGGGTAGCCAGTCAGACAAATTCATATTGGTTGGTAGCTTTAAAAAGTTTGTAATGTGAAGACAGGAAAGGACAAAATAGTTTGCTTTGGTGGTAGTACTCTGGTTGTTAAGCTAGGTATTTTGAGACTACTTCCCCATCACAACAACAATAAAATAATCACTCATAATCCTATCACCTGGAGACATAGCCATCGTTAATATGTTAGTGACTATACAATCATGTTTTCTTCTGTATATCCATGTATATTCTTTAAAAATGAAATTTATACTGTACCTGATCTCAAAGCTTTTTAGCTTAGTATATCTGTCATGAATTTGTAGGATGTTCCATTGCATCAGAAAACGGACAGTGATTTGATTACTTTCTAATGCCACAGATGCAGATTACATGTAGTTATTGAGAATCCTTTCGAATTCAGTGGCTTAATCATGAATGTCTAAATATTGTTGACATTAGGATGATACATGTAAATTAAAGTTACATTTGTTTAGCATAGACAAGCTTAACATTGTAGATGTTTCTCTTCAAAAATCATCTTAAACATTTGCATTTGGAATTGTGTTAAATAGAATGTGTGAAACACTGTATTAGTAAACTTCATCACCTTTCTACTTCCTTATAGTTTGAACTTTTCAGTTTTTGTAGTTCCCAAACAGTTGCTCAATTTAGAGCAAATTAATTTAACACCTGCCAAAAAAAGGCTGCTGTTGGCTTATCAGTTGTCTTTAAATTCAAATGCTCATGTGACTTTTATCACATCAAAAAATATTTCATTAATGATTCACCTTTAGCTCTGAAAATTACCGCGTTTAGTAATTATAGTGGGCTTATAAAAACATGCAACTCTTTTTGATAGTTATTTGAGAATTTTGGTGAAAAATATTTAGCTGAGGGCAGTATAGAACTTATAAACCAATATATTGATATTTTTAAAACATTTTTACATATAAGTAAACTGCCATCTTTGAGCATAACTACATTTAAAAATAAAGCTGCATATTTTTAAATCAAGTGTTTAACAAGAATTTATATTTTTTATTTTTTAAAATTAAAAATAATTTATATTTCCTCTGTTGCATGAGGATTCTCATCTGTGCTTATAATGGTTAGAGATTTTATTTGTGTGGAATGAAGTGAGGCTTGTAGTCATGGTTCTAGTGTTTCAGTTTGCCAAGTCTGTTTACTGCAGTGAAATTCATCAAATGTTTCAGTGTGGTTTTCTGTAGCCTATCATTTACTGGCTATTTTTTTATGTACACCTTTAGGATTTTCTGCCTACTCTATCCAGTTGTCCAAATGATATCCTACATTTTACAAATGCCCTTTCAGTTTCTATTTTCTTTTTCCATTAAATTGCCCTCATGTCCTAATGTGCAGTTTGTAAGTGTGTGTGTGTGTGTCTGTGTGTGTGTGAATTTGATTTTCAAGAGTGCTAGACTTCCAATTTGAGAGATTAAATAATTTAATTCAGGCAAACATTTTTCATTGGAATTTCACAGTTCATTGTAATGAAAATGTTAATCCTGGATGACCTTTGACATACAGTAATGAATCTTGGATATTAATGAATTTGTTAGTAGCATCTTGATGTGTGTTTTAATGAGTTATTTTCAAAGTTGTGCATTAAACCAAAGTTGGCATACTGGAAGTGTTTATATCAAGTTCCATTTGGCTACTGATGGACAAAAAATAGAAATGCCTTCCTATGGAGAGTATTTTTCCTTTAAAAAATTAAAAAGGTTAATTATTTTGACTATTCGGTTTTAAACTTTTTATTCAACAAATACCAAGTCCCTGCTGTATATATGGGTTTGGAATACATTAGTGATCAAAACACACCCTCTATCCCTGCCCTTGAAGAGTTTACACTCCAGTAGAGGAAACAGAATTTACATTAACAATTATAAATTGTGATACATGCTGTGGAAAGTGAGGTGCATGTGATAATGGTTATCAAACATTATGCTCCCCAAAATTTCCATCACCTTGCAGTTGAATGAGGCCTATGTAACTAGTTTATTCTAATGTAATACAGAAAGTAGTGTGACACTCCACTTTCTGTAAAGGCAATGAAAAAAATTTACCATCCAGTTTCTCTCTTCCCCTACTGCTGTGATTAAGGATTTTGCATGTTCTAGATGGTGCAGCTTTGTCAGCCTGGGTCTTGAGTGATACTGGAGCAGAACTCCCTCAAATTGTTCCTTCTGCCACGCTAAACTTGTTAGATATTAGCATAAATAAGAAATAAACCATTTAGACTGATACTTTGGGACAATTTTTTATCACAGTGTAAGTTATATCCTGACTAAAACAGTGCTTTGGAAAGATCAGGGAAGGGTTTCTTGAGCTACAAAAGGGAGTTAAGAATGAAGCAAAATGAAATATGGCATCTTTAAATGACATGATGCAATAAACTCTAAATTGCAAGTTATTCAATAGTTACTGAGCACCAGATATGTGTCAGACACTGTTCTAGATGCTTGGGATACAAGTGGGTGAACAGCAGGACCTTGCCTTCATGGAGCTTACATTCTAGCAAGGGAAAATAGTCAACATACTATATGTAAGGTAATGCGTGCTATAGCAGAAATGAAAGGTAAGGGAGCTCAGGATTGCTGGGTGGAGAGATTTCAGTGTTGAATGGTGTAGTCCAGAACAGGCCTCACTGGGAAGGTAAGATTTGAAGACTGCTGACTAACAGTGGCATTGGGATTTTCCTTCATTCTTTCAACCAGCGAGATGCACTCAGAACCCTCTATACAATTTTATTCTCACTTTATACAACTCTGTACATTAGTTCTGAGTTTTTAAGATGATTGTTGGCATATCTAGGGAGAATTTTTAGGAATACCACCCAAAATAGTCGCAATGTTCTAAAACCATTTTGTTTTCTAAATTGGTTTGGCAAACTCTATACAAACAGTCTGTTCCTTTTCATTCTCCAAGTTGAGTTTTTAAATTTAAATTATACTCTTTGTGCATTTTGACAATACTTACCTCTTTTCAGAAGACATTAAAGTTCTGTTATGGCCTTAAAACATTTCTGTAAAGCTGAAAGGAAATATCATTTATGATTTATTGATGGGAAACAGTTACAAATTTTGAGTTACTTGACAAACAGAAGGGATGAAATTTATGGCCTAGTGTTGTGTTTTCATTCTTAACCCATAAGCAAAAATCTCTGGAAAAGTACCAATATCTAGTAAAAGAAATATTTTTTCACAAAAAGTATTTTCTATTTTCCCCTCACCTCTTACCTCGTCTCACCTCAAAGTTCAAGAAGCTTAACTTTGTGATCAAAGGAAAATAGTATAATTGAATATTTGATACTATAGAAATTTGCAACTGTATAAGGGCATTATTAACCTTTTGCTAGTGATCAGTTTCCTATCAGGGCAGCCACATAAAATTAGGCATGACACTTTAAAAGAAAATGTTGACTCTTAACTTTTCCTCCTCTAATGCTTAATTTTAAAATAGATTTAAGCAACTTTAAAGACATTTTCCTGAGCAACTGCATTTTGTTTTCATTCTGAATTTAATGAGACTCTTTTTTTCTTTAACATTTTACTTTGCTTTAGAAAGGATTTAAGGCAGGTGAATGTGTTTCCCAGTGTGAGAAAAATTGTCATGTAAATTTAGAAAAAAGTATTGTATATGTCCCTTGATTTTGGCTTAAGAGTTAGAATTTACTTAGAATGTTTCCTGACCCAACCTCATTGGAATTTGAAAGTACATTCCAATAGTATTGTGAGCTGCTCCTTTAAACATTGGTAAGTAGGCTTCAAACTTAATTTTCAAGGAAATAAGCCATGCTTTTACTGTAGGGTTTATTAATCTGAAATACCTGAGAATGAAAATAGTTATATGCTCCTATCTAATAATATAAACAGTTAAATGTGACCTGTAAATATTGTGAAATTTAGCAAAAATATAACCTGTAAAAATAATCTCTAGTAAGCTAATATTCTCTCAGTAATAAAACCTAGAGAGCTAAAGTAGCCCAATTAACTGACATTAGAACAGATCGTGATATGTGGAAGAACTATTAGTGAATTATAGTCATGTTTATACTTCTCTTTTCAATTATAATCATGTCCTTGAGATCTCATTTTCCAGTCCTTATTACCTATAAGGAAGAGAAATATATGTAAATTTCACAAATGCATACGAAAATTACCAAACTTCTTAAGTGTTATTCGGTATTTCTGCAGAGATATCATTAACAGGAAAGCCCAATATTTTACATGGTTATCTTTAACAATGGAAGTACAGTGGTTGTTTAATTAATTAGCTAATACTTCATTTACTGTGTATAGTCATAATTCATAAGAATAATACATATGTCTTTTAGGATTATTAGTACTGTATATTAAATAAATGCTTGAAAGGGAAAATACCTTTTAGTGTTTGGTAAAAGAGTAGGCATAAGGTAAATTTTCCCTTCTGTTAGACTCAGCAGAACTATTCAATGTGTTTAGCTGTCCTTGGAGAAGACTGAGCCATTGTTGCTGTAAAAATCCAATAGGGTTAAAACAAAAATATCACTTTGAACATGATTTACTTGGCTAGGAGACACTTGAAGCTTTAAGCAACTCAAATCTTTCTCTAGAAAATTAAACACAATTCTACCTCAGAAAACTTGAAGACATTGACAATTCATAGGAATTCTGTGATAAGTCAGCTCACCTACCTAAAGACCAAAGTGAAGGCGCACAGCAAGAGAGGAAGCTGAAGTAAGGAGAGAAAAGAAAACAGAAGGAAAAGCATGGTAAGAGCCCAAATTAACTCTGACTACTGGGGGCTGCTACAGGGGATGGGAAGAGAATAGCATTGTTCTGAGCCCACAGTGTGTGTCATGCTGCAGTAGTCAGTTCACAGGCTTGACCCATCCTTCAATGATTTTATCTCATTTTATGCACAAAGACTGAAAGGGAACTTAAATCATCCAGGTGTCTCTCACAACTAGTAAATAGAGAAGTGGATTTGAACCCACAGCAGTCTTATTTCTACCATATTATGCATACTACCTCTTAAACAGAATCAAGTTTACAAAGCAAACAAAAAAGTCTGGCCAGGTTTGGTGTCTCACACCTGTAATCACAGCACTTTGGGAGGCTGAGACAGGAGGATTGCTTGAGCCCAGGAGTTCAAGACTAGCCTGAGGAACATAGCAAGACCTTGTCTCTACAAAAAAGTTAAAAAATTATCCAGGCATGGTGGTGCATGCATATAGTCCCAGATACTTGGGAGACCGAGCTGGGAGGATTGTTTGAGCCTGGGAGGTTGAGGCTACAGTGAGCCATGATCTGTGCCTTGCACTCCAGCCTGGGCGACGGGGTGAGACCTCATCTCTTGAAAACAAGTCTAAAACAACTCACAGGTAATGGAGTCATGACAAATTTTTTTTTTGTTTACTGACACAAGAAAAGCAAGCTAACACAAGGCATAAATCCTGCAAAATGAACAGCAAAGAAGATAAATATTTAACAATTGTTCAAGCTACAAATGAGAAAATTATGTATCTTGCAACATTCTTGACAGGTAAGATGATAAGATGTTGGTATATATTTTTATATCAAAACCCAGAATTACAGTTCTTTGATTTGCTAGTTTGGTATAAAATCCATTAAATAAACTTGTGCCTTATTTTTGCTTGAACTAGAATGCCCAGACTGTTTAAAGTGATTGGTTCTCAGTTAAATAGGCCAACCGGCCACCTAACAAGTATTTGTTGCATGCCTGCTGTG
The DNA here is from genome assembly GCF_000001405.40 of Homo sapiens. NCBI lineage: Eukaryota > Metazoa > Chordata > Mammalia > Primates > Hominidae > Homo > Homo sapiens. The sequence continues at coordinate 87,975,925 of NC_000010.11, forward strand.
TCAAGTTGGAATACAATAGTGGAGAAGTGAGAAAAGGCCATAGATTTTACATTTTAGAGTGGGAAAACAGATTTTATACAGAGAGTTGAGCAAGTGTGATGGCTTGATGTAGGAACAAACTTGGTCACTTAGGAAAGCGTAAGAAGAGAAAGGCTAGAGCAGAGTAAGTGATGGGAGATTGATGTAAGATAAATTTTGGAGAAGTAGGCAGGAGAACTTCTGGTTTCAGCCAAGGTGGAATAAAACCACTAAATTCTGTCCCCTACTGATGACAACCATCAATAAACTTTTTCTACACTGTTTTATTCAAACTCATTAGTTTATCTTATTCTTTGAATAGATCTTTTACCCCGGCCTGATTTTGTGACATCATCGATGAGTCATTTGGAAAATACAGGTTCACTGAGTTTTGTAGATTTTCCAGTGTTGACACATTTCATTATGCAATGCAGAAAAACAAATCACATTTAAAAAAATATCACAACACTTTTTTAGAGCTGACAAGAATAGTCTTTAAATATTTGGAAGAAGGCAGATGATGAAAGAGAGTCAAAACTTGGAAAAGCAACCTATATTAGGGATGTTTCTTTTCTTCTATTGTCTTAACAGCTTCGCCCCAAGGGTGGGCCCCACTTGTGGAGCTGCACAACCACGGTGACTTGAGCAGCTCACACTGAGATAAATCAAGCTTTTTGGCCAGAGGAACCAGAAAAAGAGTCTCCTGTGGGCCAGTGGCCATGGAGTATGAGGGTGGGGGGAGGGTTGGGGAAATCCTGAAGACAAGAGAGCTGGAAAAGGGAATCCTCTAATTCTCAGTTTGAACTTCTACAAGTCCTGGGCTCACTCCTGAGCTTGCATGCACAGGACAGACCAAAGAAGCATAGCAAAGGCTTTGAAAATGAAACAGATTGGAATTATCACTCATAAATGATGAGACAAAACTTGCAGCCTGAGCCTAATCGAGTGGATTGCCTGAATCAATTGATCAATCAATCATCAATCAAACATTTTCAGAAAATTTTAACAGGACCCAGAGTCTATGCAACACAGTATCCAACATTACTTAACTAGGAAGAACCGGAAAAATGTGACAAATTCCCAGGGAAAAAGTCAATCAAGAGATGGTAACCACAAAATAACCCAGATGTTGGAATTATCAGATGTAAAAACAGCTATTGTAATTATGTTTCATGAGATAAAGATAAACACACTTGGAATGAATGGAAAGGCAGAAGTTCTCAGCAAGGACACAGAAATTATAAAAGGAACCATGTGGAAATTTTACAACTGAAAGGTACAATATCTGAAATAACATACTAGATGGGCAATAGAAGAATGGAAATGACAGAAGAGTCAGCAAACTTGAAGATAACTTTATAAATATCCAATTCTAATCATGGCTTTAGAGTCTTAAAGGTGGATGAAGCTTCGAAAAGTGAAATATATCTGATTGTAATAAGCCTCAGGGAGCCTGAATAAAATACTAATCCAAGTGTATCTATGTGGCTCCCACAGATACATTTGAAGAAGTTCCTGTTGTTTGTCAATTACATTAAGTAAAGGAATTAGCATTATCACAGGTCCAAACATGGTGATTATGAGAATTTGCTGTTACAGTGTTACACAGTCTTAATACGTCAAAACAGCCCAAGGTGATGTATGCATTGACAGAGTTTTCTGGTTGGGTCCATTAAGTGTATACCTGCAGTAAAAAGCAATTTAAAATTTAGCAAAGTCATCACTAGATCACTGACACACTCATCCTTAGAGACAGTACATGGTAATTGCTTCGCTCACCTGCTCATATTAACACTTTGATTCAGCCTAACCCTTCCGATTCAGCCTTTGCAACAGCACTGTTTCCAAATGTGACGTTATTACAGAGATGTCATACAAAAATTGACCTATCATGTAGGCACAATGCATGCTTTTCAATATTACAGCAGAAAAAAAAATGTGATATTTAATGCTGCTAGTGCCTAGGAATCTGGTATGAGAAAACATTAAGATGAGTTTGGAGGAAAACTGAGCTGGTATTATGTTTGGAGAAATGACTTCCTGATTCAGAAAGAGAATTTCAAGACTTTAGAATGCCTCCCATTGTTATATTAGAACCATATTACTTGTAAAAGGTAGTATAAATTTTTGTAATGGTGATAATTCTGGGTTTAATAGTTTAACAAGTTTTGCCATTTAATTCCCATAATATAGGAAGTACAATTATATCCATCTCATACACAAGGAGCTATGGTACAGAAAGGTTCAATAACTTGTTGAATATAGCAGATCTAGTAAATGGCAAAGTCAGGATTTAAATGTAGGTCAATTTGATTGCCAAGCCTGGGCCATTTACTACTGTGTTATATATGTTACTTCCTATAAAAACTTAACAAGAAGGTCTTTCATTTTCAAACCGAAATGGACAGAACACTGGTGTAAGCAGTGTTCTGAAGCTTTTGGTCTCAGGATTCCTTTACACTCTTAAAACTTACTGAGGATCTCAAAGGGCTTTTGTTATTGATATTTACTACATAAGAAATGAAAACTGAGACATCATCTGATTATTAAAAAAACAAGCTAATCACATGATAATATAAATAACATTGTAGCGAAAATAACCATGTATTCTAAAACAAAAATGTTAGTGATGAGGTGGTGTTTTGTTTTTTTCATTTTTCTGAATTTTTTTTTTTTTTTTTTTTTGAGACTGAGTCTTGCTCTGTCACCAGGCTGGAGCAGTGGTGCAATCTCGGTTCACTGCAACCTCCGCCTCCCGGGTTCAAGTGATTCTCCTGCCTCAGCCTCCCGAGTAGCTGGGATTACAGGTGTGTGCCACCATGTCCACCTAATTTTTGTAGTTTTTAGTAGAGATGAGGTTTCACCATATTGATCACGCTGGTCTCAAACTCCTGACAGGTGATCCACCCACCTCGGCCTCCCGAAGTGCTGGGATTACAGGCATGAGCCACCACCCCCAGCAGACATACTTCATTATACAGTGCAAAAAAAGTCACATTTTAAAAATATCACCACCGAGCTCACCAGGATAGTCTTTACATATTCGGAAGCTGTCAAGTTCATGGTAGCAGGTATAAGATTTTAAAAATACTAATTTTGGCTTAAAAGCTTGAATTTTATCACTTATAACCCACAGGGGTCATGGGCCACACTTTGAGGATCACTGGTGTTAGAGGTTTGGTTGGAGAGACGCAAGTAAGAGAACATTTCCCTAACATGCCCAAACACATTCCTTTTCAGAGTGCTGAAGGAATTTGAAAATGAGGTCTCAGAATTACCAGCAGTAATTCCTGATAAATTAAGAAAAATGGGAGAGAGTTCAGAGACAAAGACATGAGAAAAGATTGCCATAACTCTCCAGAAGGATGGATTCTGGGTAATGAAGGCCAGTATGTTTAACACTGATTCCCAGAAAAAGACTTTAATATATTCAGTAGCAGTTAGTTTAAGAACATTAGAAGATAATTCGGTGATTACCAGATGTCAATGAGGGCTAGGTAGGTCATTTCAAAGCCTTCTCAAATTTCATTTTTTCTTTATGATCACCTGTCACAGTGCTTTACGTGATGTACATACAAAAATATTTGCATAACTGTATAAAACAGTTGAATAATAACTGTATAGCATATTGCTTATATAAACTGCACAAATCTCATTTGAATAAAAACCATTTATAAAGTACTTGCAGTATGCAAAATGTGTTGGGCAAAGGGCAGGTCTGAGAGGCACACACGAGGAAAACTAAAACAGAACAGAAGTCTAATGGTATTTTCAAGTGTTATAAAATATGTGAAGTCTGCCTTGTGAGAGAAGGTAGCATTGGCTTGTGGAAAGAGCATAGCACAGGAAATTAGAACATCTGGTTGCTCATCCTGGCTTTACCATCAACTTAATGAATGACCTGGAGTAAGTTACTTCACTTCGAGACCTATGCTCTATATCTGCAATATTGAAAATGCTGGATAAGATAATCTCTAAAGCCCCAGAAAAAGATGGAGTTGTACTCTTTCACTCCCAGGAACATATACTGGAACTTATGAGTAGAACTTTGGAGAGACCAAGTTTGCCTCACAATGAGTAATATTCTAGTTCTGCACTGTCGTATAGTGACTTCAGTCACTAAGCTACATGTCTCTATGGAGCACTTGAAATGTGACTGGTTCAAAGTGAGATTTGCTGTAAGTATAAATTACACATCAGATTTTGAAAACTTAGTATAAAAAGTAGAAGGCAAAATATCTTGTCAATTTTTTACATTGATTACATATTGATAATATTTTTGATATAGTGAGTTAAATTATATATATAAATTTTTTTTTTTTTTAGATGGGGTTTCACTCTGTCGCCCAGGCTGGGGTGTGGTGGTGTGATCTTGGCTCACTATAACCTCCACCACCCAGGCTCAAGCCATCCTCCCACCTCAGCCTCTCAGGTAGCTGGGACCACAGTTGTGCACCACCATACATGGCTAATTTTCTGCATTTTTGGTAGAGATAGGGTTTCACCATGTTGCCCAGGCTGGTCTCGAACTGCTGAGCTCAAGTGGTCCACCTTCCTTAGCCTCCCAGAGTGCTGGGATTACAGGTATGAGCCACCTCCCAGTCTAAATTAATATATTTTAAAAACATTTCACCTGATTTCTTTTACTTTTTAAGATATATATGGCTAATGGAACACTTAAAATTACATATATGGCTCATATTATATTTCTACTGGACAGGGTAATTCTAGCTAATAGAGTTTCCAACAAAATAATAATAACTTGAAGAGGAACCTAATTTTACTTTTCATTTTGCATTTTGAGGTACACAAGCAGAGACTGGGTCATAGTTCTGACAAGAGGACCTCACAGAAGACTCCATTTGGTGTGCATTTGATCTAAATTTGTGTTCTCAATCTGTGCTCAGATGAATGCTTGGGCTCCAGCAGCACCCAGATTTGTCATAGGGGAAGGAGGAGGAGGACAAAGAGGTCTTTCTGTCTTCCCTTCCTCTTTCAAACAGAGAGCTGATCAGTATGTATTACTGAATAAATGAATGAGTGTACAAAATATATTTATGTATTTCAGGTAAAATGGATGAAGTTTAGGGTTCAGGCTTTGGACCAGGTCTGGCCGCTGGTTTAATTCTTGGTGCCACTGTTTACTAGCTCTATGACCTTACTTACTCCCTCTGTGCCTCAGTTTCTTCATCTGTAAATGTGGGGTTTGCATGTACAGTTTTGAATACAGTATAGTATATTTCCCTAGAAACATGGCTTGCTCCTAAACATTTGGCAATGCTATTGCATAAATTAATCTTGCAAGACAAAACTACACACAACAAGAAACTCTTATCTTGCCTGTAAACAGGTTGTTAAACATGTTCTCACTTCCTTCTGTCACCACCTGTACAGCATGTTTTTGAAGGAATTCCACAGTGCTTGTGATTAAAGCAAATTTGTACACTGCCTGGACACCCTTAGCAACTTGATCTTATGGTAGAAGAACAATTTGTGGAGATTTGGAGACTTCATATTCAATAAGGACCTGTTAGGGGCAAAGTGATACAAGGTGCCTTCTCTTTACTTTTGCCTTTCCCATCCAAACATGACCCTGAACATCTGGCAGCATGAAAAGGGGACATGCTTATCCAATACACCTGCTAGCTGACTGCCAGGATTCTAAAACTTAGGTCCAAATGGTGAGTAGTGTTTGCTTTTGTAATCTAACACTAGTTGACATCCTACTACAGTTCTCTTCCATTCCACAGACTTTCTTTCTTATTTATTTATTTATTTATTTTTGAGACAGAGTCTCATTTCGTAGCCCAAGCTGGAGTGCAGTGGCGTGATCTCGACTCACTGCAAGCGTTGCCTCTGGGCCTTAAGTGATTCTCCTGCATCAGCCTCCCAAACACCTGGGACTCGAAGTGTGTGCCACCACACCCAGTAAATTTTTTTTTAATTTTTAGTAGAGACGGGGTTTCACCGTGTTGCCCTGGATGGTCTTGAACTCCTGAGCTCAGGCGATCCATCTGCCTCGCCCTCCCAAAGTGTTGGAATTACAGGCGTGAGCCACTGGATCCAGCTTCCACAGACTTTCTTTGCGCTGCTTGGTCCAACCCTCGCACCTCTTTTATTCTCAGAAACTTCCTTTGCCTTCTACTGAATAGAGAAAATTAAGGCTATCATGCTGCCTGGACTGCTTCAACATCCTGTCCTTCTTTTCTCTATTATCAACCAACTCTCTACCTCCCTTGACCTGCCTCCCTCTCATTTTAGAGGAAAAAAATATTTCCTTTCTTGGTTTTTTTTTTTTTTCCCCAAGAGGGAATTTCGCTCCTGTTGCCCAGTCAGGAGTGCAATGTCACGAGTTCGGCTCACTGCAACCTCTGCTTCCCGGGTTCAGGTGATTCTCCTGCCTCAAGCCTCCTGAGTACTTGGGATTACAGGCATGCACCACCATGCCCGGCTAATTTTTGCATTTTTAGTAGAGACAGGGTTTCACCATGTTGGTCAGGCTGCTGTTGAACTCCTGACCTCAGGTGATCCGCCCACCCCAGCCTCCCAAAGTGCTGGGATTACAGGCGTGAGCCACCGTGCCTGGCCTCCCTTCTTGTTTAAAGCTAACTTTTCTACAGTGCTCTTTCTTTCCCAGGACAAAGATTGTGTTTTATTGGATTATCTCTTTCTCTTCTTATTTTCAACATTTGACTCTCTTTTGGATCATTTCTTGGAGTTGAAAAATATTCTTAAATCTCTCCATTTTTATCAATAAACAGAGAAAAAAGAAAGCTTTCTCTATCTTGTATTCTATTTAGTTATCACTCTCCTCTTTCTCTTAAAACTCAAGTTCAAAAAGGAAAATCTACCCTTGTCTCTACTTCCTCACATCTCATTCACTAATTTTTCTATTTGTAATATCTACTATTTTAATTTAGTTACAAATGCACATATGTGAAAGAATATATGTAAAATAATATATTTAATATCAATTTGGATATATTCTATACCCCCCTGACCCAATCATTTCCACTGACCTTTTCCTTCCCTCCACCCCAATCACCAGCTCCCATTGTAATAGGCTTGATTCTGCCATTTCCAGTTAGCAAAGATCTCGCAAACCTGTGTTTTCCAGCATCCACCTCTCTATCACCTCCAGAATTTTCACTCACTTATTTTTTTTTATTTTTTTTTTTTATTTTTTTTTTGAGACGGAGTCTCGCTCTGTCGCCCAGGATGGAGTGCAGTGGTGGGATCTCGGCTCACTGCAAGCTCCGCCTCCCGGGTTCACGCCATTCTCCTGCCTCAGCCTCCCAAGTAGCTGGGACTACAGGCGCCCGCCACTACGCCCGGCTAATTTTTTGTATTTTTAGTAGAGACGGGGTTTCACCGTTTTAGCCGGGATGGTCTCGATCTCCTGACCTCGTGATCCGCCCGCCTTGGCCTCCCAAAGTGCTGGGATTACAGGCGTGAGCCATCGCGCCCGGCCCACTCACTTATTTTTATACTACTTCTACTTCAGCATATTTAAACCTCATAAGTCTTAAAGTCCACTGAACCTAACTCTTTTTCATTATTCATTTCCCCTCTTCTATCCTTACATATGTTCCTACCCATTTCCTGGTTCATCATTATAATCACTCTCTTATAGCACATTATTAATTTCTTTGACACTCTCTTTCTCACTCATTTGCCTGGCAAATCTGAAATTGTGTATGTGCTACTGTATGCCTACACCTCAGCAGGGTGAAACACAACTGTGCTTTTTGGTCTCACTGGATGTTAATCCCCAAATATCAAAAATAGACATCACCACCCCACAGTAGTCTTACTTTTTCCTGATACTTTTCCTGGTACATTTACTTTCGCATTCTCTAAGATAACAATTTTATGACTTCTCACTCTTCAAACTTCCAAAACTGTGATCAGTGACTCAAACTTACATTTTATACACATCACCATGGAAATTATCACATGGAAACACTCACATCTTCTTACCACAGAATCTACTAACCTATCAGAATCAGTACCATGCTCCGTGCCTTTCTTCTTGTTACAGTCAATGAGTGATTTTACTCATTTCAAAGACCAATCTCTTCATATTGAATTATATCTCTTCTAGTGGTTTAAAACCTTTTTAATGCAATCATTTTCTCTAATTAGCAATTCTTTTCTTTATACTTGCTCATTCTTATTACCATACAAGCTCAAGTACTTCTACCACATAAACTCCCAAATCCTTAATACACCATACAAAACCTTCCATCATCTGGCTGCTCTTATCTTTCCATTTTCATCTCCCTGTGTCCTACTTTCCAGTTTCCATACAATTTGTCAAATGATTCTTCTGCTATGTGTGTCTAGGCCTTTGGTTACATTCAGTGCACAAAAAGCATGAAAATATGACCATAATCAGGAGGAAACCAATAATCCATTCACGATAATGCCCAGCAAACTAGGAATAGAGAGGAACTTCCTCAACTTGATAAAGAACGTCTACACAAAACCTGCTACTAACATCACACTTGATGGTGAGAAACCAGATGCTTTTCTGCTAAGATCAGAAACAAGGCAAGGATGAACTCTTTCACCACTGCTTTTAAATATCATCTGGAAGTCCTCGCTAATGAAATAAGAAAAAAGGAAATGAAAGATGTGTAGACTGGGAAGGAAGACATGAAACTGTTTTTGTTTGTAGATGACATGATTGTCTATGTAGAAAATCTGAAAGAATCATTAACAACAATGATAACCTTCTGGAACTAATAAGTGATTTTAAGAAGGTTGCAGCACGCAAGGTTAACATACAAAGTCAATTGCTTTCCTATATACCACCAATAAACAAGTGGAATTTGAAATTAAAAACACAATACCATTTACATTAGCACCCCTGCAAAATAAAATACTCAAATATAAATCTAACAAAATATGAACAAGATCTATGTGAAGAAAACTATAAAACTTTTATGAAATAAATCAAAGAACTACAAAAATGAAGAGATATTCCATGATCATGGATAAAAAGTCTCAATATTGTCAAGATGCTAGTTATCCTCAACTTGATACACAGATTCAATGCAATCCAAATCAAAATCTCAGCAAGTTAATTTGTGGATATTGACAAAATGATTCTAAAGTTTATATGAAGAGGCAAAAAATCCAGAATAACAAACACAATGTTAAAGGAAGAGAACAAAGTTGGAAGACTGACACTACCTAACTTCGAGATTTACTGTAAATGTACAGTAATCAAGACTGTGGTATTGGTGAGAGAACAGACAAAATAGACCAATGGAACAGAATAGAGAGCCCAGAAATAGCCCCACATAAATATAATCAACTAATTTTTGACAAAGGAGCAAAGACAATGCAATGGAGAAAGAACAATCTGTTCAATAAATGGTGCTGGAACAACTGGACGTCCACATACAAAAAAAAAAATAAATCTAGACATAGGCCTTATATCCTTCACAAAAATTAACTCAAAATGAATCATAGACTTAAATGTAAAATGCAAAGCTATAAAACTCCTAAGATAAAACAGAGAAAAAAAACTAGGCTGGGTGAGGTGGCTTACACCTGTAATCCCAACACTTTGGGAGGCTGAGGTGGGCAGATCACTTGAGGTCTGGAGTTCAAGACCAGCCTGGCCAACATGGTGAAACCCTGTCTCTACCAAAAATACAAAAATTAGCTGGGCATGGTGGCATGCACCTGTAGTCCCAGCTACTCAGGAGGCTGAAGCAGGAGAATCGCTTGAACCCGGGAGGGGGAGGTTGCAGTGAGCTGAGATAGAACCACCACAGTCCAGCCTGGGTGACAGAGTCAGACTCTGTCTCAAAAAAAAAAAAAAAAAAAAAAAAAAAAAAAAAAAAATTCTAGGTGACCTTGGGTATGGCGATGACTTTTTAGATACAACACCAAAGGTATACTCCATGAAAGAAATAATAAGCTGGAATTTATTATGTTAAAAACTTCCGTTATGTTTTTATATCTTCACATAAACACATAAACAGTCAAAAGAATGAAAAACAGTCAAAGAATGAGAAAACAAAGCCACAGAGTGGAGTAAAATATTTGTAAAAGACATACCTGATAAAGGACTATTTCCAAAATATATAAAGAACTACTAGGTTTCAACAATTAAAAAAGAACAACACAATTAAAAGTGGGCAAAATATCTAAACAGACACTTCATCAAAGAAGATATACAAATGGCAAATAGGCATATGAAAGGATACTCAGCAGCATATGTTATTGGTAAACTGCAAATTAAAACGAGATACCACTATAACCTATTAAAATGGCAAAAATAAATATCCAATGCTGGTGAGCATGTGGGGCAAAAGGAATTCTCATTCATTGCTGTTGGGAATGCAAAATGGTACACGTACATTGAAAGACAGTTTGGAAGTTTCTTATAAAACTAAACACACTCTTATCATAACCATATAATCCAGAAATTGTGCTCCTTGGTATTTACCAAAATCAGTTGCAAACTTATGTCCACACAAAACATACACATGACCCAAATGAGTTGCAAACCTACGTCAACACAAAAGCCCGCTCATGAGTCTTTACAGCAGGTTTATTCATAATTGTGAAAATTTGGAAGCAACCAGGATGTCCTTCAGTGGGTGAATGGATAAATAAACTGGGATGCATCTAGAAAATAGAGTATTATTCAGTGCTAACAAGGAATAAGCTATCAACTCAGGAAAAGACATGGAAGAACATTAGATGCATATGACTGAGTGAAAGAAGCCAATCCAAAAAGACTACATACTGTATTACTCCAACTATATGACATTTTGAAAAAGGCAAAACTATGGAGACAGCTTAAAGATCAGTGGTTGCCAGGGATTAGGGGTGAGGAAAGGATGAATCGGTAGGGCACAGAGGATTTTCAGGGCAGTAAAATTATTCAGTATAACACTATAATGGTAGATACATCATTACACATTTGTCCAAACCCACAGCATATATAACACCAAGAGGGAATCCTGACATAAACTAAAGACTTCGGGGTCATAAGGACGTGCCAGTGTTAGTTTGTTGAGTGTAACACATTTATGACTGTGGTGTAGGCTGTTGATAGTAGTGGAGACTATGTGTTTGTGGGAGCAGGGCTATATTAATGCTTTCTGTTCAATTTTGCCATGAATCCAAAAACTACTCTAAAAAATAAAGTCAATTATTGAAAAAAAATCAACCAATAAAAAGACACAGAAATAACAGAGATATTTTAAAGAATATTACAGTTATTATAAATCTTATATGTTAAAGGATGTAAAACAAAACATCAAAATAATGAAGAGAAAAATGGAACAGATAAAAATACAAATAGAAGTTACAGAGCTAAAAAATAAAATATCTGAAATAAAAGTACCGAATGAGGTTGAGGTTAAGAGCAATGTAGACACTGCAGATGAAAGATTAGGAAACGCAAGGGCATGGAAACAGGTGTTATCTAAAATACAGCAGAGTGGGAAAAGACTGAAAATAAAAATGACTAGAGCTTCAGTGAGTTGTGGGACAAAATTATATAATCTAATCTACAGGATTGTTTTCACAAAAGGAGAAGAGTAGGGAGAACTGAAATAAATATTCAAGGAAGTAATAGCCATAAAACTTTCAAATGTGATAAAAATTATAAGCCCATAGATTCAAGAATAAACATAAAGAAAACCACATCAAGGTATATCACAATCAAATTGTTGAGAATCAGTGATGAAGAGAAAAACCTTAAAAAGAAGGTGGGTGGGGTGGGGGAAAGGCACCATCTTCATCTGTTTTATGATGTTATAGCTGAATACCTGAGATGGGGTATAATTTATAAAGAACAGAAATTTATTTCCTACAATTCTAGAGGCTTCCCAGCCTCTAGACCTCTTGGACTTCCCAAGGAAAAGGTGGTGGCAGGTTTGGTGTCTGGTGAGGGCCTGGTCTCTGCTTCCAAGATGTTTTCTTGAATGCTGCATCCTATAGAGGGGAGGAACTCTGTTTCTCACATAGCAGAGTTGCTTAAGAGAGAGAACCCAGCTGGGCGCGGTGGCTCACCCCTGTAATCCCAACACTTTGCGAGGCCGAGGCAGGTGGATCACCTGAGGTCAGGAGTTTGAGACCAGCCTGACCAATATGGTGAAACCCCGTCTCTACTAAAAAAAAAATACAAAAATTAGCCAGGCATAGAGGTGTGTGCCTGTAGTCCCAGCTACTCAGGAGGCTGAGACAGGAGAATCACTTGAACCAGCAAGGTGAAGGTTGCAGTGAACTGAGATTGCACCACTGCACTCCAGCCTTGGTGACAGAGCGAGACTCTGTCTCAAAAAAAAAAAAAAAAAAAAAAAAAAAAAAAGGGAGAGAGAGAACCCATTTCCAGAACCCCTTTTATTAAGGCATTAAACCCACTCATGAGATCTCTCAAAGGCCCCACTCATCAATACCATTACATTGGCAATTAAATTTCAACACGAATTTTGAAGGGGACCAACACTCAAAGCATAGCAGATATCTTATAGAGAAACAAACATAAGAAGAGCAGTTTTCTTGTTGTAAACCATGTAGGCTACATGACAGTGGCATGATATCATTTTAGAGCTAAAGGAAAAAAGGTCAACCTAGCAATCTAAATCCAGGGAAAATATCTGTCAAAAATGAGGGGAAATGAAGACTATTTCAGAATAAAGGAAACTAAAAAATCAATTGCCAGAAAACTTGAAGAAGGAAAATGATATCATATTTGGATCTACACAAAGAAGTAAAGAACACCAGACATAGTAAGATTGTAAGTAAATATAAAATAAAATTTCTCTTATTTTTTAGCCATCTTAAACATAATTGTATTAGTCAAGATTTTCCAAAGAAACAGACCCAGCTGCATGTGGATCGATGGAGAGATAGATATAAATTTGTTTTAAGGAATTGACTCACAAAATTGTGGAAATTTGGTAAGTCCAAAATCTGCAGGGTAGGCTGGAAGACTAGAGGCTCAAGAAAGAGTGACAATTTTAGTCCAAAGGTAGAAGCTGTAATCCCAGGAGAGCCAGTGGTATAGTTCTAGTCCAAGTTTGAAGTCCTGAGAACAAGGAGGGCTGATGACATAAGTTCTAGTTCAAGGGCAGGAGATCATTGTCCCAGCTTAAAAACAGTCAGGCAGAGAGTGGATTCTCCCTTACCACTAACCATCCTTCCTTGATTCTATTCAGACTCCAGTGAATTGGATGAGGTGCATCCGCATTGAGGAGGTCAATCTGTTTTACTCAGTCTACCTATTCAAATGTTAATCTCTTGCAGAAACACCCCCAAAGACCATGCAGAATAATGTTTAATTAAACATCTGGACCCCCCATGGCCCAGTCAAGTTGACACACAACATTATTACAGGCAGTTTGCTGGCAGAATTCCTTCTTGCTCAGGAGAAGTCAGTCTTTGTTCTATTAAGGTCTTCATCTGATTGGATGAGGCACATCCACATTATGGTAGGTAATCTGATTACTCAAAGTCCACTGACTTAAATGTTCATCTCATCCAAAAAACACCTTCAGAGAAACACATCTAGAACAATGTTTGACCAAATATCTGGGCACTGTGGCCCAGTCAAGTTGACATGTAAAATTAGCCATCGCAATAATTGACTATTTAAAATAATAACAATGTACCATAAAATTTATAACATATGTAAAATTGAAATTTGTAATTTAAAATTGGTAAATATGAAGCATGACAAGCAATAGAAGGAAATAGAAGTATACTGTGGTAAGGTCTTTACACTATACTTGAGGTGGTATAAAATTACTTGTAGGTAGACTATGATTTGTTAAAGATGTATATTATAAATCCCAGGGCAACCACATCAAAACTAAAACAAAAAGGTGTAGCTGAATGCCAGGCATGGTAGCTCATGCCTATAATCCCAGCACTTTTGGAGGCCAAGGTGGGGAAGATCAGTTGAGCCCAGGAGCTTGAGACCAGCCTGGGCAACATAGCGGGACCCTGTCTCAACAAAAAATACAAAAATTAGCCGGCCATGGTGGCATGCACCTGTAGTCCCAGCTATTCAGGAGGCTGAGGTGGGAGGATCACCTGAGCCCTAGGAGGTTGAGGCTGCAGTGAGCTGAGATTGCATCACTGTACTCCAGCCTGGGTGATAGAGTGAGACCTCATCTCAGAAAAAAAAAAAATGTGTAGCCATTAGTGAAGATAAATGCTATCATAAAAAACAAATACTCAATCCAAAAGAAAGCAAGGATGGGGGAAAGGGAATAAAGAACACATGGAACAAATAGGAAATAGCAATAAGATAGATTTAAATTTAACCATATCAATAATTCATTATGTGTAAATGGTCTTAATACTCCAATTTAAAGGCAGAGATTGTTAGATTGGATAAAGAGAAAAACTATACTCAACTATGTGCTATAATGCAACTAATATTTCATATAAAGACAGGTTAAAAATTAAAACAATGGGAAAATATATACTATGCAACTACTTATCAAAAGAAATCTGGAGTGGCTTTATTAATATCAGAGAAGATAAACTTAAGAACAAGGAACATTACAAGTATTAAAGAAGGGCATTTTCTAATGATAAAGGGGTCAAGTCAACAAGAAGCCACAGCTATTTTAATTGTGGGTGCAGCTGATAACAGGGCTTTAAATATATTAAACAAAAGCTAAAGACCTGAAAGTACACATAGAAAACACTACAGTTATAGTTGGAGATTGTATTTGTAAATATAAAGTTAACTAAAATTAGGCAAAATTAATTTAATTTTCATTTATTTTGAATGTGTATTTCATTCATGGTTTAAAATCAGAAGGATATCTAGTGAAAGTCTTAACTACACTGTCACACATTTCTTAGCCAGTTCTCATTGAAAACAACCACTGTGACCATTTTTAAAATATTGCCTTAAGATATTTTACGTATATGTAAAAAATTTTATTCTTTTTCTTTGCTTTCTTTTTTTGACAGAGTCTCACTCTGTTGCCCAGGCTGGAGTGCAGTGGCGCGATCTCGATTCACTGCATCCTTCGCCTCACAGGTTCAAATGATTCTTGTGTCTCGGCCTCCTGAGTAGCTGGGATTACAGGCACGTGCAACCACACCCGGCTAATTTTTGTATTTTCAGTAGAGATGGGGTTTCACCATGTTGGCCAGGCTGGTCTTGAACTCCTGACCTCAAGTGATCTGCCCGCCTCGGCCTCCCAAAGTTCTGGGATTACAGGTGTAAGCCACTGCACCCGGCCCTCTTTTTTTTCTTTTTTAAAATTCAAATGGTAGCACACTATTCACATTTCAGAACTCCATTTTATTTTACCACTTATTAATGTTTTGATTCCATGACTGGTACATAAAACTCTAAGTAAGTTTTAGGGCTTGTCACTTTCTGCATAGCTCTGTGAATTCTTCTTTTGTATGCAATTGTGCATGCTATGGTTTGAAATTTTTAAACACGTTTCAGTGCCCCAGGGAGAGTGTATTCATTTTTTTTTAATTGAGATGTAATTCACACACTGTAACATTCACCTTTTTAAAGTGTACACTCGTGGTTTTTTGCTATACTCAGAAAGTGGTGCAGTCACCACCCCTTTCTTTTCCAAAGCATTTTCATCACTGTATCCACTAGCAATCATTCTCCATTTCCCTTTCCCCTATACTCTGAAACCAGTAATCTACTTTATGTCTCTACAGATTTGTTTTCTCTGGACAATTCATACAAATGGAGTCATATGATAATAGCCTTTTGTGTCTAGCTTCTTCACTTAGTATAATATTTTCAAGTTTCATCTATGTTGAATAACTTCATTCCTTTCTGTGGCTAAATATTTCATTTTGTGACTATATCATATTTTGTTTGTATTAAAATTTTAAACATTCTTCTTAACAATATACATCCTTGTATAATTCAATCAATACAGGACCAGGTGGCACTATCTAGTATACATTACAATAGAAGCCCCCTTAGGTTGTGAATTTGAAAAGGCCTATTTTCAATATATTACAATTTGATACTTTTTATAGGGATATTTAGACATGAGTTAAACACACTTAGGAGAATCAAGAAACCTTGCCACAGGTTTCTGGGAAAGATGGCAGTTTACATATAAGTTTCTGAAGCTTTTCTCAGAACTGGAAATGGCCAAGAGACTTTCAAAAAAACAAAATGCTCCCAACTAATTTGTTTTGAAACCAGGGAATGTTGCCAACCACATTCCACAAAATTCAAAGAATTTCTATTAGTTATGGTGCAATGAGCCCGGACTGAAGAGACAGAGAAAGGAAATCCTGGAAACCTAACTGGAACCCCTTAATTTAGAGAGAGGCTGAGGCAGAGTGGGAGATGTGGCTGTAAGAGCATAGCTTATACTGGGCCGGGCGCGGTGGCTCTCGCCTCTAATCCCAGCACTTTGGGAGGCCAAGGCGGGCAGATCACGAGGTCAAGAGATCGAGACCATCCTGGCCAACCAACATGGTGAAACCCCGTCTCTACTAAAAATACAAACATTAGCTAGGCGTAGTGGCGCACGTCTGTAGTCCCAGCTACTCGGGAGGCTGAGGCTGGAGAATCGCTTGAACCCGGGAGGCGGAGGTTGCAGTGAGCCGAGATCGCGCCACTGTACTCCAGCCTGGGCGACAGAGCGAGATTCTGTCTCAAAACAAAACAAAACAGCAAAACAAAAAAGAGTACAGCTTATAGTAACAAACAGTAAATTGAGTATTTTCTTTGATTCGTCTTCTCAGTAACTTAGGGCTTCACTTCAAGGAAAAGAAGGACTTTCCCAAACAGAACTATCAGTGCTCACTTTCCCACCAAGAGAAAGGGAATCTGTATCAAATGGTGGGTGTACCAAGAGCGACTATCAAACCAAAGAGCAATGGACATGGGAATCTACCTTCCTATGAGACAGGGTGAAATATAGAAGTCAAATAATAAAGATTATTTCCTCTTCCTCACCTGATCCCAGGCAGGCCTGGCCTCAGCTCTCTCCAATATTCTTTAGATTTCTTTTAGAACAGTTATGAGAAGACCATACATCATCAGCCCTCCAAATGGATCTAAGAGGCGATTTTTAAGTGGTGCCTAGGATTAATAAGGAGGCTCAGGAGAATACATACACACTATTTAGGGTAAGTATTCCAGTCCTGTGTTTACCTCCATATTTCTAAATAATATGTCAATACTCTCTTTGCTTTTTAACTTTAGAGATTATATTGGCTTCTCATTTTGGTAGTTGCTGTTTAGCACACATATCTCCCAAGCCCCAACTCTTATCCCTTTTTAATCCTCTGGAATAGTTATATCACTGTTTCTACTTAAATCACTATTAAATATTTTTATTAATGGACTAAATTAATACTGCTGTCAGCTTGGCCAAGCAGTGTACTGATTGTTTCTTTTTCTTATTCAACTTTCTGTTTTTCCTGTACATAGTAATTGCCTGATTTATTTTCATTTGTTCATTTCCTTGTACCTTGCAGCCTTTGCTAATTTTTCTTCCTTCTTTCAGTATGATGTCTGACATGGTCAAATCTGGCAGGAATCTATCCATTTCATTTATTTTTCTGAAGACCATCCTGTGATCTTCACTGATTACCCTCTAGGCCTGCTATCCAGCTGTCATTCTGGGACTTTCCTTTGCTTTTCTCCTGTGTTAGGTTCCCTATTTCCTGCCTATTGTATCCTCTTTCTTAGTTTAATCCCTATTTTCAGTGATGCTTATAATTCTGGAGCTTCCTGAGAAAAGGTGCAGAGGAAGTTAATTTTGGGGGTGACTTTGCATGCCTGAAAATATGTTTTTTTTTTTTTTTTTTTTTTCTAATTCCTGTAATCCCAGCACTTTGGGAGGCCAAGGTGGGTGGATCACCTGAGGTCAGGAGTTCAAGACCAGCATGGCCAACATGGCGAAACCCCATCTCTACTAAAAATACAAAAATTAGCTGGTGCTAATTACAGGCGAGCACCTGTAATCCCAGTTACTAGGAAGGCTGAGGCATGAGAATTGCTTAATCCTGGGAGGTGGAGGTTGCAGTGAGCCGAGATCGCACCACTGCACTCTAGCCTGGGTGAAAGAGACTCTGCCTAAAAAAAAAAAAAGATGTTTTTTTCTATTCTTATACCTATTTAAGAGTTTTAGTTAGGTACTGACTTGCAAGTGGCAGCTCATTTACTCATTTACCCTCAGAATTTAGAATACGTGTTCAATTTATCTTCCCTAGGTATATTTAGAAAATACTTAAATCGCAAATATTAGGTACCAGACACTGTTCTGCACGCTTATAAATACGAACCTACCTTATCCTCATAACAACACTATCATTACTCACAGAGTATAGAGTCAGGATTCAAACCCAGCAGCCAGGTTTCCAACCTTTCCCCTATGCTGCCACCTCTGATATAGCTGTTGTAAAGCCAAATACCATTTGGATTTCTGTCATTTCTATGGGACCTGTTTTTCTGTCTGGAAGCTTTTAGGATCTTCTTTTCATTTTTGATGTTCTAAAATTTTATGATAATGTGTCCTAGGGATCTTTTAATATTCATTGTGTGTAATTGTGGATCCTTTTAATTTATAGTTTTATGTCTTTTAATTCTGGGAATTAAGTGTGTGTATATAAAATAATTTCCCTCCCATTATTTTCTCTGTTCTTCTTCCTTTCTGGAACTCATCTTCTGGATTGATCCTGTTTTTTTCATCAGAGCTGCTGGCATTCATTACCACTCAGATGTGCCTACTAACATAGGCTTCATCAGAGGCTGGACTGATAATTTGATTGCAAAAAGCTTTCTCTTTTTTTTCTAAATTCTGGGAGGAAGTTTTCTGTATTATTATTAACAAGTCCTTAATTTCAAAGAAAAGTGAGGGATTTTCTTGGTTTGTATCTTCCAATTGCTCTATTGATTTTTAAAAAGTCATTGCAGTTGTATTTTTATTTCCAAGATCTCTTTCTTGTTCTCTGAATTTTTCTGTCTTTTTTTTTCTTTTTCTTTTTCTTTTTTTTTTTTTTTGAGACAGAGTCTCACTCTGTTGCTAGGATGGAGTGCAGTGGTGTGATCTCGACTCACTGCAACCTCTGCCTCCCGGGTTTGAGCGATTCTCCTGCTTCAGCCTTCCGAGCAGCTGGGACTACAGGTGTGCACCACCATGCCCAGCTTATTTTTGTATTTTTTAGTAGAGACGGGGTTTCACCATGTTGGCCAGGATGGTCTCAATCTCTTGACCTCATGATCTGTCTGCCTCGCCTCCCAACGCTTGTTGGGATTACAGGTGTGAGCCTCTGTGCCTGGCCGAACTTTTCTTTTATGTGGCTTCCTGTTGCTGATTTATACACACAATATATTCTTATCATTCTGAGAGGAGTAATTACAGTGTTTTAAATTTCAAGAGTTCTTCAGCTTTTATACTTTTTTTCCTCTTCAAGTTCCTTTTTACAGTTTGTTTGAATCTCTATTTTTATATTACTGTAAATGTCTGGAAATACTTGGTTGTCCATTCATATTGTGGCGCAAGAGATCCAAAATCCCAAGGCTCAATTTTCCATTTTTCTCCCTTTTTTATAGTACTGGATAACTCCATTTTCTGTGTCTTTTCAGGGTTAGGCAGAGTCAATCAACTTTCTTCTCATCAGTATCTCTCTGCAAGCACTTGTTTCACTTTCTACTGTTCCTATAGGTAGTTACTATCCTTCCACCTCTTTTCATCTTCATATTTTTGTTGGCTACAAATGTCTCTAGCATTCATTAAAGTTGGAATTTGTGTTTCTGTTCTCATTCTCTTTGTTGTTTGAAGGAGATTTCTGAGAGAAGTGTGTAGAAGTATCTTCATTTTGCCATTTTAAATGAAAGTCGACCACTGTTCTTGAAACACCTTTCTTTCTTGGCTTCTGTGACTCCACAGTCTTTGGGTCCTCCTTACATCTCTTCCTTCTCTACTACATGTCTAAACTTTGGAGTCCCTTAGGTTGTGGTGTTTGGCTACCTACTCATCTCCCTCTATACTTCTACCCAAGGTGCTCCAATCCATTCATGTTAAATACCTCTGTATCCTGATGACTTCTCAAGTTTCTATTTCCATCTACTATTTCTCCACAGAGTCTCCATGTTATCTATTTTTCACATGCATCTCAAGCTTAACATGTCCAAAACTGAATTCTTGATTTTCAGCCCTAACCCTGTTCTTCCCCTAGTCTTTCACATCTCAGTAAACAGCAGCACCGTCCACCTGGTTGTTCAAGCCAAAGGCCTAATATTTTTTTCTCCTTATTTAACAACCTTCTCTCCACCACATTTAATCCAATCCATTTAATCTAAGATTCTTATTCCAAAGTATAACTTTAGTCTTTCTCTCTTAATTCAAACTGCTATAATTTCTTACTGGGATTACTGACAAACCTTCCTAATTGGCCCTTGCTTCTCCTTTTTTCTTTCAACCCCATTCTTCAGATAGCAGTCCTAATAAACTTGAAGCATCGATCAGACCATGTCAGTCCTTTCCCCTAAAGATCCTAATAACTTCTCCTGGCATTTCCAAGAATGTCCAAGCTTGTACAACACTGGGAATGACCTGGTTTTTTCCAACCTCTTTATCTCCTGCAGAGTGATTAGGGTGGAGAGGAACTGGAGTGTTTCTGACCTCAGAGCTTTGCATGTGCTGGTATTTTTACCTTGTTCATTGTATTTTTTTTGAGACAGAGTCTTGCTCTGTCTCCCAGGCTAGAGTGCACTGATGTGGTCTTGGCTCGCTGCAACTTCTGCCTCCTGGGTTCAAGCAATTCCTGTGCCTCAGCCTCCTGAGTAGCTGAAATTACAGGTGTGCACCACCACGTCCGGCTAATTTTTTGTATTTTTAGTAGAGATGGCTTTCATCACGTTGGCTAGGCTGGTCTCGAACTCCTGACCTCAGGTGATCTGCCCACCCCAGCCTCCCAAAGTGCTGGGATTACAGGCATGAGCCACTGCACCTGGCCTAAATTTTATCTTAAATGGTACTTCTCAAGAGGTCTAGGGAATCACCCAAACAAAAGAGGTTCCCCAAAGTATTCTTTCTGATAGGACTCCCTTTTTCTTAAATGACTTTCCCCAGTTCACATTGGATATTTCTTTGCTTACTTGTTTAAAGATTTTTCACACTAGAAGATGAAACTGCAGGCTAGTGCTAAGATTTTTTTCTTTACCTTTATCTCAATAAATATATTTTGAAAATTATTTTATTTATCTATTTAAGATGGGATCTTGCTCTGTCACCCAGGCTGGAGTTCAGTGGCGTGATCACAGCTCACTGTGGCCTCCAACTCCTGTGTTCAAGCAATCTTCTCACCTTAGCCTCCCGAGTAGCTGGGACCATAGGTGCACGCCACCACACTAGGCTAATATTTTATTTTTAGAAGTGGTTTCAACTGTATTGCCCAGGCTGGTCTCGAACTCCTGTACTCAAGGGATCCTCCTGCCTCAGCCTCCCAAATTGCTGAGATTACAGGCATGTGCCGCTGCAACCCGTCTTATTTTTTAAATTAAATGAATGATTTCTAAAGTAAACAACAATGAAACGAAACAAAACAAAAAATGGGATATATAAAATATTCTGCCACATAAAAGTAGAAGATTACCATAGCATTCCCCAAACCAAAGGCTGAACATACTCCAGAAAAGACAGTTCAGTTTTAGGGAGCATTTGCTTAGAAATTTCAGGATACTTAAACAAATTATGATTTCTTTGAATAAGCGATAGAAGATGTTATGGTAAGACAACAGAATGAGAATAAAAAAGAAATGTAAGACTAAAATGTAAGGGAACAAGTAAGACCACAACAGACATTATAATGGCATATGAAGCAATGAAGAGTGGAATTACCACTGCAGAGAATCAAGCCAGTTAAATGAGATAAGTATAAGAAGCTTTGTAAGAACATAGAGGAAATAGGCAAGAAGACTAGAGAGTTAGAAGGAATATAAAAGATACAGGAGACAAATAATAATGGTGTAGCATGTGGATAATTGGTGATCCCAAAAGGGAGAGAACAAATAAAACAAAGATGTTTCTGAAAAAAACAATGATCCAGATATGCCTGTGGCTAATGTATAATTAATGACAAAATGAACAACACCTAGAATTGTCTTGGTGACGTTCTTGCCTTTAAAGTTTTATGGAATTATTCATTCAAAATTTAAATATAAGTAAATAAAACCTCTTGAAGTGAGAAATCATGGTATGGAAGGGCTAGTGACAGTAATAAGCCTTGAAACTATTCAATTTAGAACAGGGTACATAAAACTATGATAAACATCGTATATTAGGCCACTCTTGTGTTGCCATAAAGAAATGCCTGAGACTGGGTAGTTTATAAGCAAAGAGGTTTAATTGGCTCATGGTTCTGTGGGCTATCCAGGAAGCATGCTGCTGGTATCTGCTCTGCTTCTGGGGAAGCCTCAGGAAGCTTACAATTATGGCAGATGGTGAAGCAGGAGCAGGCACATCACATGGCACAAGCAAGAGCAGGAGAGAGAGAGTTGTGTGGGGGAGGTGCCACAACTTTTCAGTGACCAAATCTCATGAGAACTCACTATCATGAAGACAGTATCAAGCCATAAGGGATTTGTCCCCATGATCCAAATACCTTCCACCAGGCCCCACCTCCAACACTGGGGATTACAATTCAACATGAGATTTGGGTGGGGACAAATATCCAAACTATACCACATGGTTACCTAAAAGATTGCAAAAGTCACATTATTAAAAACTGCAGGTCAATATCCCTGATGAACTTCAATGCAAAAATATTCAATAAAGTACTGGCAGACTGAATCTAGCAGCTCATCAAAAGGCTTATCCACTACAATCCAGTTGGCTTCATACCCAGATGCAAGGCTGGTTCAATATATAAAAATCAATAAATGTAATTCATCACATAAACAGCACTAAAGACAAAAACCACATGATTATCTCAATAGACACAGAAAAAGCCTTCAATAAAATTCAACATCCCTTCATGTTAAAAACTTTCAGTAAACTAGGTATTGATGGAACATACCTACAAATAAGAAGAGCCATTCATGACAGACCTACAGCCAATATCATACGGAATGGGAAAAAGCTGGAAGCATTCCTCTTGAAAACCGGCACAAGACAGGATATCCTCTCTCACCACTCCTATTCAACATAGTATTGGAAGTTCTGGCCAGGGCAATCAGACAAGAGAAAGAAATAAAACGTATTCAAATAGGAAGAGAGGAAATCAAACTATCTCTGTTTGCAGATGACATAATCTTATATCTAGAAAACCCCATCATCTTAGCCCCAAAACTTCTTAAGCTAATAATCAACATCAGCAAAGTCTCAGCATAGAAAATCAATGTGCAAAAATCACAGGCATTCCTATACACCAACAATAGACAAGCAGAGAGCCAAATCATGAATGAACTTCCATTCTCATTAGATACAAAGAGAATAGAATACCTAGGAATACAGCTAACAAGGGAAGTAAAGGACCTCTTCAAGGAGAACTCAGACCACTGCTCAAGGAAATCAGAATGGACATGAACAAATGGAAAAACATTCCATGCTCACAGGTAGGCAGAATCAATATCATGAAAATGGCCATACTGCCCAAAGCAACTTATAGATTGAATGCTATTCCCATTAAATTACCATTGACATTCTTCACAGAATTAGAAATAACTACTTTAAAATTTATATGGAACCAAAAAAGAGTGCATATAGTGAAGACAATCCTAAGCAAAAAGAACAAAGCTGGAGGCATCATGCTACCTACTTCAAACTATACTACAAGGCTACAGTAACTGAAACAGCATGGTACTGGTACCAAAACAGACATATAGAACAATGGAACAGAATACAGAACTCAGAAATAAGACTGCACATCTACAACTATCTGATCTTCAACAAACCTGACAAAAACAAGCAATGGGGAAAGGATTTCCTACTTAATCAATGGTGCTGGGAGAACTGTCTAGTCATATGCAGAAAATTGAAACTGGACCCCTTCCTTACACATTATACAAAAATTAACTCAAGATGGATTAAAGACTTAAATGTAAAATCCAAAACTATAAAAACCCTAGAAGAAAATCTAGGCAATACCATTCAGCACATAAGCATGGGCAAAGATTTCAAGGTGAAAATGTCAAAAGCAATTGCAATGAAAACAAAAATTGACAATCGGGATCTCACTAAACTGAAGCACTTCTGCACAGAAAAAGAAACCATCATCAGAGTGAACAGACAACCTACAGAATGGGAGAAAATGTGTGCAGTCTATCCATCCGACAAAGGTCCAATAACCATAATCTACAAGGAACTTAAGCAAATTCACACTAAAAAGCAAACAACCCCCTTAAAATGTGGGCAAAGGACATGAATAGACACTTCTCAAAAGAAAACATTTATGTGGCCAACAAACATATTAAAAAAAGCTCAGCATTACTGATAATTAGATAAATGTAAATCAAAACTATGATGAGATACCATCTCATACCAGTCAGAATAGAGATTATCAGAAAGTCAAGAAACAACAGATGCTGGTGAGGCTGTGGAGAAATAGGAACACTTTTATGCTGTTCATGGGAATGTAAATTAGCTCAACCATTGTGGAAGACAGTGCGGTGATTCTTCCAAGACCTAGAACCAGAAATACCATTTGACACAGCTATCCCATTACTGGGTATATACTCAAAGGAATATAAATTATTCTGTTATAAAGATACATGCACACATATGTTCATTGCAGCACTATTCACAATAGCAAAGACATGAAATCAACCCAAATGTCTGTCAATGATAGACTGGATAAAGAAAATGTAGTACATGTACACCATGGAATACTATGCAGCCATAAAAGGGAATGAGATCATGTCCTTTGCAGGGACATGGATGGAGCTAGAAGCCATTATCCTCAGCAACCTAACACAGGAACAGACAACCAAACAGCACACCTTCTCATTTATAAGTGGGAGCTGAACAATGAGAACACATAGACACAGGGAGGGGAACAACACATGATGGGGCCTGTTGGTGGGGTGTGGGAAAGGGAGAGCATCAGGAAAAACAGCTAATGCATGCTGGGCTTAATACCTAGGTGATGGGTTGATAGGTGCAGCAAACCACCATGGCTCATGTTTACCTGTGTAACAAACCTGCACATCCTGCACGTGGATCCCAGAACTTTAAAACAAAAACAAACAAACAAAAAAAAAACCCATCACATTATCGAAAAAGAAGGATCACTGCGCAAACAATGATAATACTCTAAACATATACAGTGTTAACATTTACAATAATTTGCTGAGACAAAAGTCCCAAACCTTACCTCTCCCAACTGGCTAGATGGCAGGTAGAAGGGGAGGCCATAGGAGGAAGTATTTTTCATATGAAATGTCAATAGATACTCTTCAATTATAATATAGATTGAGAATATTGAAGGGAAGCATGGATTTAAGTAATTTTTTAAAAAGATAACTACTGGCAGAACTAAAACATTTCAAATTATTATCGAAGGAAAACACATCAGTGAAACAGATAAAAGTTAGAAAATAGTAATAAACATTTAAAAACACACAACAACATGACAGAAATAGGACCAAGTGTATATTACTTAAAAAAAATAAAAATGAAGTAAAATCACCTAAGAAAGAAAGAAAGTACCACACTGGGTCAAAAACGAAATCCAATAAGGTAATACCTAGAAGAGACATCTACAAGGAGTAACAAAGGAAGTGTAACCACTATTTATTGATTCAGTAGATCAATGAATCAAATTATTGCATGCCTACCATGTGCCTAGCACTGCTCCACATGCTGGGTTAAAAATGTAAGAATTAGCAAAACATGACATACAAATACAAACAAAAATAAAGCAGGAGTCCCAATTTTGACATAGGAGTATTTTATGTTCCTGTAAAAATCAACAAATAGGACAAAAGGATTACTGTTTTATTGCTGACATATAGAAACCTCAATAAATACCTAATTGTAGTGAAATTATGTACAATAAAAAACAACATAATGATAAAATACATAATGGAAAATCTGTTTGCGATGCGTGAAGAAAAAAATCTGTGGTGGGAGAACATTAGCATATTCCTGTGAGTCATTAACTAACCAAAGAGGAACAAATATGCATTATACTAGAGAAACTGAATAATATAATTAATGAGATTTATTTGAATATATAACAAATTTTATTGTTTGCCAAAAAACCTTTCTCCTTTTTTTTTTTTTGAGATGGAGTTTTGCTCTTGTTGCCCAGGCTGGAGTGCAATGGCACGATCTCAGCTCACTGCAACCTCTGCCTCCTGGGTTCAAGCGATTATCCTGCCTCAGCCTCTCAAGTAGCTGGGATTACCGGCGACCGCCACCATGCTTGGCTAATTTTTGTACTTTTAGTAGAGACGGGGTTTCACCATGTTGGACAGGCTGGTCTCGAACTCCTGACCTCAGGTGATCCACCTGCCTCGGCCTCCCAAAGTTCTGGGATTATAGGCATGAGCCACCATGCCCGGCCCAAAATCCTCCTTTTTGTGTCCACAGGACACTAAATGACAAATTCTTAATTCAAAATGACTCATGTATTTAATTTTATTTTAAAAATCTGTATCTGTAAACAAATATATTCATATAGATAAAAATAAAGCAAGATGGAGATTGCAGAATTAATGGTACTTTTACTGGGTGGTGGTATTTCTAGTTATCAATATTTTCCTTTTATGTATATGCATTTTCTAACATTTCTGCAATGAAGAGGTATATAATCATACATCTTAAAATTATACTTTAATTATAATTATAATTTAAAAAAGATAAAGGAGACAGCTGGAAAATCTATGCTAAATGAAGTATTAGAAGAGAGATGGACTGTCACAAAAGAAAGGTGATTAGTAGGAAGGAGGAAGTGTGCACAGAGGGAAGAAACCTTCAGCGTGTCTTGGGAAGCTTTATTAAACTACAAGAACTGAGAGAAATCCAAGAAAAATGCATTGTTAGTTCATATATGGAAAAGGAAGCCAAAGTGGTATATAACTAGAATGGAACTTCTCATCACAGGCAGAGCACGTTCCCAGAGCATACTGCAAAGTAAAGAACAGAAAGAGAAATAGATCTCAAAGGACTATAGATATTAAAATTAATGCTAACCCTGGAAGGATTATGTTACTATGCTGTTGATTTTGGAAAGTGAGGGAAATTTCAAGCCTCTTGAAATTATAAAAGACACAGTGGTATATTAACAAGAACCCGGTGGAATTGACATACTTGAGTCAGAATTCAAGGTTTGCCACTTAACCAGCTTGTAACCTCATTACTTAAAGGTCTCTTGCCCTCTGTTTTCTTATCTATAAAATAGAAAGATATGCTTTCTTTGAATGACTATACCGTTGAATCATCCAAAAAGCACATATACACATACATGTATGTACATATATATGAATATATGTATATATACACAGACATATGTAGCATCAGGCATAAGTGAATCCTGAGATGGTTAGGAAAAGCTTTCAAAAGAAATGGAATTGGATCTTGAAAGATTAATTTACTAATTAATATGTATTGAATACTTACCACAAGCCAGGCACAGGGGCCACTGAGGGAAACAATAGGAACGGCCACTGCCCTCAGGAAGCTTCTATTCCAGTGATGAGTAAGACTTTTTAAGGCAAAGAAGGTGCATCCCTGAGCTAGAGAATAGTGGAAGCTGGATTACATTCTATATGTCAAATACTGTAAAAACCTTGACCCAAATTGGTCTTAATTATTCACTAAAACCTTTAAATCACCCATTTACCTAGTATAGCAGTTTATGGGCAGAAAAATGTATTTACCCAACAAACAATGGCATGCTTCTGTAAACTCAGTACTCTGAGAGTCCTTTAAAGATAACATAATAAGAGCATGCGTATTATTTCTTTAAGAAACTCGTAGTGCAGTAGGAAAGTTAAGACATATGGAGCCATGTCTACAATGTAGTGCAAAATATTAGAGAAGGGACTAAGGTGGTGCATGAGAACAGAAAGGTTATGTTGGATAGGGAGGCATCATGGGAATTCCATAGAGGGATATTGGCATTCAAAATACACCTTGCAGGAAAGCCAGAATCTGGACATACTAATCCTTGGGCAGGAGGAAGTGTGATAGAGCACACTCCTGAGATATGAAAAGGGATGAAAAAAGGCCAGAGAAGAAAAATAAGTTATCAATAATCAAATAATTGGATTTGATTAGATTGATAATAATCACAGCATCATTTTTTTTCTTTCTACATAATTTCAAAGATTATGGTTTGGGCAGTAATAATGCAGGCCTATAGAACTGAATAGGTAATTATGGGACATTGGTAAAGATCAAATTCTTAAGTGTTAATTTCTTACTACCTATGATCAGCATTTCTTAAGACGAGTGGGAAATTAGGACCCACATGTTGAGTAAGATGTTCATGAGAATGTCAAGGAGCCTTGTCAACCTTGATGGACAACTGATGTTAAAAAGACAATAAAGTAATTCTCATAATTTAATGGAAAGAGATTGCTATTTAATGCCAGAAGAGGAAGAACTAATATATGCAAAGGCCTGTAGAAATGAGGAATATGAACAAAATAATCCCCTTTTTGTTTCAGGAAAATGTAAAGTAGTGCCCCAGGGACTGTTGGCAAATATTATCATCTTTGAAAGCTACTGCTTAACACAAATTCCGGGAAGCTGGAGGCTTCTGGGTAATGTGAATCACAAGGAAAGAATGCCCCATTTTGTGGCTGAAACTTTTAAATGGGATACTGGTTGATCTCAGTAAAGAAGTCTGGGGGTCAGAGTTAGTTTGGAAGAATTTTCAGCCTGTTGCTGTAGAGGCTGCTACACAGGGCCCTGACTTTGGTTTGCTTCTTTTTTGGCCTGTCTGATTAGAATGTTCCATGTGACCATCTGCTGTGGGAACCACTCACATCTCTAGGGACATGATTCTTTCTCCTCAATATATAGAATTATAACTGTTAAGAATTTTGCTGAAGATGTAGCTTAAGTAGGCACATTGGCTCACGCCTATAATCCTAGCACTTTGGGAGGCCGAGGCTGAGGTGGGTGAATTGCTTGAGCCAAGAGGTTGAGACCAGCCTGGGAAACATGATGAAACCCCATCTCTACAAAAAATACAAAAATTAGGCCAGGCATGGTGGTGCATGCCTGTAGTCCCACCTACTCGGGGTGCTGAGGTGGGAGGATCGCTTGAACCTAGGAGGCTGAGGTTGCGGTGAGCCGAGATCATGCCACTACACTCCAGCAAGGACGACAGAGCCGAACTCTGTCTTAAAAAACAAAACAAAACAACAAACACAGTGTAACAGGGTTCTACTCATTCTTTTAAATGAATATTTATTAAGCACTGATTGTATACATGGTTCCTGCCTTTGAGAATTTTTATTTCATTTAGTGGCAAAATATACATATTTCATATTTATATATATTGTGCATTTCACTGACTGGATCTTGAAAGAGAGAGAGCTATATAATATAAATATAACATTTAATAAATATAAAATATAAATTTATAAATAATAAATATATAAAATTTAATAAATATAAAATGTAAATATAAAATTTACCTTATATGTATCCTGATATGTGTATATATATCCTGATATATGTATATTTATGTTTTTTATATATATATGTATATATATGTGTGTATATATATATATATATTTTTTATTTATTTTTATTTTTTTGAGATGGAGTCTTGCTCTATCGCCCAGGCTGAAGTTCAGTGGCACGATCTCGGCTCACTGCAAGCTCCGCCTCCTGGGTTCACGCTATTCTCCTGCCTCAGCCTCCCAAGTAGCTGGGACTACAGGCACCCGCCACCATGCCCAGCTAATTTTTTGTATTTTTTAGTAGAGACGGGGTTTCACCATGTTAGCCAGGATGGTCTCGATCTCCTGACCTTGTGATCCACCGCCTCGGCCTCCCAAAGTGCTGGGATTACAGGCATGAGCCACTGTGCCCGGCCATATATATTTCTTTAAAGTAAAAATCCTGGCCAGTGCTAACTCATCATCCTACTTTAAAATAAACAAATATATATGTATATTGAGGTTGATATTTCTCTATATATTTATAAATATTTCTACAGAAATAAATATACATATATATACACACAAGTATCTAGTCAGTGAAATGCATGAAAAATGATTATAATGTGATCAGTGGTGTAGTAGGTCTCTATAGTAAATGCTATGGGAAGAGGCTGTATGAACCGCTTTGTGCTAGAGATAGCTTCAAAAAAGATATTATCTGAGCCTCTTTGTGAGGAATGGGAGGTTGGTGGTAGGAAAAGGCAGGGTGAAGGGTGGGGGAAGGAAAACACTTTGGGAGAGAGGGTAAAAGACTTGGATGGGCAAAGGCTTACACTATATGGTCAAGGAATTACAAAGAGCTCCGTGGGGTTAGAGCATCAATGAATGGGAATAATGCAGGACATGAGGCTGGAAAGAATTTGGGACCTGGCCAGGATCGGCCTTGTGCTTAGGATGAGGCATGAGCATTGGCCAGGACTGGCGAGAGTGTCATTGAAAGTTTCTACACAGATCTACGCCACGTGAAAATGTACTGAGCAAGAGACTGAAGAGAGGGAGGTGAGTTAGGAGGAGTAAAGAAAGGAGAAGACTTTCCTTTCTTTGACTTGCCACTGCATAGCAGACGGAGGGCAGGGAAACCTAGCAATGCCAACAATGTAGAATGTGTAGGATTTGGGGAACTAAATGTAAATGGTGAGGGGAGATAAGGTAATTCCCAGGGCGCCTGCTTGAGTTGAGTAAGTTGAGTAACCAATTGATAATGATGGTGCCATCTACTCAAGAAGAGTAAATTTGGTATTTTTCTTTGTGGTTGTCCCTATATGTTGATTTTTATTTTTGGCTGTAGTTCCAGAAGGTGATGGAATTCAACAAGCTGATGGGATTCAAAATGGAAAATGTTAAGCCTACCTAAATGGTGGCTGCCCCATTGCTGTTAGGGAGAGAGTAGATGGCACACCCATTGCTTTCTCCATTAGCAGCTTGCTTCCTAGAGAGACACAGATTATGCAAGCATAGAATAACAAGGCAAAGTGACAATTACAGAGTAGAGGTTGCTGAGCTGGGGGAGGAGTTAGCTTCCAACTTTGCTGGGGATAGAACCTGAGGTGGAGTGTTGCTAAAGGCTTCCTGTAGAAAGGGACTCTTTTTGTTTAATTAAAATTTTTTGTTTATAATTATTATTGGTACATAATAGTTCTATATATTTATGGAGTACATGTGATGTTTTGATATAGGCATACAATGTGTAATGATGAAATAATGATAATTGGGGTATCCATCAGCTCAAGCATAGACAAAATTTACTTCATGAACAACCTAAATGTCCATCAATAGACAAAAGGATAAAAAAATGTGGTACATATACATAATGAAGTACTATTCAGCCATAAAAAGAATGAAATCCTGTCATTTGCAACAACATGAATGGAACTGGAAGTCATTAAGTGAAATAAACCAGACACAGAAAGATGAATTTTACATGTTTTCACTCATATGTGGGAGCTAAAAATTTTAAAAACTGAATTCATGGAGATAGAGAGTAGAATGATGCTTATCAGAGACTGGGAAGAGTGGCAGGAGTGGAGGATAAAGTGAGGATGGTTAATGGGTACATAAATACATTTAGAATGAATAAGTTCTAGGGCCAGGTGTGGTGGCTCATTCCTGTAATCCCAGAACTTTGGGAGTACGAGGCAGGCAGATCACGTGAGGTCAGAAGTTCTAGACCAGCCTGGCCAACATGGTGAAACACTGTCTCTACTAAAAATACAAAAAATTAGCTGGGCATGGTGGCCTGCACCTGTAATCCCAGCTACTCGGGAGGCTGAGGCACAAGAATCGCTTGAACCTGGGAGGAAGAGGTTGCAGTGAACTGAGATTGTGCCACTGCACTCCAGCCTGGGTGACAGAGTGAGATTCTGTCTCAAAAAAACCCCTCAAACATGAATAAGATCCAGTCTTTTGTAGCATAATAGGGTGACTTTTTTTTTTTTTTTTTGAGACGGAGTTTCACTCTTATTGCCCAGGCTGGAGTGCAAGGGTGCTATCTTGGCTCACCACAACCTCCGCCTCCTGGGTTCAAGTGATTCTCCTGCCTCAGCCTCCCAAGTAGCTGGGATTACAGGCATGTGCCACTACGCTCAGCTAATTTTGTAATTTTAGTAGAGACAGGGTTTCTCCATGTTGGTCAGGCTGGTCTTGAACTCCCGACCTCAGGTGATCTGCCCACCTTGGCCTCCCAAAGTGCTGGGATCACAGGCATGAGCCACCGTACCTGGCCAATAGGGTGACTATTGTTAACATAATTTATTGTATAGCCTGAGCAACATAGTGAGACCCTGTCTCTACAAAAAATAAAAAAAAATTAGCTGGGCATGGTGACATGCACCTGTGGTCCAAGTTTCTAGGGAGGCCAATGTAGGAGGATCACTTGAGCCCAGAGATTGAGGCTGCAGTGAGCTGTGATCACGTCACTGTACTCTAGCCTGGGTGGCAAAGTGAGACCCTGTCTCAAAAAGAAGAAAAAATTTATTGTATATCTAAGTATAATTAAAGAGTGGAACTAGAATGCTCCTAACATGAAGGGACTCTTGAGCTGAGGCTTGAGGGATATGTGGAAGTTTTACAGGTGAAAAAGTGAGAAATGTACATGTAAAGACATAACATACGAGAAAATATGGCTTATTTAAGCAACGACAAATGGTCCAGTTTCATTAATACTAGTATGAGAGGGGAAGAATGACATGAAATGAGGCTAGAAAGGTAATCAGTAGCAGAACAGTAAAAGTAAGAAGTTACCATTTTTACCCTATAGTTGATGAAGAGGCATTGGAGAATTTTGAGGAGGATCTTGATAGCTGATCTGATCACTTGCTCATTCACTCATTCACTCACTCACCAAATATGATCTAGGTTCAATGTTGGGCCACTCTGGTAGCAATGTG
The DNA here is from genome assembly GCF_000001405.40 of Homo sapiens. Lineage (NCBI taxonomy): Eukaryota > Metazoa > Chordata > Mammalia > Primates > Hominidae > Homo > Homo sapiens. Next base: position 88,008,949 of record NC_000010.11, read on the forward strand.
AAAAATGAATAAATAAAAGATATTTGGCAGAGAACACCAGCTGTTTTCACCAAATGTACTTCTGCCTGGATACACAGCCAGACCACACATCTCAGTCTCTCTTGCAGTTAGGTGTGGTCATGTGACCTTAGTCTAGTCTATGGAATGTGTGCAAAAGTGAGTTGTGTTGTATTCTGTCCAGGCCCATTAAAACCTCACGTGTGCTGGGTTTTATGCTGGCTGACTGAGTTGAGATCTTGGAAACCAAGTCATGGAGATACTAGTGCTGTCACCAGAATAGGCCTCCCTACTGTCTTGAAACACATACTGGACTGTTAAGTGGGCCAGAAGTAAACATTTATGTGTTTACTTATAAGTTGAGTCATTGTGTATTTGGATCTGTTGCCATTGCTCAGCCTATCCTAATAACACAGAGTGACATAAGAAATTGGGTGAAAACATGAATATCTCAGCTGGGGGCAGTGGAAGTGGGGATAGAGAAAAGTAGGGGAGATAATAAATTGCTATTTAGGACATAGAGTCAACAGCATCTGAAAGATGGTTGGCTGTAGTTGGTGAGATTGGAGGCCAGGTCCAGCATGACTCCAAGGTTTCTGACTTGGGCAACTATACCAAGAAATCCCACAAAGACTAACATTATATCTTACCTTTACCATTTTGACTTGTGTTATTATTATTTAAAATTTCATAAGCTTTTTTTTGAGACTGGGTCTCTCTGTCACCCAGGCTGCAGTGCAGTGGTATGATCATGGCTCACTGCAGCCTCAGCTTCATAGGTTCAAGCAACCCTTCTGCCTCAGCTTCCCAAGTAGTTGGGACTACAGGCACACATCACCACACCTGACTCATTTTAAAAAAAACTTTTTTTGTGGAGAGAGGGTCTTGCTATGTTGCCCAGAATGGTCTTGAACTTCTGGCTTCAAGTGATCTTCTGCCTAGGCCTCCCAAAGTGCTGAGATTACAGGCATGAGCCACTGCACCCAGCCAATATAAACATGTTTTGATTCAAAGGATGTAATATTCTTGCTAAAGATATCTAGCTAGTATACCATTTACACTTATAAACTATTATAAATCAGTTAGTATTTATATTATATTTCCTTATTTAACTATTTGAAATATTTTAATTGTTTTTGTATGTGAAAATAGACAGCTTTTCACAACTGACATTATTATAATTTTACTTTTGTAGTAATACATATTTTTCAACTAACTGATAGAATTTCTGCATATATAGTTTTCAAGATTTTCACTCTGTTACATGTCAAACGTTTATATTTGAAAGTGAGTATTTTGATGTTAACAATAAATCTGAATGACAGACTTTTTCTATACTACTGTGATGTGGTCAAATATGATGGAAACCTATGTGATCACATGGTTGTCAGTATGCACAAGTTCAGGGGTGCCAGAAGTAGCAATGAAGTTGGCATTCAGTTATTTGGTCTTTATTGTTATTTATTTATTTATTTTGAGATGAAGTCTTGTTCTGTCGCCCAGGCTGGAGTGCAGTGGCGTGATCTCGGCTCACTGCAACCTCCACCTCCCGAGTTCAAGTGATTCTCCTGCCTCAGCCTCCCGAGTAGCTGGGATTACAGGTGCGCACCACCATGCCTGGCTAATTTTTGTATTTTTAGTAGAGATGGGATTTCACCATGTTGGCCAGGCTGGTCTTGAACTCCTGCCCTCAGGTGATCCGCCTGCCTCGGCCTCCCAAAGTGCTAGGATTACAGGTGTGAGCCACTGCGCCAGGCTAGTTATTTGGTCTTTCAAAGCTGAGCACTGAGGTAGAAGGACACTGAGAGAATGTCTAGATTAATAAGAGAATGAGGAACGAATAACTAATTAATTTAATAAATATTTATTTAGAGTCCATTATGGGTCAAGCACTGTTCTGGGTATTGGGATATGTTAGTGAAAAACACAGACAGATCTCTGTCTTTATGGAACATACATATTCTCATGTGATGGAATCAAGAAAAGTGAGGAAGAGAAAGCTTCAAGGAGGGAGGTATGATCAACAATTTCAAGTCTAAACAAATTAAAATAGGACTGAAAAATGTCTGTTGGGTTTGGCAGTTAAGGAGTTAAGCTGCTGGTCTAGAGGAATTATTGTATTGGAAGCCAGATTACCATGGGCTGAGTGTGAATGGGAGGTGAAGAAGTAGTGTCTTAGTCCATTTCTGCTGTTATAAGGAAATACTCTAGGCTGGGTTATTTACAAACAACAGAAATCTATTTCTCACAGTTCTGGAGGCTGGGAAGTCCAAGATTGAGGTACCAGCAGATTTCGTGTCTGGTGAGGGCTCATTCTTGAGAGATGGTGCCTTCTATGTGTCCTCACAGAGCAGAAAGGGCAAGGCAACTCCTTTCAACCTGTTGAAAATAAGGTCACTAAGCCCTCATGACTTAATTACTTCCTAAAACATTCCTCCTCTTAATGCTATCACATTGGGTATTAGTATTTTGTATAGTTTGGCTTTGTCCCCACTCAAATCTCTAATTGTAGCTCCCATAATTCCGCTGCGTTGTGGGAGGGACCTGGTGGGAGGTAATTGAATGATAAGGGCAGGTCTTTCCTGTGCTGTTCTTGTGACAGTGAATATGTCTCATGAGATCTGATGGTTTTATAAAGGTGAGTTCCCCTGCACATGCTCTCTCTTGCCTACTGCCATGTAAGACATGACTTTGCTTGTCATTCGCCTTCTGCCATGATTGTGAGGCCTCCCCAGCCATGTGGAACTGTGAATCCATTAAACCTCTTTCCTTTATAAATTACCCAGTCTCAGGTATGTCTTCATTAGCACTGTGAGAACAGACTAACACAGTATTCCAACATATAAATTTTGAGGGGACATGTACTTTCAGGCTATTGTATAGGAATCATTTAGAAGTTCAGCTATTAAGAGAAGGGGAAAGGTCAGTAGCTAGAAGAAAGGCTGAAAGGATATTTGTTGTAACCTGGGAAAGGCTTGAGTGTGTTATGCTGATGGTACAAAGGAGTGTCAACATCTGGAAGAATAAGGAGAATTAGTAAGAGGTCAGTGGTCAGGCATGAGGCGAGGTAGAGGTAGAGAGATCTTTGAAAGTGCCAAAGTCGATGGGAAGGAGAGCTGTAGGGAGAGAGTCTCCTTAGGTTGCTGGAATGACCTTAGCAATATGCTCTCCACTGTCACTAATGGGAAACAGTGACACACGTGGCACTTATTTTCAAGAGCCATGGCAAGAGATGATCTCCAACTCCTGGGTCCTTATTAGGATCCAACCTGCCTAAGCACAGTGCTTCCTTCCAAACCACAGAAAAGACAATCAGAAGTGGTGGGGACGCCACTCAAACCTGAAGCCACCGTGCAGGAAACTTAGGCCTTAGAAATGAGGAAATGGCAGGATTCCTTCTGCTTCATTTTGGTTTTCAGAAAATGAGGAGTTCTGCATAGGAACTTGGAGTGACAGACTCTGAGTGGTAGGATAAGGTCAAGCAGCTTGTTCACTGTTCAAGGGCACCTGGGCTAGGGAACAAATGGGGACCGAAAATCCTCTGTTCATCAAACTCATGCCTGGGGCATAGGACTGCAAAGAGACCTCTCTCTCTCTCTCTTTTAAAGAGACAGGGTCTCACTATGTTGCCCAGGCTGGTCTTGAACTCTTGGCCTTAAACAATCCTCCTGACCCAGCCTCCCAAAGTGCTGTGATTACAGGCATTAGCCACTGCCCTTGGCTTATTATTGTTATTATTTTCTAATTCATACAGACTGCTAGCAGCAATCCTGGCCAAACTCACATACTACTATAGAAGCTCTACCTACTGACTCAGAAATTATTCCTTATCTTTAAGGAGCTTAATTCCACACTCTTGAACACCCGGAACACAATTCTGTTCCCAGGGTGTAGTAGGGACTTCTTGAGTGGGTATTTTTAGAAGTGCTATTTTTGATAACCAAGTAATCATCCACAGATGCGTCACACAAGCAGTAATGTGAATATTAAAGAAACACGTGGGAAACATCTACAACCTCATTAGAAAGCAAAGAAAGTAGAATAGAGCAGCCTCGAGGCAACATTTTATACATAATCATATCAAAATTGAATGATTATGCCCTATGTGGGGAAGTGGGTGATAAAACTTACACTCACAGGGCAGCTGGCATCATTTGAGGACAAACCTGTTTGGAAAGCAGCATGACAACATGCAGCATGAATAATAAAGATGCCCCTCTTCTTTTTCCCCACGAAGTTATCCCATGCCTGAACATTTATCCCATGTTACTAATTCAGAAAAAAGCCTTATATATATGATATGAAGTTGTTCATTGCAATGTTATCTATAATGTCAGATAAATAGGAACTCAAGAAATAAATCATGCACTGATCAAGGAATAAATGAATAAGTTCCACGAAAGGAACATTCCATATAGGGTAGCTTCATAATAATGGTATGCTTCCAGAAGCCATATGTGCAAAATGTGTGCCACTCAAATACCATATACAAATTATACAGTGGTGTCTTTTGTTTTCACAAGTAATCTTAAACAAATTTTTTGCAAGGAAAAAAATCTAGGCATTGTTTAAATGCTTCCAATAGAGTAGTGAGTAGTGGTTCTCAAACTTAATTGTGTATCAGAATCACCTGGATCATCCCCCACTGCCCCTCAGAGATTCTGATTCAGTAGGTTTGGGTTTGGGCCTGAGCATCAGCTTTTTTTTTTTTTTTTTTTTGAGATGGAGTCTCACTCTGTCTCCAAGGCTGGAGTGCAGTGGTGCGATCTCGGCTCACTGCAATATTCACCTCCTGGGTTCAAGCGATTCCCCTGCCTCAGCCTCCCGAGTAGCTAGGATTACAGACGCGCACCACCACGCCCAGCTAATTTTTGTATTTTTAGTAGAGACGGGGTTTCGCCATGTTGGCCAGGCTGGTCTCGAACTCCCGACCTGAGCTGATCTGCCCACTGCGGCCTCCCAAAGTGCTGGGATTACAGACATGAGCCACCGCGCCTGGCTGAGCATCAGCATTTCTAACACATTCCCAGGAGATGCTGATGCTGCTGGTCCTGACACTTTACTTTGAGAAACACTAGTTTAGAAAAACTAGCTTTTGCCCAGGGAATCACAATTATCACTAAGCATCTAAGTAGAAAGCAAAAACAAAGACATACATTCCTTGAGGTCACAAATTGTGTCTTGCTTATCCATGCATCCTCGGCAACCTGACTCCATGCAGTGTCTACATAAATGCTTTTTGAATTGAGTTGCATCCATAGGCAGAAATTTCAATAAACAGTGGGGATCTTCACTTTCCAATTTCTTGTTATCAACTGGGTCATAGTAGCATTCATGTTGAAGCCATCACGGTCAGCACAGGCACTCTGAGCTGACCCTTAGAATAGTCAAACTGCTGCTGAGACTGGGCAATGAAGTAGGTGATGAATTTTGCTGTTGTTATATTCTGTGCCTCTTAGAACACTGAATTCTTAGCAACAGAAGCTGAAAAATCAACCCACTGGCCTAGCAGTGAGGAATGGTAAAGAGAAGTGCCTATGATGTCAGCAGACTTGAGTTTATAAAAGAGATGTACTACAATTAAATAAAATACTTCAATTACAATTAATATCTTTATACAAGCTTCTTTGTATTTTCCGAAATTGTGGAAATGCTAGTCACATGCTTTCAAATTGCTCTGCAAAAGGATTTTGCCAGGGATTTTAAATTTTACTTCTAGTAATAAAGTTTCTTTATAACTTTGCTGATATTGGATGCTATTAATCTTTTTATTCTTTATATTTTAGGGAAAAGTTATTTTTACTGTTTTAAGTTGCATTTCTTTGACTCTAGTGAGGTTAAGCAAATCTTATGTTTAAAGCAAATCATCTATTTGTATTTCTTGTGTGACTTGCTTGCTCTAATTTTTTGCTTATTTTCAATGCAGTTGCCTGTCTTTTCCCTACTTATTTGTAATTAGTTTTTCTGAATCGTAAGTAGTTATGCATTGTTGGTTATATGTTTTCTCAGTCCGTTGATTGTCTTTTAACATTTTTATGGTGCTTATCAGACACATATTTAAATTTTTATACAATTGATGCCATCATTTTTGGTTTTGGCTTCTGGGTTTTCTGACCCACATGAAAGATTTATAAGATTAAAAAAATACTTTTTGTATTTTAACCTTACACTTTATTTTAAAATATTTTGTTCTTTAATCAATCTGGAATTTATTTTTAGTATGGCACGAGGTAGTGATCTAATGAATATCCATTTTTATAATATCATAACTATACTTTCCCCATGAAATGCTACTTTATTTACAATCTTTTTTTTTTTTTTTTTTTTTTGAGACAGCGTCTCGCACTGTTGCCCGGGCTGGAGTGCAATGGCGCGATCTCGGCTCACTGCAACCTCCACCTCCCAGGTTCAAGCGATTCCCCTGCCTCAGTCTCCTGAGTAGCTGGGATTACAGGCATCTGCCACCATGCCTGGCTAATTTTTTGTATTTTTAGTAGAGATGGGGTTTCACTATGTTGGCCAGGCTGGTCTCGAACTCCTGACCTCATGATCCGCCTGCCTTGGCCTCCCAAAGTGCTGGGATTACAGGCATAAGCCACCACGCTTGGCTTACTTTTATAATTTTTAAGCTCCCATAGACATGTAGCATTTTTGAATATTTTGTATCAGTGGGCTAACTCTTTATTCATTAGCTAATACTACCTATTTTAACCTTGGCTTTTTGTTAGAGATTGTGGTGAGCCAAGATTGCACCACTGGACTCCAGCGTGGGGGACAGAGCAAGACTCCATCTCAAAAAAAAAAAAAAAAAGTTTTCCCTTACTGTTATTTAAAAAATTATTGGCTTCTCTCATTCATCTTCTTTTTAAAAATTAAAATTAATTAATTAATTCATTAATTTTTAGAGACAGGATTTTGCTTTATCTCCCAGGCTGGAGTGTTGTGCTCAAACATAGCTCATTGCAGCCTCCAATTCCTGGGTTCAAGCAGTCCTCCTGCCCCAGTCTCCCTAGCATCTAGGACTACAGGCATTCTCCACCATGCCCAGCTAATTTTTTTATTTTTTATTTTTTTTGGTAGAGGTAGAGATGAGGTCTCACTGTGGTGCCCTGGCTGGTCTCAAACTCCTGGCCCCAAGTGATCCTCCTGTCTCGGCTTCCCAAAGTGCTGGGATTATGATGTGAGTCACCATGCCCAACCCTCATTTTCTTTTATATAAAATTTAGAAGCAGTTCGTCAACTTCCAGAAAAGTTTGTGTTGGAATTTTGATTAAAAAATGTATTTTCTGTTTTGCAGTGGGCAGATGTATGCAAACCTATCCTAAAGTTCAAGGAAGCTGAGAGGCCGAAGAAAGAGGCTGACAAATCTAGTTTCTCAGAAAGAAACCTTTAACAGGGATTTAGGAACAGAAGCCATGTCTGGGTCTCAGACAGGGCAGGATGAGATGGTGAGTTCTTTGTGCCATTACCCCTGAGGCCCAGGGCTTATATACCATAGGAGAGGGGTGGTTTGGAAGAGATGTGTAGCGCCATTGAAGTACGAGAACATCAAGATTGTTTGACCTACAGGCAGGATTTATAGTAGTAAGTACCTGCTTTTATGCAAGGGACAATGTAGAGAAACTGGAACTCTCAGAGCCCTCTTGGAACTGGGGTTAATCAGAAGCCAACCTGGTGAAGTAGCATCCAAAGTGAAGTTGCTTCACCCGCCACAATTTCTATTTAAAACAACAGTATATTTCATTTATTTAGATTTTCTTTTATGTCATTCATATTATTCTTGAATGTTTCTTCTTGGGTTTATTCCAAGTTTGTTGCTTTAGGAATAGTACAGTATCTTTTTTCTTTTAACTTTCTAACTGATTATTATAGACAATTAGATATTCTATTAAATTTTGTGGTCTTGTACTAGCCATATTTACTCTCAGATGAGTTTCAGAAATTTCTTAGTTTATTCCCCTAATTTGTTACTTTATGTAGACAATTATATTATCTTCAAAGAATCATCACGTCTTTTCCTTTCTCATATACATATTTCATTAAAAGTTTTTTCCTATCTTATTTAATTTGTTAGCATGGCTAGTAAAATATTTATCGATTGCAGGGATGGCAGGTTTTCTGGTGCTTTGTATTATTTATTTGTTTATTTTTGAGACAGGGTCTCACTCTATTACCCAGGCTGGAGTGCAGTACCAGGATCACAGCTCACTGCAGCCTCAACATCCTGGGCTCAGGAGATCCTCCCACCTCAGCCCCCCAAGTAGCATGGACTACAGGTGTGCACCACCATGCCCAGTAAATTTTTTATTTTCGTAGAGTCAGGGTCTCACTATGTTGCCCAGGCTGATCTCCAGCTCCCGGCCTCAATCAATCTTCCCACCTCAGTCTCCCAAAGTGCTGAGATTACTGGTGTGAACCACTGTGCCTGGACCATATCTTTTACTTTAATGGGAATTTTAAAATGTTTTGGCATTAAAATGGTGCTTTCTATAGGCTTCTACTATATTCCCTTCCAACTTTTGTTAAGTTAAAGAAATGTCCTCTTATTCCTTTTCTAAGTTTCTTTCCTTTTAAAATTGAAATGTGTATTGAAATTTACCAAGTGCTTTTAAGCACTATTGAAATTTGTATATCATTTACTTTGATCTGTTATTGTTATTCTACCTGTATTCTACCTGTACAGGAATATTCTACCTGTATTCTACATAGAATACATAAAATAAATTCTACATATTTTACTTAGAATACACAGAGTAAATTCTACTTTGTCATAACATTTTATTCTCTTAATAATCTGCTGGATTCAGTTTTTCAAATAGTCTATTTGTATGAGCTCATTAGTGAAATTTGCTTATGAAGTATTAATCACAAGTTGATTGACCCAAGGCACCTTCCAGTCCTTGTGTCTATTCAATCTCAATTGAGGTTGTTGTGTGCTCTTCTAGTCTTTATAGTATTTTTCTCTTGCATATGTTTCTATTTTCAAACAATTACTCATGATTTCTAGTCACTGATGAGACTTTCTCCTATTTTCCAGGGCTTGTTGGGCTTATCCTTGTAATATTAAAAATATTTGGATGGGAGGATCAGCGGTCATCTGTGTTCAGTCTATTATCTTGAACCAATTCCAGTATAGTTGCTGCTGTATTTAAGAAAAATTTTATGCCTGTTTTATAACTTTCTGCCCCATTAAATTATCTTTTTTTGGACTAATAGTTTTGTATTAATTGTTCTGAGTGTTTTAGAAAGGGAATGATATTATATAAAAGCAACTTTAGGCTCGGTGCAATGGCTCACACCTGTAATCCCAGCACTTTGAGAGGCCAAGGCAGGGGGATCCCTTGAGCCCAAGACTTTGAGCCTAGGCAACATAGTAAGATCCTGTCTCTACAAAAAAATGAACAAAATTAGCTGAGTGTGATGGCATGCACCTGTAGTCCCAGCTACTTGGGAGGCTGAGATGAGAGGATGGCTTGAGCCTGGGAGGTCAAGGCTGCAGTGAGCCGAGATCACGCCACTACATCCAACCTGGGTGACAGAGTGAGACACTGTCTCAAAACAAAACAACAATAAAAATTTGTATCTCTTTTCCAAAAAGGATATCTTTTTTTTTCCTTTCCATGATCTTATTTTATTGGCTAGAGATTTCAGACCATGTTGAATGTGTATGGGGACAGAGGGTATCCTTATTACTAAAGTTAATAGGGCTCAATTTTGTACATGTATAGAATATTTGCTGCTGGTTTTGTAGACATTTTTTATCTCATTTGAGTTATATCTTTGTTCCCTTTACTTCTAGGTTACTAAGTAATTTTTAAAAAACTATGTATTGCTGTTGAATTATTATCAAATTCCTTTTTGACCTTTATTCAGAAGGTCTTCCTTCACCCCCCTTGACTTATTAAAATAAATAGATTTCCTAATTGAGGGAGATCACCGTCATCCTTTTCTCCATGGTTTTCTTTCATCATCACCCTATTGTCTTTGCAGTGCAGGATGAACAGCAAGACCCTGACAAGCAAAAGGGTGTCTTCAGCCAGTGAAGATGGCAAAATGGATAGACAGAAGTGTGCTTTTCTAGTTGTTTATTTTTTTTGTCTTTCCCATCATGTTAAAAAAATTTTCATCACTCTCCAAAATCCCAGTCCATCCCCAAATAAAACAAGGCCCTGCAGAGAGTCAGCTTTCTGGCTAGAGTGCAAGGTACATGCTGTAGCCATTGGACAAAACGAAGCCAATTGGGTAACAGGATAGAAACCATGACCCTGGCTCTTTATCGATGAAATAACCAGGCACAGACATCACAGGTTTTCTCTTTGCCAGTTCAAAATGCCAAAAAGGGATGCAGGGGAAGAATTAATGAAGATTCTCTCTGATGTAGCTTCTGTACTCCCTCCCCATAGCGTGTGTTTGCTTTTTGAGTAGGGGATTTGATTCTGAAATACACCATACTTGGCAATTTTCTTTAAAGCTTAAACTCTTAGAACTAAGTCTCAGGATTTTCGATGGCCATGGGCAAATGCTTTTTTTGTGGATACTGTTTGATGAATGTGCCCAGTTGACGCCTATGCTCACAATTTCCACAAGGAACATCCTGAACCTTTCTAACTAAACACAAGGCTAATGAATTATGTGTGGGAAACTCTCTCTACCTCTCTCTCTCTCTTTTTTAAGTATGTAGCAGTCATGGAAGTTGAGCCATCTTTCCATTAGTGCATGATTGCAAATGTCTTTCTTAGTATTTAACTACAGGATAAGACAATGGCCTAAAAACTAGGCCCTAGAGATGAGCCTAGTAGGCTAGTTTCCCAAATTGTGAGAGAGTATTCAGGATGTTCTTGCTACCCAACAGTATATTCCATGGAGGTAGATCTAGGAAACTCTGATAAGACTTCCGGGCTGCCACACTCAAGACCTCCAGCACCTTTGCCACTTGAACCAGTGAAGAGTCTCACAGCCTGCCCTAACCACAGCTCCCTTCTGAGAGGAAAAGCTGCTCACAGTGAGTGGTCATAGTTATGGTATTTATCCCCATTCCTACTGCCCCTATTCACACATATACATAACAAGCTAACTTAAGGGTGACCCAACCATAGGCTAGTGACCTTCCTCCAAATGCTTTTATTTATTCTATTATTTTTATTTTAGAGGCAGAGTCTTGGTCTGTCACCCAGGCTGGAGTGTAGTGGCATGATCTCAGCTCACTGCAACCTCCACCTCCCCGGTTCAAGCAATTCTTGTGCCTCAGCCTCCTGAGTAGCTGGGATTACAGGCATGTGCCACCATGCCAGGCTAATTTTTGTATTTTTAGTAGGGACAGCATTTTGCCATGTTGGCCAGGCTAGTCTTGAACTCCTGACCTCAAGTGATCTGCCCATCTCAGCCTTCCAAAGTGTTGGGATTACAGGCATGAGCCACCGTACCTGGACCCCCAAATGCTTTTAAACGAATCACATTGCTCTCTCAGCAAGGAAGAATTGGAACACTGAGAGACTAAGCCAGTTAGGTATCACAGGTGAAGTTGGGGCAGGCTGGATCTTAAGAGACCAAGTACAAGTTAAAGTTTTGAGGGAGAAAAGACTGAGAAAGCAGAGGACAGTGGATGGTAAGAAAGAGAAGAAAACAGATGTGCTGAGAAAAGCAGAGAAGTCCTACACATTAAGTGGCCATGGTTCCTATTGCTTCCCAAGCTCCAGTTCTCATGAGGCACCAGGATGTATTATAGTTTACCGTCTTTGGGAATCTATGAGATTCCTATGTATTCTCATAATATTAATCCTTTGTATGTGTCAACTTGAGTGTTCTTGCAATCAAAAGACCTGGCCTAAGATATGGGCAATGTGGGAAATCCACATTTAGGCAGGCAGTGGAAACTTTAAAACTCTGTCTTTAGTGCCAGCCAGTTACTTTTAATTTGTTTTCCTCATCATAGGAAACCTTATAGAATTGGAGTGTGAATTTCTTGGTGCAGGATGGGAATGCCCAGAGCTTGAGGATTTAGGGTTTACTGGCAGGGCTGAGATCTCTTCACACTCCTACTCAAGAGGCATGACTATCTTCCATCACCTCAAGAAGGTTTTAACTAATGCTTTCAAGATGTGAGTGATTGGTAATTTACAAATGATGCTGGGTAGACTGTCTCTGACATATCCACTTGCACCTCCAGAACTCTTTATATGAGCGATACTCACTTCTCAGTTCATTTGCTCAGTAAACAAAAGATCAAAGGGGAAAAAAAGGTAAGAATTAATAGTAGGAAATGAGCATTTTAGAGAAATGTCTGAAATCAGCTGAGTGCAGAAAGAGAAAGCTTGAATGTGATAGACATCAGCTCTAGAAATTTTCTGAACACTCTAGGATTCTTATGAACCTGCAGCCATCCTTCAAGGCCCAATTCATAGGGTATTCTTTTCTTGAATTGGGAATTGAAGGGTGGATAGGATTTAGATATGCTGACTTGAGAGCAGTGGCATCCCTTGTGGAGAAAATAGCATGAGTGAAGATCTGGAGAGGGTCGAGGCCACTATGTGTGGAAAACTAAGGACAATTCAGTTTAGCTGTGGGGCTAAGGGTACACAAATGGAGGAAGACGCATGTTAAACCAAAAAAGTAAATTGCGGCTTAACCCCTGTAATGGCCTCTAGGCAGGCAAAGTGAGTATCAGAGTTTCATGAGTGAGGGAGGGAGTGATTCATTAGCTGCCTTTAGGAATATTAACTTGGAAACACTGTGTTGTGAGGATTAGAGTGAGGAAGGAGTGGACATTGGGAGATCTGGCGCAAGATAAGAAAATAGGCTGGGTGTGGTGGCTCATGCCTGTAATCCCAACACTTTAGAAGGCTAAGGTGAGAGGTTCCCTTGAGTCCAGGAGTCTGAGGCGAGCCTGGTCAATGCTGTGAGACCCCCATCTCTACAAATAATTTTTTTTAATTAGCTGAGAGTGATGGCATGTGCCTGAAGTCCCAGCTACATGGGAGGCTGAGGCGGGAGAATGGCTTCAGTCCAGGAAGTTGAGGCTGCAGTGAGCTATGTTCTCACCACTGCACTCCAGCCTGGGTGACAAGGGAAACCCCATTTCAATCAATAATAATAATAACAATAATAATGTAGTTTTAATAAAAGGAGAACAGGAAGAGAGCAGATGAAAAAGAAATTAAATTACAGAGAAATGGCTCAAGTAGGCCTTGAAAAGAAGCAGTCTGTGTTACCCTTGGAAGTTGCCTGCTTGTGTTGTTGGCAGGATAATGGTACTTTTAGGAAAGTGGAGAATGCCAGAGAAGGAGAAGGAAGTGAGGAGGAGGAAGAAATAGGGGAGGAGAACTCATTCTTGAATCAGTTTAAGAAGCTTCAAAGACTCAATTGATGAGTGAACATCAGATTTAAATACACCCTGTCTCCATTAGGGAGATACCCAGAAAGATGCACTATGTCATGGCTAAATTAGGCTGAGTTTCATGTCTGCATGAAGAGAAGTGTATTGGTCTATGTCTGTAACATATATATCACTAAATTTTTCAATGTTTTTGTAATTTGTATAAAAATCTCAAAAAAAAAAAAACAGTCTTTTTTTTTTCCCAAGGGGATTAAGCTATCCTATGGCGTATAGCCTTGGGTTTTTATTTCATTGTAATAATTTTCTAGTCACTTAAAAAGTTCTTGCGTATTTAGAATTTATTACTCCAAGTTTGAAAAATCTAAGGCTTTGTGTCTTAGCACATTGCATCTCTGTTAAGACATTCTTTCCACAAAGACATTAGAAGGATCTCTGGAGGTGACTGATGAAACAATAATTTTGAGTGGATTTAGGGTTTTAATTACTGTTTTATTTAATTGTGAGTGGGCACTGTGGAAAAAAAATCCATCAACAAAGGAAACAATTGTTCCAAAGAATTACATCTGCATTTATTCTCTGTCAAAAATTTCTCATTAAAAATGTGTTTCTTTAAAAGTAACTCAAAGCAGCTGATGAAATACAAGAGCATGGAAAGTTTCAAATCCCAGTGCAAACTGGATTCATCCAAGATCATTTGCCAGAGACTTGACTCCATGGTAAAGAGCTTCTCACCATTTCTCACATCCATTAACTGGGTTTCATACTTACGCTCAGATGCTGGCAGTTTTATTTCCATAGGTGGATATTTTCCACTCAAACACTTCCTTTTCATAATACTTTTGATGTCTCTAGAGCATTAATACTGTTTGACTTTTCTCTTTAGTGATGACTCTGACTCATGTTTTTTTTACTTTAAGAGAGTGGGTGAAGAAAGAAAGAAGCCATAGGCAGCTCTACTAAAGAGGTGAAAATCCTAAAGACCATTCCACAATGTCTGAACCACCATCAAAGACTAGTGTGTGAGAAATGACAGTTACTGAGATTATTCCCAAACCATTCTCTAGTTTTTTTGGAAAGATCAGGCCTGCATGAGAGGCCACTGGGGTAAATCTTACAAAAAAATAAGACTGTAGGAAAAAATAGAACTACCATTTGATCTAGCTGTCCCTCTTTTGGGCATAAACCCAGAGATAATGAAATCACCACCTTTTTAAGATATCTTCACCCCCATGTTCACTGCAGAATTATTTACAATAGCCAAGATATGGAAACAACCTAAGTGTCAATCAGTGGACAAATGGATAAAGAAACTGTGGTGTGTATATACAATGGAATATTATTCAGCCCTAAAAAAGAGCAAGATCTTGCCATTTGCCACAACATGGATGAGCGTGGAGGATATTATACTAAGTGAAATAAGCCAGACACAGAAATACAAATACTGCATGATCTCATATGTGGAATATGACCTCACATGTAGAATATGCTGTCACATGTGGAATCTAAAAACAAATTCACTGTTGGGCCCTGTGACTCATGCCTGTAATCCCAGCACTTTGGGTGGCTGAGGTGGGAGAATCACTTGAGACCAGCCTGGGTAACATAGTGAGATCCTATCTCTACAAAACAAATTTAAAAGATAGCCAGGCATGATGGCACCCACCTGTAGTCCCAACTACTGAGGAGGCTGAGGTGGGAGGATAGCTTGAGTCCAGGAGGTCGAGGCTGCTGTGAGTCATGATCATGTCACTACATTCCAGCCTGGGTGACAAAGTGAGACTCTGTCTCAAAAAAAATAAATAAATAAAGTAAATACATTGAAAATATTTAGAGACAGAGAACAAAACAGTGATTACTGAGGCAGGGGTAGAGAGTGAAGACGAAATGGGGACATGTGGGTCAGAGGATAGAAAGTGGTAGATATGTAGGATGAACGAGTCTAGAAATCTCATCTACAACATGAAGATCTTAGGTAATTAAATTGTGCTGTGTATAGAATTCACTGTAAATGAGTAGATTTTAGCTGCTCTTGCCATGGGTAACTATGTGAAATGACGACTATGTTAATTTGTTTTCACTATAATAACCTTTTTACTATCTCTGTATATCCCTTAACATGTTATATACCTTAAATATACATAAAAACGTTTATTTTTTTAAAAAGATTACAGAAAAACATCTCTTTGAAGCTGGCACTGCTGATGAAAACTAAAGCAATAGATGGAGAAAAGAGGACGATAAAGAAAATTTGGGCTGATATTCTCCAGAAAAGGAAAGGGTGGCCACCTTGTCAATGGATTTGTTGAGCACCCATTATGTGTGGGAAGGGATTACCAAACGCTACAGAAATCTCTGTCTTGAGGTCATGTAACAGTCTATTGAGGGAACAAGGCACATATATACCAAAATGATTTAAATAGCAAGGTAAGAGTAGCATAATAATTCTCAGCAGCTACTGAGCGTTGTATAGACATTGCTTATTTAATACTTACCAAATCAGCCCATGAAGTAGATGGGTTTGTTAAAATGTATTTGCTGACTGGCAACAGAAAAGCCAAAAAAATATATACTGGCTTAAACAAGTAAGGAGGTTATTTATATCATGCTACAAAAAGCCTAGAGTTTGTTGCCCTGGTTAGGACCACCTGGGACACAGTCTCCTCCATATTTCTGCTCTACAGCCCTTAGCTCCACAGTCATAGTTGCTGCCCATTCAAGCATCACATCTGTGTGTAAAGCAGGATGAAGGATGGTGTAACGGGCGTGGGGCACTTATATAAGAAAAGGAATGTTTTCCCAGAAATTCAAGAATACTTCCTCTTATATACTATTAGCCAGAACAATGTCAGTAGGCTACCATCAGCTTTAAGGAAGCCAGTTGCTTGAGCATTTTAGCTGGGCACATTGTTACCCTGAACAAAACTGGGGCTCTATAAGAAGGAAAAATGAGGAGAGAACTTACATTGGGAACATAAATAGCAGTGTCTGCCATGGTGGGTTGACTATGTCATTTTACAGATAATAAACTGAGGCTCAAA
The DNA here is from genome assembly GCF_000001405.40 of Homo sapiens. Taxonomy (NCBI): domain Eukaryota; kingdom Metazoa; phylum Chordata; class Mammalia; order Primates; family Hominidae; genus Homo; species Homo sapiens. The sequence continues at coordinate 88,025,317 of NC_000010.11, forward strand.
GAGGTTAAATGGTTTGCTCAATTTATCATACAACCAGCAAATAGCAGAGCCAGGGTTAAAACCCAGATGTGAGTGAATCCAAAGTTTTTACTCGTAACTCCCATTCATTACTGTCATGTGGCGCTTCAAATGAATGATATAAATAACTTGATGGTAAATGCAGGGTGGGAGTAGATCAATACGATTTTGGTAGGTAGAAAATAGGGAGTAAAATCATGCAGAGAGAAAGATTTTTCCTACTGTTGGAGGCCTTTGGGGGACAGGAAAAAGTCCAAATTGATTATCAGAGAGTTATTGTTAGGGAAGAATGGGAAGAAAGCTCAGAAAGAAGTGCTGGGACACCAGGCTTCCTTGATAGCTCCCAAGTAACAAGTCCAAAATGGAATTTCTGATTTCTCTGTTCCCTAATCCACTTTATTCTCCATCTTTTCCCATCTCAGTAAAATTCACATTTATATGCCCAGCTGGTTAAACAGAAAATCTGAGGGTTGACATTCATCCTTCTGTTGCCCTCACTCTCACATCTGCAAGTTCTGAAGTATTTACCTCCAAAATATCTCTCACTATGTCCTTTCTGTCACTATCTCTGCCCCTTGCTCATCCAGCTTGCCACCAGCGTGTGCTTGAGAATGGAAACAGCCTCCTCCTAATGGGTCTGCTTGCTTCTTCTCTTGTCTCCTTTAGCCAGTTCTCCACTTGGCAATCTTGAATGAACTTTAAACATTGTAAGCCAGATCATATGACAGCATCCACTTAAAACCCTCCTGTGGTTTTTGTTGCACTTGGAAAGGACCCCAACTATGTCTTTGGCTTAGACCCCAGCTTTGTTTGTGACCCTGCACAGTCTAGTACTTCCTTACCTTTCCAATCCCATCTTGCACCGCATTCACCTTTGCTCACTCTTGGGCTCCAATTACAGTAGCTTCTTTGCAATTGTTGAAATGCTTCTTGCCTTGCCCAAGATCCTTCTTTATGGTTTGGAGTACTTTACCCCTGGTCAACTCCTGTTTCTTCATATTTATGCTTAAACATCATCTCCTCAGGCGGGGTTCCCCACGTGCTCTCTCTAAATCCAGTCCCTCTTGTTCTTCTCTATCAGAAACTTAATGATTTCATTTTTTTTCACATTCAGATTACTTTCCTACATATGTAATTATACCTTTATTTGTTATTTGTTTACCTTTTTCTGGTCTGTCTCCCCTGCCCCCTATTAAGAACAATGAGGGCAGAAGCTGTATTTGTTTTGCTGCTGCTATATATCTGGTAACACAGTGCTTGGCACAGAGTAGGTGCTCAATAAATGTTTGAATGAATGAATGAGTGAATGAATAAACAACTGACAAGATTGACTTGGCAAAGTCTCAAATGCCAGTAGAATGTGTTGCACACACAATTAGAAATAAAGCTTGTGGGCCGGGCGCGGTGGCTCACTCCTGTAGTCCCAGCACTTTGGGAGGCTGAGGCGGGAGGATCATGAGGTCAGGAGATCGAGACCATCCTGGCTAACACGGCGAAACCCTGTCTCTACTGAAAATACAAAAAATTAGCTGGGCGTGGTGGTGGGCACCTGTAGTCCCAGCTACTAGGGAGGCTGAGGCAGGAGAATGGTGTGAACCTGGGAAGTGGAGCTTGCAGTGAGCCTAGATTGCGCCACTGCACTCCAGACTGGGCGACAGAGCCAGACTCCGTCTCAAAAAAAAAAAAAAAGGAAATAAAGCTTGTGGCCGGGCACGGTGGCTCACGCCTGTAATCCCAGCACTTTGGGAAGCTGAGGCAGGCAGATCACCTGAGGTCAGGAGTTCGAGACCAGCCTGGCCAACATGGTGAAACCTCATCTCTACTAAAAATACAAAAATTAGCTGGGCGTGGTGGCGGGCGCCTGTAATCCCAGCTACTTGGCAGGCTGAGGCAGGAGAATCACTTGAACCTGGGAGACGGAGGTTGCAGTGAGCCGAGATAGTGCCATTGCACTACAGCCTTGGGGACAAGAGCAAGACTTTGTCTCAAAAACAAAACAAAAACAAAAACAAAAACAAACAAACAACAACAACAACAAAAAATCACAAAAGAAATAAAGCTTGTTAAAGCAATGTTTGACAAGAAGGATTCATTTTATTTACGAGAATCAAATCCAAATGGCAGGTGGGGGATGTCTCTATAGCAGTTACCAGGATGGTCTCTGATAATTTTATGGAAACAATAAGAACTACATGTATTTAATTCTATTTTAATTTAACCATTCTATGTTCAGGGGGTAGAATTTTGATGATGACAACTACTTCCTCTTCCCTGGAGCACTGTTGAGAAACATTGCCCAGTGTGGCCCTGGGGAGCAGTTTCTGTTCTGGCCTGATCTGGATTCCTCTTCTCCCAGCTTCTGCTGACCTCCTTCTGACTCTGATGCTGGTCCTTAACCGACACTTGTCCTTAACCTACGCTGCCTGCTCAGGAATCAGTCACTTCCTTCTTTCAGGGTCTTTATTACTTACTATTTGCGGATGATTCTTGGTGTCTGAAATGTGATTGCTCAAATTTCACTTTACATAAGTCTGCACCAGTTGATATTTAGAAAAGTTTTACTTCCCTCTAATATATGCGCAAAAAACTGCCTGCTTGTTCAACATCTATACCTGAGTTCTTTGCCTCAGTAATAACAAGGATGATATCTACAGCAATAGTAACATAGCTTCTACTATTTAGTACTTACTATGTAAAAGGCATTGTGCTACTCCTTTGAGTAATTAACTTAATATTTTCCACAGGTGAAGAAGCTGAGGTATACAGCATGTATTAAATAGAGTGTGATAACTACTGTAACACACAAAGCCTTATTTTATTGCTCATGTCCATGTACCTTAGTGGTCAAGGGTGTCTACTCCACATAGTTATTCACGGATTCAGGCTCCTTTCATATGGGTCTCAGAATCCTCCCTTAGGTCCTCTGAATCTGGTGGCACTGACAAGACAAAGGAGAGAGGAAGTGGAGATCATACAAAAGGGTTTAGAACCCAGGCCTAGAAGTAGTGTATTCCTTCTGCTCAAATTTTATTGGCCAGGAATCAATTACATGCCTTTGTTGAAATGCAAGGGGGCTGGGAAATATAATCTTCTTATACACCTAGGAGAAGAGGAAACAATTTTGGTGAGTATCTAGCCAGTCTCTGCCACACAGAAATTAAACAACTTGTCATACAATAAATAAGTGCAGATCTGGGACTCAAATACATATTGGTTGGACTAGAAGCCTAAGCTGTTAGGCACATGTCTATCCTCTCTTTACCTGTATATGTACATTTTTTAATATAAAAACTTTTATATATATATGAAAATACATTTTTAAAGACTGTGCTGCAGCCACATGGTGAAAGCAAGTTTATAGTCTGCTCTTCGTCAGGAAGACTCACTACCTGATTAAGGGCCAGGCTGAAAATGTCTTCTTTGATGAGACAGAAAAATGCATGCTGTGACACTTCCTGTGTGAAGCCATATAACCTTCCTTTTCATGTCAGCAGCTCAGGGATCCTGTTCCTGCTTAACCTATTCCAGCCAGAGATCATGAGATCATATTAGACTAAGGACTTTGGACCTTATCCTGTGGCCAGCCTGCTAATGAAACTCTTAACTGGATGCATTTAAAATGCAAGTGATAGTCTCTCTTTGCTGTATGGGGAGGGCCTTACACCAGTGTAATGGGTATAACTTTGTTCTATAAGTTCAGGTGTGTAAAAAATGTACTTTACATTTTCCTTTAACTCAAATTACCATATTTTATTAATTCCAATACATGCCTTTTTGTATGCTAACATCTCTGAAATGTGGATCTAATAATTGATGGCATGTTTGAATTGCTATTTGCTGGGTGGCAGTGCTGATTTATTTGCCATTGTCTGTATGTGTGTGAACATGGTCATAGGTATTTAGATATTGTTACCTCTTTAGTTGAATAATATGCACTGTTGGTATTACCCAGGCAGAGTTTAGTTGCTGTTTGCAATATTTTCAAAAAGATTATCCTGAGTTTCAGCAATGAAATGAAAACTTATAATGAACAGAAAGGCTCAGAAACAGTAGTGGAGTGTAAATATAGTAAAGCAAAAAAAAATTATAAGAATCACTTCAAAGCTACAGTGTCATACAGAGTAAGAGAATTAAATTACTATAAGTATACGAAACTGCGATACAGAGTTATGTTAAAAAGCATTGCATGTTAGTACATGCCAAGCAAGAGCGCACTCACATTAAACCTTTTTGTTTTTTTTGTTTTTTTTTTTCTTTGAGACGGAGTCTCCCTCTGTCGCCCAGGCTGGAGTGCAGTGGCACAATCTCAGCTCACTGGAAGCTCCGCTTCCCGGGTTCACGCCATTCTCCTGCCTCAGCCTCCTGAGTAGCTGGGACTACAGGCGCCCGCCACCGCACCTGGCTAATTTTTTGTATTTTTAGTAGAGACGGGGTTTCACCGTGGTCTCGATCTCCTGACCTCATGATCCGCCTGCCTCGGCCTCCCAAAGTGCTGGGATTACAGGCATGAGCCACTGCGCCTGGCTCACATTAAACCTTTAACAATGGGTGACAACATCTTGGAAGAAAACCTGGAGTCAAGAGTGAGGATACTAGTAAGAAATGTTTCATCACCAACAGAGAAAAATAGTGAGGAGAAAAATATAAACAGTGATGTGGAAGAGTTAGACTCTGAATGAAGAGATATGTTTAGGAATTTCTTAATACATTTATTTTCTTTTTTATGTGTACAAGAGTGACATGTAATAAAAGTCTACGTCCCAACAAGTCTTAAAGGGCTTCTCCAGCAAGTATAAAATAAAAATTTGAAACAAAGAGAAAGCATTGTTTCATAGATTAATTGGGGGCATCTTTCTTTCTTGGTGGCACACAAATTAATGATGTATTTTACAATCGATGGCATTTTAGTATCAATGAAATAGCTAACCTCTCATTTGCACTCCCATTCCTTTGAGTATTGGAAATTAAATTTCAGTCAGTTAAGCACCACCTCTTCCCATGATTACCTTGCATTTCCTGGGGGCTTACGTATGGAAGCCCCTGAGATGACCATCATTCGGCCTGGTTCCTGGTCCTCAGGCAACAGAGATCATTGCTAGGGACATTTCGTTCTCATCTCAGAGCTCTTTCAAAGCTGGCTGGCTCTTTCTGCTACTTCTGTGTCTCTCTTGGATGCAGTTCCTTGGACACAGGAACTTACTAAGGCTGATAAGGCCCTAGGCTTATCAGTGGGCCCTTGGGAGCATAAAAGGTATTCTGTCCCTCCATGTCCTGCTGGGTGGCTGGGTAGCTGAGTACTGGTAGAATTCACTCCTCGTGAGTGCTCTTAGGCATACAGGAATCCAGCCTCTCTTCTGCATCATTTTGGCATGGGGAAACTTAATTGCTTTGGGCTGCTTAGATCTCACATGGCCACATTTTCTCCTATGACATCTTGCAGCCTCCATGACTTTACCTGGAGAAAGGGGCACACATATCATCAAGCCTGCATGGGGTTTGAGGCATTTCCCTTCCCATTCCCACAAGGTCAGTGGGTTGGGCCAGGCTGCAGGACCCACTGTCGGGGATCCACCGGTGTCCAGCTCTCTTAGCTTGCTTTCCACGTCTCCCTTTCATCCTAGTCTGGGCAATGTTTTCTAATATGGAGGGTCAGCTAGACTTTCTCTCAATTTATGTCCCAAATTCTTCTACTCCTCACTAGCTTTGGGCTCTAAAACCCAGGCCAAGAACAGAATTGTGGTTTTCCTTTCTAAGACAGGGTCTCATTTTGAGATAGGGTCTTAGGTTTTCCTTTCTTTTTGAACAAGTGGTTCTGAATGCACAGCTCACTGAATGGAAGAAAGGTCTGAGTGAAAAGAAACATGATAAAACCACACTGAGGAGCATTTCAAAATACTTTCCTAATGCAAATTCTTACAGTGCCTACTCTTTCACTCTTATTTTAACATGTTCTTTTTGGTCAGTTTCTTACATTGCTTGTTTTCTATATCAGCAACCTGGTGGCTGATTTCAATGATCCATCAAGGCTCCTTCCATTTATTTTCCCTAATCACCTCAGTAACCAGGGTGAAGGTATAGCCATTCTCTTCCGCCTCTTCTCTCTTTTTTTTTTTGAGATGGAGTTTCACTCTTGTTGCCCAGGCTGGAGTGCAATGGCGTGACCTTGGCTCACGGCAACCTCTGCCTCCCAGGTTCAAGCAGTTCTCCTGCCTCAGCTCCCGAGTAGCTGGGATTACAGGCATGCACCACCATGCCCAGCTAATTTTGTATTTTTAGTAGAGACGGGGTTTCTCCATGTTGGTCGGGCTGGTCTCGAGCTCCCGACCTCAGGTGATCCACCCGCCTCGGCCTCCCAAAGTGCTGGGATTATAGGAATGAGCCACTGTGCCCAGCCCCTCCTCCTCTTTTTATTTTTATAATATAAGGTTTATAATTTCTATTTCATTGAAAGAAATGAGTAACATACAGACTAGTAGAAGAAAGGGAAAAAAATACATAAAACTTCACTAAGACATCCCCTGGTTGGTGACATTCTGTTGTTTTTCCTTCTAGTTATTTTTTAATGCTTACTTGGCGTGTGCGTGTGTGTGTGTGCGATTAGCATTACATCAGACATAGAACTGTATATCCGGTATTGTTCATTCAACACTATGACTATTTTTCCTTATTATTATAAAATCTTCAGAAACATCAGTGAGTTGACGCAGCAGAGTTTACTCAAACCATTTGCCTAGTATGGAGCATTTAGCTTATTCTCACTGTTGTGAGAATATTTATACATAAATAATAGCATTATGATTGATATCCTTGTGCATGAAGTTTTTCCTACATTTCTGCTTATTTTCTTGAGTTAGTCTCCCAGAATTGGGATTACTAGAAAGACTACCGTTATAAAAACATGCTATTTCCCTGGACTTCATGCAGTATTTCCTCTCCAAATACGAAAATCTTTTACCTGGATACCCTATATCACAGGCTGTACTTGATGTTTCCAGTGGGGAAAAAAATCCAACTGCTGCTGATGCAAGAACATTGTATATCCTCACAAAGGCAAGACTGATGATACAAAAAATATAAAGCCAAAATCTTTGTCTGTTCTTTCCCCCTTTATCGATAGTTATAATAACTTCTCTGAGAGCAGTATATACTATTTGAGTGGAAGATTTCCACAGGCTTCTTTCGTTCACCTCCAGCTTCCTTAGATCTTGACGGCTTTTTCTGATCTCGTAACAATAATTTGCCATTTATCCATAGGAGGAGATGTTCTGTACCTACAAGTGGAAAGTCTGACTCAAATAGTTACTTCTAAAGTTATATTATTTTAAAATCTAAGCTGAAGTTCCATGGTGGATTTAACTTTGAAGAAACACCCAAAGCCAATCCATTCAAAGCATTGTGTTCTCCAAGCAGCTACTGTAGGTGGCTGAGCTCATACTCCAACAATGTGTCATCACTCCAGATGTCTTAGGCCTCCTCTTCTGAAACTACTGTCAAAATCTCTGGCACGTTTTTGAATATCCTCAATGAAGAAAAATCTTAATCTTTTTTGAGGAAGAATTGGATCTTTTGAAACTTTCAGTAGTTTTCAGAATCTAACTGAGTGGACAATGAGATGAGTGGGAAAATGGGCAAGATTTAAAAAAATAAATCACCACAGTACTATTACAAAACCATGAGGCTGATTTTCTTGTGTGACTAGTAAATAGCACAGAATATGAAAACAATTCTCCCAGAGTAAGGAGTCAGATTTTAAGCTGCAGTAGATCATTAGGATATGAACATTAAGGAACCTGATGGCCAGGTTGAGACACTTATACTCTGAAGTGTATGTGTATATATTTAATTTAGGCTCATTCCTTATGAGTGATGCCATTTAAATGAAAACATGTGCATATTTTTAAAGAAAACTCAGCTTGAGATAAAGAAATAAAACAAAATCTATGTATTGACATTCATGGGCTTAATTAATTATAACAGTCCAGGGAGGACTCTGCGTCTTTTAAAACAATGTCATTTTATTCATTTAAAATAAGTACTACATACTTTTTATACAGAATTTGGAAAATCCAGAAATTTCTTTACTCAGAGCTATTCCCTCATAATATATATATTTTTAATATACTTAATTTTTTAGAGCAGTTTTAGGTTCACAGCAAAATTGAGCAGGTCAGAGAGTTCTCATATACCCACTTCCCTAACACGTGCAGATCCTCCCCCATTATCAACATTTCCTGCCAGAGTAGACATTTGTTACAACTGATGAACCTGCATCAAGATAACATTATCATCCAAAGTCCATAGTTTACAGTGGGGTTCATTCTTGTATATAGCATGAGTTTGGACAAATGTATAATGACATGTATCCACCAAAGTATGACATAGAATAGTTTCATTGCCCGCCAAATCTACCACGCTCCATCTCTTCATTATATTTTGATCTAAATATACCTTAGATTGGGTTCTCTGGAAACAGACTCTGAGAATTGCCTGCTGAATGCTTACTGGGAGCATGCTTTCAGGAGATGCTCCTTGTAAGAAAGTAAGGAAGGACCGCGCTGTGCAGAGGAGAATCTGACTCCAGATGCAGTTGCAACTGAGACTCAGCCAATCATGGAGGGAGCTGTGGAGCTGGGACGGCCCTTTAGAATTGACCCAAAGTAAAGTAACTGGCCCGGCTTTTGTATCCTTGCATCAGTGAGTCATTGGCCCCCTAGAGGGGCTAATTCTGGATGATTCTATTTTTTGGGGCCAAGGACAATTCCCAATAGGGGATGCAGCTGTGTGCTATCAGCAGTGATATTCCCAGCAGCTGGAGAGGGACAGGTACTTCACAAAGGGGAGTTGGGCAAAGACTGCATTCGGTATCCACTGCAATGTCATGTTAAAATTGGGATCATACAGTCCATGCAACTTCTCCACCTACTTTTTCACTCAACACTATTTGATGAATTTTTCCCATTTTGTTAACCTCTCTTTGAAATCAACATTTTAAATATCTGCTTATTTTATCATATGAAAGTATCATTTATTTAACTGTTCTCTTATTGTTGAACAATTAATTTTTGACACATTTTCACTATAATAAATAATATAATGAACATCTTTATATCTTTGTAATATACATGATACTAATAAAAATAAACTGTATTTAATTGAGAATGCTTACTATTGACTATGTCAGGCCAATATCTTTCTTGCCTTCCTTGTGGAGTTTTTACGAGAAATAAATGAGAGGCTGGATGCGGTGGGTCACGCCTTTAATCCCAGCACTTTGGGAGACCAAGGCAGGCAGGTCACTTAAGGTCAGGAGTTCAAGGCCAGCCTGGCCAACATGGTGAAACATGGTCTCTACTAAAATACAAATATGAGCAGAGCATGGTGGTGTGTGCCTGTAATCCTAGCTACTCAGGAGGCTGAGGCGTGAGAACCTCTTGAACCTGCGAGTGGAGGTTGCAGTGAGCCAAGATTGCACCAGTGCTCTCCAGCCTGGTTGAAAGAGAGAGACTCGGTCTCAAAAAAAAAAAAAGAGAGAAAATAAATGTAAATTATGTTGCACTTTTAAACTCATTTGATGTTAACTTTGTGATGCAGAGACCATTGTCATCTCCATTTTTCAGATGAGGAAACTTAGGCACAGAGGTTAAGTAGATCATCTAAGTGAGCATTAGAATAGTACAGGCACTATAAATCCAGAGTTTGAGCAAAACATGATACTATTTCCCTCATCCTGCTTTTCTGGTGCTTTTCCTAAGTTTATAACCTTAGAAGGAGAATTCCATAGTCAAGGGCTTGACTTACTTTAAAGCTCATGATAAGAATTGCCAGGTTATTTCCCAGAAGTAATGAGAACTTCCACCAGCAGAGTATGAGGGTTTTATTTCTCCATAGTCAACAACAAAGAACCCAAATTCTTAATTAGAACCATGATAAAGAATAAGTAATCTATTTTCTTGTCTTCCCTCAGGCATTATGAACATTCATTGTTCTTAAGCAGGCCTTTCCCTGGTTTGTTAGCATGCTCAATTATTTCAAGATCATCTTCTAAGTGTTCACTAAAATGGATGACATACATTTCAGAGAAGAATTTTTTGTTTGTGGAACGAATGCATGAATGAGGACAAGGAGAGGCCTGGATCACAACTTTGTACTGGAATATCAGGAGTTGTGTAAAGCAAGGAAGCGGAGACTCTGCAGAACAAAGCCCCTTCAAGACAAGGAAGTGATTTGTGACAATTGACCATTTTTCACATACTCTTCATTGGGGTCTTTTAAAATCTCAGTTGAATTCCTTATGTAATAAGCACTCATTGCAGTCCCTTTACCTGCCAGACTCTATCATGTGCTTGAAAACATTGATGTTTAATTCTGGAAGGAATTCAGGGTCATGTGATCCCATCCCTTATGACACAGAGGAGGAGCTTCAAGCCAGTGCCACCTCGTTGGGGCCTTTCCCTCTCCTGGGGGTGGACTGTAGGAGATGTGGGGAGGGGAGGATGGTTCTGTTTTCCTCCATTCAAGGTCAGAGGAACTCTTCAGAAATGTCTTAGAAGGCAGTCAGAGTTATTTTGTATTATTTTAGCATTGACTTAGACTGATCTTACCCTCACATAACTCCATAGTTAGTTCATTTCTGAATTCTGAGAGATTTCTTTGGAAACCCACAGTTTTTCCCTCACTTCTAAGCTTTGGCAACCTCTTTAAGTTCATTTACTTGCCATTCCCTCTACCATATAGGTTGTTGTGAGGCTGAAATGAACCCAAAGTATTTAAAATTCTTACAGTAATACTTACAAACAGTAAACAATTTATAAATATTGACTTTGGTTTCCTCCCTTCTTCTCTGCTCCCCATTTTCCTCCTTCCCAGAATGGTGTATAGCTGTGAGATATTTCTGAACCTCAACTTCCTCATCTAAAAATCATAAATTATACTTTACTATATATTCACCACACAGGGTTTTAGTGGGGATCAAATGAGGTAATCCATCTAAAGCAACTTTCACAGCACCTGGCGCAGAGCGGGCAGTCAATAATTTGTAGCTGGGATTACTTTAAAACCTGTTAATGTGCTTTAAGTCAGTTATCGAATTTTCTGCGCTGTCTAAAAGAATGAATCATATGCACTTGATTAATTTTCAGCCCTGTTGAATTTATTTCTTTTCTGCTCAGCTTTCCTGAGGTACAATTGACAAATTAAAATTGTGTATATTTAAGGTGTACTATGTGATGTTTTGATATACAGTAGTTCCCCCTAATTCATGGTTTTTCTTTGCATGGTTTCAGTTACTCACAGTCAACTGAGGTCTGAAAATCAGTGAATATAGTACAATAAAATATTTTGAGAAAGAGCGAGAGAGACCACCTTCATATAACTTTCATTATAGTATATTGTTATAATTGTTTATTTTTTTGCTAGTTTTCATTGTTACTATCTTACAGTGCCTAGTTTATAAGTTAAACTTTATCATAGATATGTATGTGCAGGACAAAACATAGTACATGTAGGGCTAAGTATTATCTGTGGTTTGAGGCACCCACTGGAGATCTTGGAACATATTCCCCTTGGATAAGGGGGGACAATTATATGCATAGGTTTGGAGTGATTTCACAATTAACATATCTGTCACCTCATACAGTTATTTTTTTTTTATGATTAGAACACTTAAGACCTGCTCTCTTGGCAAGTTTCAAGCATACAGTCTAGTATTAACTGTAGTTACCAGGTTGTATATTAGATCTATAGAACTTACGTCTTTTATGACTGAAATTTGGTACCCTTTGACCAAAATCTCCTCCCTGTATTGTATCCTGCATCCCCTGACCACCTTTCTACGCTCTGTTTCTATGAGTTTGATTTGTTTAGAATTCATATGTAAGTGATATCATGCATTGTTTGTCTTTCTGTGTCTGGCTTACTTTACTCTGCATAATGTCCTCTGGGTTCATCCATGTTGTCTCAAATGGTAGAATTTTCCTTGTTTTTTCAGTTAGCTCTGTTGAATTTAGATAAAGTATAAAGTTGATATAGAACGAGCATAACATAGATTTCATGGATGAGGTTAATTTCAGCCCTGTTATCTTCAATTTCTGTGTTTTTCTCATCTCTTTTTAAAATTTTTTTTCTTTCCCTTTCTCTTAGTCTCTATTGTTTTCTATTCATGATAACTGAAGTTCCCTTTTCCTATGGTTCAGTTTGAGTAGTAACTTGTGCCAGTGATAAGCAACTGAAATGACTGATGCCAGGCCATTGGCCTCTTGGTTGCTGAATATGTCAGATTCATTCTCCTGGCATCTGGACACTGCTGGACCCTCTTTTCCTGGGCCCGAGGAACAGCATTCCCTCTTTTTTTTTCCCTGTCTCTCTTCTCTGTAAAAAGGCCCCTCAGGGGCTTTTCCTCTTCCTTTACTACTGCTAAGTTCAGAAGTGCCCTGAATTTCCTGTGCAACTGTCTTCTCTCCTCACCTCCTACTCTTTCTGGGTAAGCTTCTCTCTTCCTGTGAGGGCTTCATCTGTATTGTGTTAAGCCCCAAATCTGTGCCTCTGACCTAGACTTCTCAGCAATGTTTAGTGAGAGGACATCTCATCTTGGGTATGCCACTGGCCAGTCCAACTCAATGGGTAGAGAATGAACCCATCATCGTTTTCCCCCAAACCAGCTCTACAACTCCAGCCCACAACCACTCTGCAACCACTAGTGCAAAGGTTGGTAGTTCAGAGGACACAATAGAGGGAATAAATGATGTATTTTGACTTTTCCAACTAGACTCTCACTTTAAAAATGTCATCTTCTCTATAAATACTGATTCAACCCATAATTCTTTTCTCTGCACCTATCTATGTTATATTATAGAATTGATTTTATTCTATTGCTGTGCTTCATTTATGTTTCTTTCCTTTTAGACCAGGGGTCAGTAGAATTTTTTGGTAAAGGGCCAGAGAGTAAATATTTTAGGCTTTACAGGCCATATGGTCTCTGTTGCAACTACTCAACTCTGCGGTTTTAGTGTGAAATCAGCCATAGACAAAACAAATGGATGAGCGTGGCTGTGTTCCAATAAAACTTTATTTACTGAAACAGGCAGTGGGCTGGATCTGGCCCACAAGCCAAGAGTTTACCGACCCCTGGTCTAGACTGTGGACTCCTAGAGAGTTACTTCATAAGAATTTAGAGTTTAGAGAGCCTTTTACCTGCCAGATGATGCTAGAGGTCTGAGAATCTAGAGACAAATGCTCTTCAGTTCCTGACCTCAGGGATCTCCCATGGAGACCAAGCGTGTGCTGTGGTTGAGGTGCAGATTAGTCTCCTAGGGCTGTCCTAACAAAGTGTCACAACTGGGAGGCTCTAAATAATAGAAATGTATTCCTCACAGCTCTGGAGGCTAGATGTCTGAAATCAGGGTGATGGCAGAGTTGGGTCCTTCTGGGTGCTGTGAGGGTGAGTCGGGCCCATGCCTCTCTTCCAGCTTCTCGTGGCTCCTTGACTTTGTAGATGCATCACTCCAATCCTCTACCTATACCTGGAGTTCTCCATGTGTCGTTCCTTTGTACATCTGTCTCTGTGTCCAAATTTTCTTTCTTTCTTTCTTCCTTTTTTTTTTTTTTTTGAGAAGGAGTCTTGCTGTGTTGCTCAGGCTGGAGTGCAGTGGCACAATCTTGGCTCACTGCAGCCTCTGCTCCCTGGGTTCAAGGAATTCTCCTGCCTCATCCTCCAGAGCAGCTGGGATTACACATGTGTGCCACCATGCCCAGCTAATTTTTGTATTTTTAGTAGAAATAAGGTTTCACCATGTTGGCCAGGCTGGTCTCGAACTCCTGACTTCAAGTGATCCGCCCGCTTTGGGGCCTCCCAAAGTGCTGGGATTACAGGCGTGTGCCACCACATCTGGCAAATTTTTTATTTTTAGTAGAGACGGGGTTTCACCCTGTTGGCCAAGCTGGTCTCGAACTCCTGACTTCAAGTGATTTGCCCTCCGTGGCCTCCCAAAGTGCTGGAATTACAGGCGTGAGCCACTGTGCTTGGCCTCCAAGTTTTCTTATTTTATCAGGACACTAGTCAGATTAGGGACCACCCTAATGACCTCATTTTAACTTGATTACTTCTGTAATCTGTAAGATTCTGTTTCCAAATAAGGTCACACACAAAGAGTCAGGACTTCACAATATCATCTTTGAGGGACACAGTTCAATCCATAATAAGGTGTATATATTAATATTTACCATTTGTATACCAAGAGAACTGAGGTGAGGAGGATTCATCCTGCTAAACAATGGGGGAGAAGAAAACGGAGGGCACAAAAACCAACACAACATTTGGCCTGGATGGATGACTAATATCTTGCTAGACTACAGAAATAGGAAAGGAAATTCCAGGTTGAGCAAACAACTTGAGCAAATGCAGGAGGGCAGGATCATAAGAACAAGAAATGTCTTTTGAATAATTACCCTGGTACAGCTGCAAAATGGTGAGGTTGGTAGAAGGGGCTCAAGTTGATTCTAGAAAGATAAGCTGGGGCAAGACCAAATGTGTGTAGGCTTCAAGAGCTGCTTGCATGATGTTTGTTGACTGAATGAAGTATCGAAGTCGAAAATGGGAACAGTGGTTGTGACAAATTCTTGGCTACGAAATCCCTTTCATTCAGTCTCTGGGGGCTAATTGTTGCAAGTACTTGTCAGCGTCTGGACCACTATCCTGCAATCTCTTTCACCAGTGCACTTGGGTTCACAGCTCCCTCGTAATTTTTATGCTTCCTTATGTGTTAGAAGAATGCAATGACAGTATAACTGAAGGTCTAGCCCATAAGCAAATATTCTCTGATGGAAATATGCAATATGTTTGTCTTTTGGTAATAATAATAGCTAACATTTGTTAAATGTTTACTCTGAACCAGCCACTGTTATAAGCATCTTATGTATTAACTCATTTAATCCACATGCTCCTGCATGAGATTCTAGTATCTCCACTTAATATACCAAGTAACTGAGCTTCAGAATGGTGAACTGGCCAATGTAACCCAGTTGGTAAATAACTATTCTCTAATCATTAGATTATATGCTTACTTCTCCCTTTGGCCTTCCTGTCCCCTCTCTCCTGCCATACTTGTCTTCCCATGGCCCCTCTTGGGTCATTCAGTTTGCTTTTGTTCACCTCCAATCATCCATCAATTAGTGTCTGATGTTCAGATTCTTCTCTGTCTCTTACTTCCCGTTTTCTCCCCTATTCTTATGCTTTTCCCCATTTCTTGGTCTTTCCTTCACTGTCCCTGTATTGGCTTATTAGTTTTTCCTACTTCTGGTGTCAGCAATAGATCCAGTTATTTTAAAGGACCTTTCCTTTTTCTTAATCCTCATTTCTAAATTCTTACCAGCTGCATATAAAAACATAGCCCCAGCCAGGTGCGGTGGCTCACACCTGTAATCCCAGCACTTTGGGAGGCCTAGGCAGGAGGATCACGAGGTCAGGAGTTCAGGACCAGCCTGGCCAGCATGGTGAAACCCCGTCTCTACTAAAAATACAAAAAATTAGCCAGGCATGGTGGCGGGTGCCTGTAATCCCAGCTACTCAGGAGGCTGAGGCAGGAGAATTGCTTGAATCCGAGAGGCGGAGTTTGCAGTGAACCAAGGTCGTGCCACTGCACTCCAGCCTGGGCAACAGAGCGAGACTCCATCTCAAAAAACAAACAAACAAGCAAAACAAACAAACAAAACAGCCCCTGCAGACCTCATAGCTAACACAATCCCTGGTTTTGGAGAGGTGGCGGATAGTCAATGGGCTGCATATTCCAACGTAAAAATAAGAAATGTCATTGTAGCCATGTAAGTCTCATTAAAGAGGATTATGGAAATGCTGACAATAATAAATTTGTAAGACACGTAAGAGTGTATAAAATACTGCCGCATCTTGTGCTAGTAGCCTAATTTCTGGATTACTGTTTTTCTGACATTTTACACAAGGCTTCATTTTACCTAGTTCAGTATTTAAGATTGAGATTTTTTTCCTAAATGTGTCATTTCTGATTCCATCGAAGGAGTAAGTTTAGAGAAACCTCATGGCTAATCATGCAACAGTAGCTTGCCGGAATAAAGGCCATGACGTTTTGGAATTTTAGAGGAGTGAGTCTTGAGACCAACTCTAGGATGGTGGTGAGAGGGAGGAGGGGTGGACAATGGGGCCATTTTCAAAATCATTACACTAGGTTAAGTTAGATTTTTCCTATAAAGCCTCCCTGAGGTGCCCTTGTGTTTTTTTATCTGGCAACTTTCTTGGATAGAAAATAAACAGAGGACTTTTGGCTCCTGTTCACCACTGTACCTACAGAAAGCAACGTTTTGGAACTTGCAAGCAGCTTATGTGTGCATGAGTGTGCGTGCAGGAATTTTCTGGAGAGGCATGAGGCACTACTTTAATTCCCATGGATGCTGTTTGTTCCCCAGAACGGAAAATGTTCTATTTTTGGCCACAAGACATTTCTGAGAAAAAAAAAAGTTAAACAAAGCATGGCGACAAGCTCGTTCGTGTCGTTGTCTGAGTTTCAAGAAGAGTTTGGTGCGTTTCAGGGAAGAACTTCTTCATGGAGGCAAGGGGTTGGAAGTGATAAGAGAAACTCTTTAACTTGGAATCCTGAGATAGGACTTGGGTTTCTGGGCAGAGGTTGCACAGGTGGGTGGGTCCTGGCTGTGAAGGCTGCAGCCTGGCCTTTGATTGGGGGTGGCAGGTTGACAGGTGCAGAAAAAAATTCTGTTGCACCTGAAAAAGGTAAACACTTGAAGATAGGTATTCTCTGCCTGGCTGCTTAGAATGAACTTATCTGGGGCTACAACCTAATATTTCCCCCAAAGCAAGAAAGCCCTGTTTGCATCCCTGCCTTAGCATTCCTGTTGGCCACAAGCCTTTGTGGGGAAGGACTTCTAGGGGCAGGTTTCCAGCAGCCTCTGATCTCCAGATAACTTGACCGGGCCAGTCACATAGTGAATGAAATCATTTTGGGCCCTTCCCCCATCAGACACTTTTCCAGGAAATAGCTTTTTGCTGCCATGACCTCTTTTGCTGCTGTTTGATATCCTTGATATGAAAAATGTGAATGGAGACGAGCACCCCATTAACCAGCAGCTCTTAGGCAGCATTGCTTGTTGGAGGTATCTTTTCACAGAGGTGAGCCGGCAGCGCCCTGGGCATTATGGGAGCATCCTGAAGGTACGGGGCCTCGTGCTGCAGCCATTGGAGTGGCTGGCAAGAGTGATCACAGAAACTGTAAAGCCCTAAGCCCCTGGAAATGGAGCGCCCTGCGGCTCTGATTAAGGCTTGTGGAGAGGGAGCTGTATAATTGGATACCCTGAAGCAAACCTCGAGCAGAATCCTGTAAGGCAGCTTGGGATTTTCTCTCCCCAATGTGCTGTTGAAACATCCGTGAATTCCAGTTGGTGGTTGTTTTCATCTGCTTCAAGCCTAGCCCTTGGGTACAGATGCAGCCGTGTTTCTGGGTAATGTTTCATTCTTGGTAGGAAGGGCTGTTTCCTTCTCATGAAGTGATTCGATATCTTTGGAGTTACGAAATGAAGTGCTGGTGAGACCTGTTGTTACTTGTTGTTCCTTAGGCAGAGCGTTTCTGAGGAGCCCTGTTCTTGAAAGCAGCACTGAATTGACGCCTTGCGAGCTTGGGAGTTTTCTTCTTGGTTAACAGTCTTTTGAAACATGTACTTGGGATTCAGGAACTTGCATTGCACGGGTTCAGAAATGTGTCTGTCCCGCATGACCTCCGTTACTTGGAAGCAGCTGGGTATCTTGTGCCTTTATCCTCATGTATTCAACAAATATGTATCAGGTGCCTACTATGTGCCAGGCACTAGGGCAATTACCAGGCAGTCTTGCTGATGGGGGAGACAGACCATACATAAATATCTTCCCATGCTGGAGAGTACTAAGAACAGAGCCAGAGAGAGAATAGTGGTAGATATATTTCTGGCAAGGGTGGGCAAGGATGTTCTTTCTGGGGTGTGTGTGTGAAATTTAAGGTAATATCAAAAGAAGCCAGTAATGTGAAGAAAGGGGGATGGGAATGAGACTTTCGGGTAGAAGAAACAGCAAGTGGGCAAAGGCCCTGAGGTGAGAGAGCTACACCTGCCTGAGGAGCCTAATAGCACCTGTGAAGCTGGAGCACAGAGGAAAGATGAGAAACCCCTGAGATGAGTTTGGAGAAGTAGCCATGGGGCTGGATCACATAGTGCCCTGTGGGCCAAGAAAGGAGTGTGAATGTTAACCTAAGAGTGTCGGAGGGCCTCTGGAGGGCTTGAAGCAGAGGCGTGACATGATCTTCCTACAGTTTGGAAAGAACAGTCGCTGCTGTGTGGAGACTGGATGGGGTTGGAGGCAAGAGTGGATGCTTTAGAAGGCTCTTCCCAATGTCCAGGCAGGAGCTGACAGTGGTTTAACCCTGGGCCAGAGGGGTGGGGTGGGATGGCAGCAGCTCCTTCCTATCTATGTTCATTCTGGTCTCCTTCCATGTATTGTCCTTCTCACCACTGTTTTCTGGGGGAAAAGCTGGCCTTCTTTTACAAGAGCTTCATGGTGGACTGCTACTTTATTTATTTATTTATTATGAAACAGAGTCTCGCTCTGTTGCCCAGGCTGGAGTGTAGTGGTGTAATCTCGGCTCAATGCAACCTCCGCCTTCCGGGTTCCAGCAATTCTCGTGCCTCAGCCTCTCGAGTAGCTGGAATTACAGGCACGCGCCATTATGCCAGGTTAATTTTTGTATTTTTAGTAGAGACAGGGTTTTGCCATGTTGGCCAGGCTGGTCTTGAACTCCTGACCTCATGTGATCTACCCACCTCGGCTTCCCAAAGTGCTGGGATTACAAGCATGAGCCACCATGCCCCACCAGGACTGGTACTTTAGACTCTTCCAAAGTTATTTAAGTAAATTGATCCATGTGATTATCTCAGTAATCCTGTGAGGGATACAGGGAGCTTAGGATATTGTCCTTCTGTGACAGATAAGCACGAGGGAGGTTCTGGAGGTTATAGAGAGTTCCTAGCAGAGCCAACTTCCTGCACACCCAGCCCAGGCCTCTCTGCTGCTCCATGGGACCTAACCTGTAGACTTTTGGTTTTGTACTGTCACTGTGGATTATGACTTTTATTTCTAAAAAAAAATTGTTAAAAAGGTAAAATCTGATTCAGGGAAATACAAAAGAAACACCCTTTTTTTTTTTTTTTTTTTTTTGAGCCAGAGCCTCTTTCTCTCACCTGGGCTGGAGTGCAATGGTGTGATCATGGCTCAATGTAGCCTCGACCTCCTGGGCTCCAGTGATCCTCCCATCTCAGCCTCCCAAGTAGCTAGGACTAAAAGCCTGTGCCACCAAAGATTTTATTTAATTCATTCATTAATGAGGGAACCAGTAAGATGGCATATCCTGTTCAAAGACTAAGAAGTGAGGATATTTATAGGCAATTTAATAAAAAAATTGTTAGGATAAGATTACTGGGTTAGATATAAACTGGTTAATGTCCAACAGGCCACAAATCTTTGAGGTTATATGTTCCAGCAGACAGAAATGATCAGTGTCTCTACTGGACAAAAATATACAAGATAATAGATAAATTCACTAAGTCAGAGACCTTAAGTCACTGGCAAGCAATGAAATGAACTAAGTATATTCTCCTGGGAAATTCTCTGGAGGACTTGGAAAGGTGTGCCACTCACCATTTTTGCCTTATTTCCAAGTTTTAGCTAATTTTTATGACCCCGTTACTCAGAGCAGCGATTCCCTTGGTATAATGCCTTTAAGATGATGTTTATGGAACACCTGGGGATTGAGGTCAAAAACCAATAAGGAATGGATACATTAAAATGCAACTCAAACTCCCCCAGAATGAGTTGGGACTCAGTCATTTATCAGACATCTATTGAGTCCTGCTCATGGGTATGCAGAGCCCTGTGCTAGGCTGTGGGAGCACAAAGCTTAATACAAAACAGTTCCTGCCCTATGGACCTCATAGTCTAGACAGGGAGGCAGACACGTAAACGGACACATTCCAATTCATCGTGATAAAAGCCAAGCAGAGATGTGGGGATTGTGTGGGCGCTGGGAAAGAGAGCGGTGCCCTCACCCTGAGAGATCCAGGGGCACTTCACAGAGAAGTTTTGGTTTGAGGGATGGGCAAAGGGTTGCCAAGTTGAGAAGGGGTGTCACAGGGAGGGCCATTTACGTGGGATGTCAATGACCACCCTGATAAATAGCATGGATGTGAGTAAAGAGATTTACATTTTTGGTATGGCAGATTTTAAAATTTATCCTCAATTCTCACAGCTAGTCTTAGAACGCTGAGGTTCTGGGGGGTGGGGAGGGAATGGGAGTGGAACAGGGAAGGAGAAGTTGGAGTCTCTTGGGCAAGCTTGCAAAATTTTCTTCAAATATTAGGTCAAATTCTCTATAAAAACCCTATTTAAAAGTTTTTGAAAGACTTTGAAGTCCCAAAGAAGCAGGAAGTTAATTAGAGTGGCTTTGATATCTTAGGGTATGTTTTAACAGCTGCTTAAGACAGTTTAAACAATAAGAACTTATGTGGTTTGGGATGCGTCTGTGATAGTCAGCCCCGGCCAGAGTGTAATATCATTGCATCTGAGAGTTAACAGCAGTTGGCTTTAATTTTAGAAAGAGTTCAAGCCAAAAAGTTCTCTAAAACCCAAGAGAGGAACTTCTAAAGAGGAAGATTGCTCTTGAAGAATGTGTTTGGGGGTCAAAGATGAATTGAGTAGGGAACAAATGATCTTAACTTTGTCCTCGCAGGAGCACAGAACATGCCCTTTTCTGAGCAATTCTCTTAAGTTGTGTTTAACCAGGGACATTTGTTGGCAGCCGCCATTTGCAAAGGGGTCCAAATGAGGTGAATTAACATCTGTAAGGAACACTTGAATAACACAAAGGGTGTCCAACCAATTTACATTTCCTGGGAATTGTCATTGTGCTTGAAGTAGTTTGTTTCCTTCCTCAATACCCTCAGCCTTCTTCAATATTTAAGACGTTTTTGACATACTGTTTCTTAGCCTCTTCCCCTGGTTGGATCTCCTCTATGCTGGAGAAGAACATGTTGAGAAATACTATGATGAACAGTAAGGATCTGCCTGGGGAACGGGATTTCAAGAGACGATGGGAAGGCTTGCTCTGGTGGCCCTATGTTGCTGCTGCTGCTAGGGTGCTGATGACGGCCATGATGATTGTGGTGGTGGTGGGTAGTTGATAGTGATGATAATGATGATAATGATGTTAGCTAACATTTGAGGCTAATATTTATATGATAGGCACTGTGCTGAGCATTTTATACTCATTCTCATGTGGTAGGTATATTTCCTCCATTTTACAGATGTGGAAACTGAGGTTCAGAGAGTGCCAGTGACTTGTCCATGCGTCCTTCCATCCATCTTATATTTGGCTTCCATTGAGTTTCCTACTTCTCCACAATTTACACAGTAGTATATTGCATCGTCTACCTTCATATGCAAAAATAGACTAAAAACATAAAAGTGGTTTGTAATAATACCACATGTTCTCACTTATACATAGGAACTGAACAGTGGATACTCATGAACATAAAGATGGCAGCAATAGGCACTGGGGACTGCTAGAGGAAGGAGGGCAGGGATTGAAACCTGTTGGGCACTATGCTCACTAACGGGGTGACAGGATCATTCATACCCCAACCTCAGCATCATGCAATGTACCCATGTAACAAACCTGTACATGTACCTTCTGAGTGAATCTAAAGTAAAAGTGGAAATTATGTTTTTATAAAAGTGGATGTAGAGAGGTACTTTTGGTAATGGGCCAACGACTGGCTGACAGATGACTATATTATTCCATTCAAGAGAGACAAATCTATTTTCCAAAAATACTTCCTTGGGAATGTCATGCCAGTCTTCCAAGGATTTCCCATTTTCCACAAAATAAACATGAAATTCTTCTGCCTGGACCATGCGTCCTGGCCACTCTGGTGGGATATGAGTCTGGGGCCTAATTGAGTCCTTGCTTGCTGCTGCAGTTGGAGAGTGTCTTGTGAAGGTTACTGTTTGTTTCTTTAAAAAGTGCCATCAGCACATCTTTTCTGAAGAAAAGCTTGGGTTTATTAATAAAATGAAATGAAAACTACACAAGACCACATTTTGGCAGCACACACACTCACGCTGAATGGACTGAGAAAAGATTGGCATGGGTCCTTCCTCAAAGGTAATGTGACTGTTTTTAAAAGTCTATCTTTGGTAGTAGCCATGTGAAGAACTTTAAAGTAGTTAGCTTTGTGAGTAGGGTGCATTTGTAAATGGGGAAATTCATAAAATGTCCATGCATAGACAATTCACTCCCACAATTAGTGAAGTTTTCTTGATAAAGTGTTGACCTCAAACTACTTCTCTACTTTTTTTTTTTTTTTTTTGCAATTCCTTCCTTCTTCCTTTCTTTTCTTTTCCTTTCCTTTCCTTTTTTTTCTTTCCCTTTCCCTTTCTCTTCCCCTTTCCTTTTCCTTTCTCTGTTCTTTTCTCTTTTTTTTCCCTCCTCTATAGACATTATAAGGTGAGTGAATGGGCTGCTCAAGTTCAGTGAGGGAAAGGGTATAAAAGATGCATAAGGAAAGTTTATATAGAAAACATAAAGGGAGTCATCCTTCTTAAAGGAGTAACATTTCCCATATAAAGGAGAGGGCTATGACTAGGTGTTCTCCAGCTCAATGTCTGCCATAAACCAGGGGCATGAGGTACAAAAATAAGGGAGGCTCTTAATTTGGCAACTTCTCTTTTGTCCTGTGCTTACTGGAGTTTTTGCCTATTTCTCAGGAAGCCTTCAGTGTTCATTGTGTGGGGGATGTTCTTTGAGGTCCCTGTCTCCTCTGATTTTACATAGTGTGGTAGGTTCTGATTCTTTCTTTGTCTGATTTACTGGGATAGGCTTTTCTCCTGACCTGTGACGCACAAATTTGGGTGGAAAATTTTGTCTAAAGTCTACACGTTACTCTGGAAAACAGAGCTTGGTTCTTCTTTCCTTTTGGCTTTAAATTTGGCTTTATCTTGCTTTTATTGGTCCTTGAAGTTCTAATAACCTATAGGTAGAAGATATTCATAGTATGACATCACTTCATCAAAAGCAGCCTGAATTCCATGCACTGTAGTAAGCCCTCTGTAATTCATAACCTATCCTATGTTTCTTGCTTGAGGGATTACATCAGCAATGACATGTTAGGAATCAGCTAGTGGGATGACTTGGGTAGGGACTGCTGCTGTTGCTTCAGAAAGCTAAAAGGAATGGGCTCTTGAGTGTGCAAATGGATGCATTTCATTACTACCATTTTATTTAAGAATTCTGGTGTTTCCAGATTTTCAACAGGTATTAATCTTTGAGGATGAGAAATCAAAACTCCCAGGAATTCTTAGGAATTCCTCAAATCCTAAGTTATTCTTAAAATATTTCAACATTCTTTGTGTTCATTTCTTATTATGATGGACATCTAAGAAAAATGTATTTAATAAGTTGGAAACATTAATTTTAGTAGTACATGTTGAGTATCCCTTATTTGAAATGCTTGGGACCAGAAGTGTTTTTTCAGATTTTGGAATATTTGCATTATACTTACTGGTTGAGCACCTCAAATCCAAAAATCTGAAAGCCAAAATGCTCCAGTGAGCATTTTCTTTGAGTGTCATGTAGGCTCTTAAGTAGTTTCAGATTTTGGAGCATTTCAGAGTTTGGATTTTTGGATTTGGGATGCTCATCCTGTAGTTACAAAGAACTTTAGCCTATAGTAAATATTCAAATGCTTGAAAATGCCAGCAAACATTATTGGGTAGCATTTGAAATTGAAATCACCAGTTTAAGGGCTTATTTTGTTGCCAAAAATTTTTATTCTTTGGAACACAACTTATAGGATTTTTATAAAGTATATATGCATATAAATTTATTAATATCACATTTTTTCCCCAAAATGACTCACCATTGTCAACAAACACAATCACAAACACATCCTTACAACATGGCCACAGCTGCAGGCAAGGTTGGTTAGGTTAGGGTGGCTTTCCTCCTATGTGTGCTGTACCAGTTCCTGGAAATGTCAACCTTAACCTTCAGCTGCAGGCTTTCATTTTGCTACGATGTTAGTGGAGTTCTTCAAACACGTGTCTTTGTATTGATTGTGAAGCTTTAATTCTTGCAGTAGAATTATAATACTTTTTCCTATTTTCCTGATTTCTTAATTAGCTTTTCTTGGGATTTTCGATTCTGAAAAACATATATTTCCAGATACATATTGGGAAATAATTCTCTCATGGAAACATTAAAATATTTAAGTTAGTTTCTATATTCCATCCATTTCAATATTACATGTCCGGTCTTGGATAGGATCACTCTTTCTGGGAGTAACTCAGGACACCACTGTTCAAAATGAGAGGACTCACTAAAGAAAGTTTCCACTAGCTGATCATGGACATCTACCACCACCATTATTCGATAGTGTTTGCAAGGTCTTCCTCCAGCAAAGAGCTACTTTAAAAATGTAAAAGTGGCCAGGCATGGTGGCTGATGCCTGTAATCCCAGCACTTTGGGAAACTGAGGCTGGTGGATCACAAGGTCAGGAGTTTGAGACCAGCCTGACCAACATGGTGAAAGCCTGCCTCTACTAAAAATACAAAAATTAGCCAGGCATGGTGGCACGTGCTTGTAATTCCAGCTATTCAGGAGGCTGAGGCAGGAGAATCGCTTGAACCCGGGAGGTGGAGGTTACAGTGAGCCGAAATTGGACCATTGCACTCCAGCCTGGGCAGCAGAGTGAGACTCTGTCTCCAAAAAAAAAAAAAAAAAAAAAAAAAAAAAAAAAAAAAAAAAAGGTAAAAGCTGGACCACAGCAGGCAGGGAAAATTCATACCTGGAATGGTTTGGAAGAAAATATTGATCTGAGAGCCCTCTGGGCCTTTGATGAAAATGGCTGCATTGGGCCATGTTGGTTACCTCATTTTATTATGGAGAACAGAATAACAGTAAGAGTATCAGATCACCTGAATTAAATTCCTGACACTAGTTGTGAGACACCGAGCAAGTGGCTTAACTTCTCTAGACCTCAGTTTTCTTGTCTGTATGGCCCTCATAGAGTGGGTGTGGGGATTAAGGCACGTGATAACTATGCACTAAGAAGAACCTGCTGTTTTCTTCTAGAAAATAACACATGGGATTACCGAGAGTGCATCTGACCAGCACTTGTTTTCATTATTCAGAGCTCTAAATGTTACTGGTGGTACTCACAGCTACATGGCATGCAGAGTCTGGCCATCTGACCTGGCACCATACATTCCTAAAAGGGTGTTGCCATGTTCAGGCTGAAGCCCTCAAACCAAATACAAACAATGGTGCCAGGAAAGGACCTTATGTTTGGTGACTTCTCGTCTTGACACATCACAGGACTGCTAGAGGCAGCTTTGGACTTAAGCGTTGTCCGGAACACATAGACGGAACAGACTGAATCGATGAATGGTGAGGCAGCCTTGAGACCAGCTGCAGGGCAGTGTGACCTCCCCTATGCCAGGGCAGCCTTTGAGGTGTTCTGCCCTTGTTCCTCTCCACATTTCCAGCTGTAAGTGCAGGTTTTGTAAAAGAAAGAGTCGAGAAGAGTTTGTCTTCAGAATCTATCTCAAAGAGATGGAGGACCTTTCAGTTACAGTCACATAATCTGAAGTCAGAGTCCCTTGGCTGGTTTGGTTCTCGGGTAGCCAGTAAAGAGTTTGCACTGGTTTATTGTAGGAAGGTTTAAATTAAGAGTACAAGTGCAAACTTTATTACACGTAGATTTAAAACTACTTTCTTCTCCTAATGGCTGTGTGATTTCGGATGAGTTCGTTATTATCTCTCAGGTTCTGTCTCCTTGGTTAAAAAAATGGGAATAACAATAGTACCAATCTCACAAAGTTATCTTGAGAGTTAAATAGAATCATATATGTAAAAAGCTCTCAATAGATTAGAGTTTCAGTTTTAGAAGGTATAAAGAGTTATGAAGAAGGGTGGTGGTGATGGTTATATAACATTATGAATATACTTAACACCATTCAACTGTTCACTTAAAAATGGCTAAAATGGTAAATTTTATGTTGTATGTATTTTACCACAATAACAAACTTGGAAGGAAAAAAGCTTTCAACAGAGATCCTAGAACACAGTGAACACTCAAAAAATATTAAGTATTTTTATTATTACAGTTGAGTCAAGGAGGTGTACCAATACTCCTCAGCATGCTTTAATGCGGCATCCTTTGGAACATCAAAAGTGATTTTCTCATAAAAATCTGGTAAAGAAGGGAATTAGGTGAGTTTAGTCATCCCTGGGGACTGAATTGTCTATCATCCATGCCTATATTTGCACAACCTGTTGTTCTTGGATGTGAACAGCATGGGGGTGGGTGGGTGAAAAGAAGGGAGAGATTGCTATGGGAGAGGGAGAGACCCCCTGTGTTAAGTGATTAGATATGGAAGAGGTAGGTCACAAGACTCCTGCCAACACCACTAGAGGTTGACGGCTGGGAAATCTTTAGCCTTTTCCTGTCAGTTGTTTAACTTATTCCAACCCATTTAACTTATTTGAATCCTGGCCTTGTTAAATCACAAGATTATTTTTAGAGGCTCTTGAGTAGTCTTTATGAATAAGGCTTTTAAATAGCACCCCAATCCACCACTCGTCATGCCTTGATGGCAGGAACAGTCTTTGCAAAGACCAGGTTTATCTAGTCTTTGCAAGGACCAGTGATAAGACTTCAGAAGATGCAAATATCACATTTCAGTGGGACCAGGCAGAAAATTATTCTTCAGTGTTGCTCTGATCAAAGACTGGCAAAGATGGATATTTAGGAAACAGCTCTGATTTTCTGATCCATCCTTATATTTCTGATTCATTAGTTATTAAAATGAAATTAAAAAGTATGAAGCCAGAAGCTTCCAGGGCCTCTTTCTCAGGCTACACCATGCACACTGCTGGGCTACTCCCACCCCACTTATAAAGCATGCACCATCAGCAGTCTCTGACTATACACAGTGCTCAGAATGTCTTCTCAGACCATATCCCTATTCCCCAAATGGAGGGATGGATTCCCAGCACCTATGCATACTGTGTGACTTCCCCACTTCCTGGAATGATTTCTGATTCAGTGCTTGTATGATAATAGTCAACAACATAGTAATAAAGTAGCTGTTTTCAGTGCCTTGTATGTGTTAGGCACTTACATCACTAGATATAATATAATGATATAATATATCACTAGATATAATATAATGATATAATATATCACTAGATTTAATATAGTGGTATACTATATCACTAGATATATTGTATTATTTCATTTAATCCTCAAAACTGGTTAAGTATCTCTAGCTTACAGATGAGGATATTGAGTTTTGGAGAAGACCAGTGATTTGCAATGAATGGAATTGGAATTTAAACCTAGATCTGTTTGACTCAAGGCCTTAGTCTTTAACTGCTCAACAGTGGGTAAGTGGACCTGGGCATAGCAGCAATCCCTCATTTTGGAGGATTGGAGCTACATATCAATGTATATGGCTTAGGAGTGTCTCTTCTTGACACCAGCCACGCCCTGCCATTTGACTCGGAGTACACGTCTCTCTCGGCTTTCTTCCTAAGACAGATGTTATCTCCATATTTTTGCCCCCAGGTGTGAACTACTGGCAGCTCTTGCCTTGAGCTTATGATATACACTTGTTGGCTGACATTTTAGTCTTGTGGTAATTAGCTAAGAACTTGACCCTGGAGTCAGATTCAAACTACAGCCCTTCTACTTGCTAGATCTGTGGCCCTGCAAAAGTTGTTTAATCTCTCTCAGTTTTCACATCTGTAAAATGGGAATAGTAGCAGCATGCAATTCGTGGGACTATTACGAAGACATGAGGTAAAGGCTTAGAATGGCAAATGGTTCATGGTAGCTGCTTAATACAATTATTCAAACTTGGGAGAGTTCACTGAATGTTACCTATAGCTAAAAACATGCTAAGAATTTGCATACTGTCCACTACAATCTTTAATTCCTTGACTTTGGTGTGATTCTTTTTTAATTTTTATTTTTTGAGACAGGGTCTCACTCTGTTGCCCAGGCTGGAGTGCAGTGGTGCGATCATGGCTTGCTGCAGCCCTGGCCTCTCAGACTAAGAGGTCCTCTCACCTCAGCCTCCCAAGTAGCTGGGATTACAGGAGCATGCCACCACACCTGGCTAATTTTTGAAGTTTTTTCTAGAGATGGGGTCTCCCTATATTGCCCAGGCTAGTCTTAAACTCCTGGGCTCAAGGGATCCTCCTACCTTGGCCTCCCAAAGTGCTAGGATTACAGGCATGAGCCACCATGCCTGGCCTGATTTGATTCTTTAGCAAATATTTATTGAGTGCTTATTACATGCTGCATACTGCACATATAGATGTCATGGATACAGAGAAGAATAAAGCCCCAATTGTCCCTGCTCTCAGGAAATGTGCTATGCCATGGGGTAGACAGTCCTGTTAGGACATACATTTAACTCAATGTGCTAAGAGTGCAGGGCTCATTAGGAGCCTGGAGGAGTGTACATGGATTAGCCTGGCTATTCAAGGAAGGAAGAGCAAAGAGTTAGCTACACGTGGAAAGATGGGAAAGGATTTCTATGCAAAGAGAACATATACTAAATATACAAAGGTGGGAAACGACCATGTGGTGAGAGGACCTATGAGTGGTTTCCTGATGTTGGAATATGCATTTTACACTAGGAAATGAGGCTGGAGACAAATGTGGGCGTGTGGAGCTTGGGTTTTATTCTGTAGGACATAGTGTGGGGGCACTAAAAGGATTTTAGTGGGGAAATTACAGTATAGAGTGAGGGTGTAAGGTGGTTGGAGGTCAAGACTGGAGCAGGGAGAGCAGGCAGGAGGCTTTTGACAGACAGAATGGCACAAACCGGAGCAGCCAAGGTGGGAATGAGCGAAAGGAATGAGTGGAGAAATATTTAGGAGGTGAGACTGCAGGACCCATAATTGATTGGATTTGCAGGAGCGGGAAGGAAAGGAGTCTTTGATGATTACCTTTTGCTGTTGTAAATCCTGAGTTAATGTACCCCTTCCCTGGGAGTTTTCATTTTAGAGGATGCTTCTTATTCTATATTTTCAGAAGGATCAGTTAGACAATTAGTTGCACAGGCTCCTAATGTTCAGTAGGGAAGCTACCTAAGGAGTTGGAGTCAGTTCTAAGCAGTCAACTTAAAAGGCAGTGGAGATACAGCATTTAGTGTCTCTGTGTCTCAGTTTTCTAATCTGTAAAGTCAATGCTCGCTCCATTGGATCCATGTGAGAACTAAATAAGACAAAGCTTTTATAATAGTATCTCCTGTAGAGCAAACCCTCAAAATAGTTGAGTTACAGTTAGTATTATGCTTTTTACTGTTATTCATTTTATAGCATAGCCTCATGAATCTGATTACCTAGGTTCAAACCCAAGCTCTGGGTGAAATGGAAAAAAGTTACCTAATGTCATTAAGCCTCAGTTTCTCATCTGTAAAATGGGGAAATAATAGACAATAATAAAAAAAAAAAGGGCCTATTGCATAGGCTTGTGTGTAGACGGGATGAAGGAATGCATACCAAACATGTAGCTCAGATCCTGGCTCACAGTAAGAAGTCGGGAAATGTAAGCTACGGCTCTATTCCTTGTTGTGTGCTAGGCACTTTTGTGTATGAGATACAATTTCATTTCCCCTGCATCCAATAGAGTGGGTTATATGATCCCCATTTTATAGATGAGGAGATTGAAGCATGGGGAGGTTAAGCAATTTGTTCAAGGTCCGCAGCCATAGATGATCTGGTATAAGTTATTCCATTTAGAATGACTTGATACTTTTAGAATCTTTAGGAAAGTTCCTGTAGGCCCATAGGAAAAGGAGTTTATAGTTACACCTAGTTCATGACTATATTAATTTATGTCAGAAGGGAATTAGAATCATCATCAAAAGTTAGAGTTGGAAGTAACTTTATTGAGTATTTGGAAAAATGAATTGCAACCTCATGTCTCCTGATGTGTAGTTTAAAACAAAACAAAGCAACAACAAACAACAACAACAACAACAATCCAACATACTACCAAATTTATGCCAAAACCCCAAATGGAAAACAGGTAATGTGGTTCTATGCTGGCTGGAGGACAGGCAGGACAGTTTGAGCCCTTTCCCCCACCTGTTCTAAAAGGGTGTCACAAAGCCCCAAGGCACACTTTAAAAATCACAAATCAGAAAAATCCGTGTTTGACTAATGAGGAAACTGAGGGTAGAGGCAGAAAGTGACTTTCCAATGTCACACACCAGGGACTCATTGGAGTCAAGGTTAGCAATTCATCTCTTTTGGTTGGCCCAGCTGTACAGTCACTGGTGTTGCCACCCCTTCCATGTGCTATGCAGACTGTTGAGGAAGGATGCTCCCTTTTGGACAAAAGCCTGTATTAATGTTCACAGTACTAATACTTAATTTATTTTTTTATTTTTTTTGTGCTTTTTAAATTTTCTATAATAAATATGTATTGCTTCTATAATCAGAAGAGATAACTTTTGGTTTTTAATTAATTAATTTTTTTTAAGAGATAGAGTCTTGCTCTGTCCTCCAGGCTGGAGTGTAGTTGTGTAATCATAGCTCACTGCATCCTCCAACTCCTGGGCTCAAGCAATCCTCCCACCTTAGTCTGCCAAGTAGCTAGGACTACAGGTGCGCACCACCATGCCCAGCTAATATTTTATTTTATTTTATTTTGTAGGGATGGGGTCTCCCTGTGTTGCCCAGACTGATCTCTAACTCCTGGCCTCAAGTGATCATCCTGCCTCAGTCTCCCAAAGTGCAGGGATTACAGGTGTAAGCCACTGTGCCCAGCCAGAAAAGATATTTTAAAAAATACTAAATTGATGAAGAGATGATTTGTATGCCTGGCATGGGGAATCCCAAGTTTTTGGACTTTTCTCATCTCTTGTGATTTCTCTGAGTGCTTGTTGTGATGATTTTGGGTTGGGTCTGGAGGCTGCTCCAGAGAGATATTATGTTGTTCTGTGATGGCGTGTTTGCTCTCTATTTGTTTATTTTTGATACTGCCCAAAGTAAGGCCCAGCATTAGAGACCTCCTCTCAACTGTCCCTAATCTTCCCCTCTAGTATCATCTCTTAAGACTCTAGTTAAAAATGGCTAATTGACTGTCAACCACACCAAGTCAATTGGTGCCAATTGCTGCCTTTCAGTTTTTACCCATATAGTTCCACCTGTCTAAGAATGCCTTTTCCCCCCAATCTCTGCTATTGAAGTACTGATACTGCCTTTCAAAGGCCCATTGCACACCCATTTCACTCATTCACTGATTTATTAATCTATCAACAAATATTTATTAAGGGCCTCCATCTGCCAGGCACTGACTGTTCTATGCCCTTGGATTAGAATGGTGAACAGAATAGACATGGTCTCTTTAATTACACAGGTAAATCTTCAGTGAGAGCCTGATAGTAAGCAAGTAAACATATGGAGTTCATACATCCATCTATCCATCCAATTTCAAAATGTGGTAAGTGCAATGAAAGAGGATAACGAGTGGCCCTATTTCAGGATGGGTGGTCAAAGAAGGCCTCTCGGGAGAAGTGCCCTTTGAGCTGACACTTGAAGAATATAAGGGAAGGACTGTGGGAATGAAGAGGGAAGAGCTTTTTAGGCAGAGGTCCTCAGCTAGAAGAGTTGGAAGAACTGAAGCAAGCCCAGCGAGGCTGGAGCAGAGTGGATGACTAATGACCACTCAAGTGCTAAATGTTTCACTGATGCATTTTGTATATTATTTGTCTCCCTCTGCTAGAGTGCAAAATTCAGGAAGGAAGGTATTTTTGTCTGATTTCTTTACTACTTTATCCTCAGTGTCTAAAACAGTGCTTTGAACATAGTAGGCACTCAGTAAATATGTTCGAGTGAATGAATGCATGAATAAATAAATAAGAGTGTGATGGAAGAAAACTGGAGAAGTAGGCAGGGATGACATCATACAGGGCCTGTGGGTTATGATAAATGCTTGGATTTTATTTTCATGAAGTGGCAAATAACGGGAATTTTAACGGAAGAATTACATGACCTAAGATAGCCTTTAAATATGTCCCCACCTGACTTTTAGGTGGAAAAAGGGTTGGAGGTTGGCAGTTGAAGAAGCAAGTTAAAAGTCTATTGCAGTAACTTGGCAGGAGGCATCATGGTACTGTTGGCAGTGTGGATGGAGAGGAAGAGATGAATTCATGATGGTTTTTGGAGGACAGACAATAGCAGGATTTGCTGATGGATTTTGTGGTTGACATTGTAGATTGATTTCCTAATATCCATTCTCCCTTTCTTTCCTATTAATATAATGTTATAGAATATAAATAATGTAACATTTATAATGTAAGTGTGGTTTGGGGGTGACAATGTACCTAACTAAAAAGAAAATTCTGTATTTTCCAGCTTCTCTTGCAACTAAGGGTAGTCATGTGATATAGTTCAGACCAATGAGATGTAAGAGGGAAATGCTGCATAGGGGATTCTGGAAAAGCTCTTTAAAAGGAAGTGGATTTAACTGCCAAATAAATTTTTCCCTTTGTTCTTCCTCTTCTTCTTGCTTGAATTGCAGATGCCATTTGGAGTAGCTACTTTGAGGACAAGAGACAAAAAGCCTGAGGAGAAAGTCACCATGAAGGAAACAGAAAGATTAAACAGCATGCGTGATCTTTGATTCAGAGTCCCCATCTCACCCTGGACTGCCTTCCTTTGGAATTCCCTTGTGGAAAAAAAAATTAAACTCTTATTTGGTTAAATAATTGTAAGTTAAATTTAGTTTATGTATCACCAAACTTATTTCTAACTGATTCAGATTGGATGTGGGAGAAGCAAGATAGGATAATTCTATTTTTTCCCCCTTCCCTCAAACAACTGTTTAAATGGAAGACTGGGTGAGGAACAGATTTTAAATGGAGGTTGTGTATGTCAGTATGTATATGTTTGTGTCTCTGTGTGTGTGTGTGTGTGTGTGTGTGTGAGAGAGAGAGAGAGAGAGAGACAGAGAGAGAGAGAGAGAGAGAGAGAGAGAAGATGAAATCCAAGACTTCCATTTTGGATAGTTAAAGCTTGAGATATCTGTTAGATATCCACATTGCAATGTTAACCAAACAGTTGGTTTTGTGACCTTGTCTTTCAAAGAAGAGTCTGGAATAAAGATAGAAATCTGGCAGTTGTCAGCATAGAGATGGTATTTAAAGTCATATAAATGGCTGAGATTTCCCAGAGCAGGAGAGTATGTAGATGGAAGAGCAAAAGGCCCATGGCTAAACCCTGAAAGTGTCAGCATTTAGAGGTGAGGAGAGGAAGAGTTGCTGTAGAAGAAGAAGGAATAGCCTGTGGGGATCACCAGGAGGGCAAAGTTACGTCAAGACAGTGGGTTTCCTGGGCCCACCTCGTTTTTGTGTGGCACACTCACGCAAATGGACACTTTTTACACCTTGCACTGGATATTAGTTCTCTTCTTGTGTGTGGGCTGCTTTCCCTCTTGTTGAGATTTCAGGTCTCCAGGGACTGGGGTCATGTCTGTCCTTTGTAGTTCCCCAAACCAGGCACAGCACTTCACCTTGAGGTGATGCTTGCTAATGCTTGGCAATGGTAATCTGTGCCCGCTGGGGGCAGGGAGAAAAAAGGGGGTGTTTAGAAACAGAAAGCTAGTTTGGAAAATGAAAAAATTGGAAAGTATGCTCAATCCTAGGTTGAAAGTCTCCTTGAGCAGCAGAATGAGATACATTATCTGACTAGAGAGAAGGCTTTTTAAGAATTTTGAGAGCATAGGTTGACTATAGGTCATAGGGCCTAGGAAAAATCGGAAAGATGAAAGAAGAGATGGTGCAGAATCCAAGAATTTCATTGTGTCAGGGTTCAGGTGGAGAGAGTAGCTTTCACCAGAAACACTAAGGGCTTATATTAGAAGTTGAGCAGGAAAGGACGGCGTGTTCCCAGGGCTGGGATGAGCTCATGATGGCTGCTGGGGTGAAATAAAGAGGAAGGAACAATAAAACCAAGACTACATGCTGACCCACAGTTATGGCATAGGCTTATTCTCGAGATTTCCTACAGTGGTCTTTGGCACAAAGTGCTGATGTCCTATTATGGAGGCCTAGGTTGTGGGAGGGAAGTGAAGCCCTGGGCTAGAAGGCCAAACTCCAAATCCTTCATTTATTCACACATTCATTCATATTTGGTATGCAATTACTATAAGCAAGTCCTGAGGATACGGTGGTGTAAAAGGCAAAACATATACCTGATTTCATGGAACTCACATTCTAGGGGTGGTTTGTGTATATATGAGAACAGTAACTAGAAAAAAATAATGAACAAGGTATTTTATGTAACGATAAGAGCTATGAAGAAAATCAGACATGACGATTTTCAGCTAGAGCTACCCAAAGCATGATCTTTGAGTCAACAACAACATATGAGCAATCAGTTTGTTAAAAATGCAGAATCTCAGAAGACGGCCTAGACCTACTGATTCAGAATCATCATTGTAACAGGATCCCCTTGTCATTTCTTTGCATGCTAATGTTTGAGAAGCACTGAGCTAGACAGTGGGAAATGGAAGGTTTCTCTGCCTAGGTGACATCTGAGCTGAGACTTGAATGAAGAAAAGCTGTCCATGTAAAGATCTGGGAGCAGAAGGATCCAGGCAGAGGAAATGGAAAGTACAAGGGGCTGGATGAGAGAACAAGCTTGGCTTGTTCGCAAAACAGAGAGACCCGTGTCTTCATCATGGAGCACCTCTTCTCCTCTCTCCTTACCTGGTTAGTCCTCACCCAGCTGTCAGACCTCAGCCTAGACCTCACTTCCTCTGGGAGCCTTCCCCGACCCTCAAACACCCTTCCTGTCCAGCCCCACCCACCCAATTCTAGTCCAGCATGAGAGTGGTCTGGCTGTTTTCCTCCCCAGCATGCCTGTGATCTTAGTACTGAATAGGTGGTATGTAATTTTGTTTAATGACAATTCAAATGAAAGTGAGAAATCTAGAAAGACGGAAGAGGCAGGCTATAGAAGCAGTTCATACCACATCTTTGTTTATGGGCAACGTTGGTAACTCTTGAAACCTTGTAGCCATAGCCTGGGCAGAAGCACCCCAGCCTCCTCTCTGTGGAGTCTTCGCACACTCCCTTTCTTTTGACCCTCATTGCTCTGAGATCTGTGGTCAGACACTCTGTAAATATTTCCTTTCAAGCAAGGATTCAGGGTGCAGCAGAGCTTATGGGCTGCTAGAAAGGCCATGCTATTGAATAAGCTACAATGCAATATGCTGGATGCAATCAGGTAGTGGAGAACAAGTAACTGTTGGAGCTCAGAGAAGGGCTGGGCACCAAATTCTGGAGAGATTTAGGAGGTTCCACTGGAGCTGGCTCTTAAGAGAGGAAGAAGAATTTTTTAAGTTCAAGGGGGTGGTGGCAAGGTGGCAGTAATTGGTGGTGAGGGTGATGGAGGGCAGTGATGGTGGTGGTGGTGGTGATGCTGGCTTTGAATGACGTGGGTGGCGATGATGGGAGATGGTGATGGTGGTGGTGATGACAGTGATGGTGGAAGTGGGTGGGAGTGGTGAAAAGGGTGATGGCATCAGTGGCCAGGTTGCTGTGGTGATGGTAGCAGTCATGGTAATCATGGTGATGGTGAAGTGTATTCTAGACGGAGGTCGCAGCATGCCCACGAACGTAAAGTCATGAAAGATCTCTTTAAGTCTAAAAACATGGTAGGGTGGCCACAGATGGACAGGTTGGAGCCAGATGTAAAGGCCTTGTGGGCCAAGACGAACTCATTTTCATTAAAGTTGAAGTAGGTAATGAGCTTGAAGAGAACTGGCTGCACTGTGAGGGAGGAAGTGATGTTTCCTGTTATAATTACCTTTCTCGTTTTATTTATTTTTAAGATAGAGTCTCACTCTGTTGCCCAGGCTGGAGTGCAATGGCGAGATCTCAGCTCACCGCAACCTCTGCCTCCCGGATTCAAGCTATTCTCCTGCCTCAGCCTCCTGAGTAGCTGGGACTACAGGTGTGTGCCACCACGCCCGACTAGCTTTGGTAGAGACGGGGTTTCACCATGTTGGCCAGGCTGATCTCGAACTCCTGACTTCAGGTGATCTGCCCACCTTGACCTCCCAAAGTGCTGGGATTACAGGTGTGAACCACCATGCCCGGCCCCTTTCTCGTTTTATAATTGTCCAGTGGGACACCAATAGGGAAGGGTCAAAGGAATGTATGGAATATACACAAATCTACTTCTCCTTAAATCCAGCATCCTAGAAACTGGAAGAATTTCCCCTTTGGGGCAAAGTAATATTGAAATTATTCAAGAAAGATATTTAGTTATCTCCTTTGTGTGTTTTCATCTACTCAGTCATTCATTAATTTCTTTACTCATTCAAAATGTTTTTATTGAATACTTGCAAAGTTCAATGCACAGGGTATGATGGCCAAAAAAACAAATAAATGACATATTCAGCCCTCAAGGAGATTACAATCTAGTGGAAATACAGGGATAGGACTGGGCAGAGTGCACAGCATTGAGAGAGTCCTGTGTGCTGAGCCTGACTTTGCAGACCAGGGCAGCTCATTAACTTCTTCATTTGTCACTTTCTTCCTGAGTCTTTATTGTGTTCATGCTGTGTTAAAGAATAAGAAGATAAGCAAAATAGTTCTTGCCCTAAGAAGCAAGACGTCTACAGTCTAAGGAGGAAATGTCTCCCGACCTCTTTACTCCTCATCTATATTATTTATATATTTGTGTATAGGGGGAGGTTGACCAGAAGATTTTTAAGGTCCTTTACAAATTTAATATTTTATGACAAGGAGATTCAAGATTTGTAGAGAGCACCTTCATTTTATATATAAACCCAAGTTAAAGTCTATATTTTATGCTAACTTTGCTAGATGCTCTAAAAGTACAGACCTCCCCTCCCCATCCCCCACCTCCTCACACAGAGTAAGTTATTTTGAATCCTTGTAAAATCTTATGGTGGATTTATGTGGGGTTGGTAGTCAGTTTTCAAACCTAGGTGCAGGGCGCATGGGCATCCGAGGGAATTTCAGGATCCTGAAGGACGTGGTTTGGGACGTAGTCACGTAATGAAAGAGCTGGTTGTTCTGTGTTCATGCTAGGGAATGTGGTTTGAGTGGCTGTGGGAACTTCAACTTTGTGACTTTCTGTGTAACTGAAATCTCAACCCCCAAGTGTGTCGCAGTGACTTCTCTGACACAGCACATGTAACTCAGCTCTCTCCTGATGTCTGTTTTTCTTGCTCTCAGGAGAAGAAATGGCCTAAACAATCTTCATTGGCCAGCAGTTGAAAAAATATTTGTTTTGGTTTTGTTGAGCACTTTCCCTGTTGAAACATGAACATTTTGAGGGGAGGGGAGATCCCCATTGTGTACGTTTGATTCATTTATCCTTAGCAAATCAATTGTTTCAAGTAGAGCCTTTATGTCCAAGAAGGCTATAGAAAGCTTTACTGCCCTTTTCCTTTCAAACAGGAAGTTGCATTTGGCCAAAAGTAAACAAATGTGAACCCGGGAAGGTTTGTTTAGTGTCTAATGCTGACTTCAGGACCTGAGAATGGAGTCTGTGCTTGGCAAAAATGCCTTCTCTGGGATCTGTCTGGGCCAAAATATTCTCTGCTTATGACCTGGCCTTTGTGCTCTGGTAAACATCCTCCTCTTACCAGCCCCCAGAAATTCACTGCCAAAGGCCACAGGCAGTTTTGCTTGCTTATCAGAAATATTCTAAAGGTGATGGCAACTTGGAAACATACTTTCAGCAGGACTTAGCTTTCTGGAGAGTGGCCACTGTGAAAATGGCCTGTAGCTTGGAAATCTCAGGGGGTGTGAATGTAATTTGACATTCTTTGTGCACAGGCATGGGCTAGCCCCTCTGGGTGAAGAAGCTTTCAGGAAAGTGACTGTTACTACTCAGCTAACAATGTAGTGCTGAGCACTTTGCAGGACCGAGCTCACGAAAGTCTCACACAAGTCCTAGGAGGAAGGTGCTATTATTATCTCCAGTATACAGATGAGAGAACTAAGGCTTGAGAAGGCCATGAAACTTGGCCCAAGCTCACACAACTAGTCAAGTGTCAGAGCCCTCAGCTCTCTCTGCCTTCTGATTTAGAGATTTTAATTAGTGCAAGTTCAATATCTAAACTCTAGGAAGTTGCTAAGTATTTGGGGTAGAACCACATGATTCAGGTGATGATCAGTGTATGACACTTTACTATGACAGGCCAAAGAATTGAGTAAGTAGCATTTAAAGTTTTTACTGAATGGGATTAATGTCTTGTTCCAGGAAGGATTGAAGGCAGCTGATATAAACTGGGCAATATGTGAGTAGGTAGAGATGGTGAGCTCCAGAGGAATTTGGGATGATTCTCAGAGGAGGGACTCTGGTTGGGCCTTGAAGGATGAGTGGGAATTAGGTAAGTAAAGAACATTTCAGATTTGGGGAATCAGAATCAACTCTCTTTTAGGAGGCTTGCATTTGAAGCTACTCCATGAAAATGTTCTAAGTACACACAGTGACCTTTCTTGGGCTATGCTCCTACACTTGCTGAGCTCTTATATTCTTGAGAGATGTTTTATCAGCCTAAGCATGCAAAGAAACATGTGACCTGTGAAGTAATCCTTCACCAAGAGCACGTGCCAAAGCTGGTCAATATTGGGCCAGAAATTCTCCCCATCCCACCCCACCCTGCCCTGTCATTAACCAATTCTCCCCACATCCTAGTGTCACTAGTCTTTTCATGGTTCTGAAAACATGTTATTGCTTAAGTGCATTTCTCTACCATACTTTACAGACATTATCACTAGTCCTCACAACTGCTCTAATAAGGTAAATGACATTAGGCCCATTTTACAGTGGAGGAAACTGAGACTGAGAGGTGTTAAGAACTTTGCCCAAGTCATACAACTTCTTGGTGGTGGAAGCAACTAATTCATGGAAGAAACAGATCTGATGCCAAAGCCCGTGTTCTCTCTACTCTACCACATACTCTCCTTAGAACCGAATGAAGACTCCCCAGGCAGTTTTTGCTAGTATTCTGGATTTGTTTAAAAATCCTCGTAAGATGTTAACAACTTTAAGTCCTGTGGTGGTATGGGGGACCTGAACACCTGGGTGCATTTTCTTTTATTTACTCTAACAGGGACACAGACCTCTGGCTTCTTTCATAGAAACCCCCCTTTTTGAAATGTCTCTGTTTTGTTCATTCAGGAGAACAGATCAGCATCTCTCATGCAAGGCCTGGCTCTGTGCCCATCTCACTTTTGCAATGAATTTAGCAACATCTGCTTTGCCCATTAAAGTGATTTTTCTCTTCCTGGCCCTGAGCCTGTATGCTTGCTGCAATTGATTACTAGCAATTTCCTTCCCAAACCAGAGAGTTCAGTGAACTCTAAATTGAATTGTTGCTCACTGGTCTCCTTTGGACCAATTGCATATGGCTTACGTGCAAAATGGTCAAGCCACTCAGTTCCCGAATCTATAGGCTGATGATTCTGGTTAAACGTGGGAGAGGACCTGATGAGTGACATTTCCCATTTTTGCACACAGTGGCCTAGGACTGTGGTCACTTCTGTGTTTCTCAATTTCAGGTGGGGGGAGGGGATGAAGCCACCTTGCTTACAGCAAGGCTGTTGAAGTACACACCCTCTTTCCTTTCAGTCATATTGCAGCACCAATGGCCTCAGATGTAGTTGCCTGGAAACCTTGTTTCAGAGACATCTGAGAAACATATATCTAGCTCCAGAAGTGGCTTAGAAAGACCTCAGGAAGATGCATATCACTGTACTCTTTTGAAGGCAGCAGTGGGTCCCTTTAAGTGGTTCAGGCAGCTTTTTAAGATAAAGCAACGCCCAAAGTGATGCTGAGCCTGTATACCTGGCCTGCTGCTCCATCTTGATTGGCGGATATCTAGTTATCCTTTGAGATGTAGTCTGAGTGTTACCTCTCAGGGAGTCTGCCCATGTCTCACTCAGCCCTGTATTCCCAATATCTAGCACAGTGAGTACATGTAGTGCACCCTCAGTGAAAGGACAAATGAGTGAAGGATGCTGCTCTTCTCGTGAGAAGATTTTAAACTGGTACTTTGCTCTGAGCTGTCCTTGAAGTGTCTCTCCTTCCCCACAGCCATGATAGCTTTACACAGGGACAGTGAGGAGTTGTTGGTTATTTAGAGAAGTGAAAGTCAGGAGTCTCCTCTGCCACATAGTCCTAAAAAAAAAAAACAACAAAAAACCCAAAACAAAGGAACTTATTACTGACCAAATTACTTCCATATATCAGGGAGGTTAATTTAAAGCTAGGAATCTATAAATAAGAAAAAGGTAGCATAAATGACTAACATCAAATAGTATTGACAATTGCTGGAAATCATTTGAGTCATTGCACATTCTGTCTCTTTGAGCAGACATTCCCCGTTTCCACCACAATTGCTGACTGCATACCTACCAGTATCAGCAGCCACTTCTGAAATGATTATCGCAGACGAGACTGCAAATATCCTATTCTTGCAGAACTCTGTCACAAACATCTTTAGCATCGAGCTTGGGGCTTTCTGCCTTTATTTCTGGAAGAGATCTCATTTATAGTATTACTATAGTGGAAAAAGATGAGAAAAAGCAGAGTATTCCGAAAAGCATGGCTCAGCTTGAAACTATGCGATCCATACCTCTTAACCAATGGGAGCTGCAACTCCAAAGTGTTTAGGGAGTCCTAGGGTTTTTAGCTTCTAGAAAGGCCTTAGGTCTTTATTTCTTCATTTAATCCCTGCACATTGGCAGGTGGCCCCTGTAGACCTACAGAGGAAATGGGCTAGTGAACTTCAAGGGAAACTTAGCTGGGCTTCATATGGCGATATGAAGTTAGGGAAAAGACATTCAGCATTTTTTTTCTAGCTTTGAGAACCTAACAGGAAAAAGGCTGGGGAAATATTCCAATTGTCTACTCTTGGACTTTACTATCCGTTTATCAGATGCAATTAAACTGGGTATCTTTCCTTTCTCCAGTCCCTGGCAGTAGAGAGGAAAGACCTCAGCCCCCCATGTAATGAAAGGAGATGGTCTGTGCTTAGTCATGCTGTTTCAGTTCTGCTGCCTGTCACCCTGGTAGCTGGGATTAAAATACATCCTTCCCCTTTCCAGAGTTTCTTGCTCAAACTGAACAGGACTTTTCCAAGAGAAATGGATCACTCTAAGGTTCAACTCCTCAGGCCCAGGCTCCGTCCAAAATTCCAGGTTGAACAAATCATTAAGGATAGGTATATGTTACAATCTACCCAGCGCTAACTAAACCTCCTCCACCATCAGATCGCCACCACTGCCATCAAAATGGCAGTTCACATAAAATTAATGCTGATCATGTGCCAGACGCTGCATAAGCACTTAACATATGCGATTTCATATGTGATCATCAGACAGCTCCATAAGGTAGGTTTTATAATCACTTTATACAAATAGAGAAACTGAAGGTCTTAAAATTTAATTTTTTTTTTTTAGGCAACAAGTGTTCATTGAGAGTGTGGGGCATGGTGCGAAATTCTGGGGACAGCACAGTCCCCCTGGGCTCTCAGTGAAAGCACATTGAAACTCGTGTGCTGCAACAGGTTACAGAGGAAGTCTTTGAGCGCTTCATGTGTAGCGGGTTTAATTCTTCTTTTTTCTTGATTTTCACACGCCCCTGCACTTCCTGCTCTTTCCTGGGCCTGGAAGCGGAAGTACTGAAATACTGAGACAAACTGTTCTTATGGTTTTTAGAGGTTGGTCAAAACCAGGAAGGACAAGACATCAGAAGGCTGGTTCTCTCTGGGTTTTCTCTGAGTAGGGGATAAGAGCTGGGTCTTGGGTCCCTTGACCATGTTTTTATTCTTCCTTTGAATTGGTTGGGCTCGGCAAAGTCAGTCAAGAACTTGATCTTAGCTGCAGCTGCATTGTTCAATGACAGGCTGATTATTGTGTTTTCAACTTCATTTTTCATCGATAACTGAAAGGATATGTCTTTAGTGGAAGGTGATGCTCATATTGATTTTGTGACTTCAGATTGGTATATGCACTGATTTATTTATCCAACAAATATTTATCAAGCATCTACTTGCATGTCCTTCATGAAAAGCCCTGATAGAGCTTATATTCCAATGGAGGAAAGAAAGTAAACAAAACAGTTAAATATGCAGCATGTGAGAAGATGAAATTACTATGGCGGAAATTAAAGTGAAGGGAGGATGGGGAATGTTTGGCTGGCAGGTATTGCAATTTTCATAGGGTTGTTAGGGAAGGCCTCAGGAAGAAGGTAATAGCCGAATGAAGATCTAAAGGAGTTGAGGGAGCAAGCTATGTGGATATGGGGGAAGAGGGCTCTAAGCAGAGAAAACAGCAAGTGCAAATGTCCTGAGGCTGGAAGCTGCCTGGTGTGCCTCAGGAACAGCAAGGTGGCCAGTATGGCTGGAGCACCATCAGGAAGGGGGAGAGAGGAAGGACCTATAGTCAGAGGAAATGGGGTCATATTGTGTCATGAGAATCCTGAGAACAGAGGAAGTCCATGAGGTTGTTCTGTGAGTGAGACAGGGAGCCTCTGGAAGGTTTTAGCAAAGAAGGGTTGTGATCTGACAAAGTAATGTTGAATTAGTTATTTTTGCAGAAGCACTGATGCCTCCTGCTGACACTGACTTGTGCATGAGAAGCAAGAGATAATGAATTTGAGATTTGATTGAGCCTCCTGACCCTCTGTGGGTACCACTCCCATTTAAGTGGAGGCCAGGAAGGCTCGGAGAGTTTTAGTGACTTCCTCATGCCATTAGCCATACAAGTAGTAAGTGGATGAGGTAGGTAAGGTAAGCGACATAGTTTAAGAATGCCTTATGGCTGTGCTCCTTCTAGAGGCTCAAGGAGAGAGCCCGTGTCCTTGCCTTGTATTGTGTTCAGAGGCTACCCACATTTCTTGGCTGTGGTCCTCTTCCTTCATCTCTAAAGCTAGCGGTATCACATCCCTATGACCCTTCTTCCTTTGTCAAGTCTCTTTCTCTGACCTTAGCTGGAAAACATTCTCCACTTTTAAGGGTTCATATGATTAAGCTGGGCCCACCCAGATAATCCAGAGTAATTTTCTCTTCTCAGAGCTTGTAACTTTAATCACACCTACAAGGTTGCTTTACAATGTCAGGTAACATATTCACAGGTTCTGGAGATTAGGGCATGGGCATTTTTGAAGGACTGCTATTTTGCCTAGAGCACCATAATTATTAAACACTTTCCATGTTTTATTACATTTAAATATGATGACAGCTACAACAGGCAGGCAAGAATGTTATTCCATTCTTTTCCCCAAGGTTAAATGGTTAGTGCATGTCAAGGAAATTTGGAAAAGCCTGTGATAA
The DNA here is from genome assembly GCF_000001405.40 of Homo sapiens. Taxonomy (NCBI): domain Eukaryota; kingdom Metazoa; phylum Chordata; class Mammalia; order Primates; family Hominidae; genus Homo; species Homo sapiens. The sequence continues at coordinate 88,068,797 of NC_000010.11, forward strand.
TTAAGGGCAAGTCAGCTTATTAACAACAGGACTCAATGCCTTAAATTAACTAACACATTGTGAGTCTACAGAAAGTGTGGTTGTGGGAGGGGGTAGGAAATGGAGAGGGTAGATATTAGAATATAGCACTTGATCTTGGGTCCTTTGGCATCTTTAAATAGAAATTTGAGAGCTTAGTGGTCTGTGAACACACTGTAAAAATGCTACCCTAGACTATAAGCCATCCACAGGGCAGGAATTATCATTTGTTCCTCTTTATACCTTTGGGTTCTGGCAGAGTGCCTGGCTTATTAGTGATGCTGAATAAATATTTTATTCCTGAACTGAATTTCCTTCATTCCTCATGCCCTACATTTCGAGCTTTGAAGCACTTTCAACACTTTGTTCTATTTCTAACCAATTGTATATTTTATTGTGCATCATTCATGTGCCTTGGGTGGTGGGGATACCCAGACTTGTAGGATAATTCCCTACATTTTTCTAGTACTTGTCACTTTCAAAGTGTATTTACTTGTATAACTTTAAAATTAACTCTGCAAGACAGGTATTATTTGCTAATTTTATGGATAAGGAAATGGGGTAAGAGAAGTTTTCGGCTCATCTGATATTATCCAGCTGCTTCTGCGGTGGTATCTTAGCTGAACACTAGAAATTCTCATTTCATAGTTGCTAGTTTAGAATATGAGTTTCCTGTGGCTGCTCTAACACATTACCACAAATTCGAAGGTTTAAAACAACAGAAATTTCTTCTCTCACAGTTCTGGAGGCCAGAAGCCTGACATCAGTTTCACAGAGTCAAAATCAAGGTGTTGGCAGGATACTCTACAGTCCCTCTGGAGACTTTAGGTGAGAATCCATTCTTTGCTTTTTCCTGGTGGCTGCTGGCATTCCTTTGCTTGTGGCTGTGCCATTTGAAGGCCAATATCTTCAAGTGTCTCGATGCTATGTCTTCACATAGCCTTCTCCTATGGGTGTCTCCTCCACTCTGTGTCAAATATCCATGTAAAAAGGTTGCCTGTGATGGCATTTACAGCCTACCTGAATAACTCAGGACAATCTTCCCAACTCAAGATCCTTATCTTAAAACAACCCTTTTTCCAAGTAAGATAATACTCACAAGTTCTAAGGATTAGGACCAGATTCTTTTGGGGACCATTTTTCAGGCTTCCACAATACTTAATGTTCTCCCACCACCAAAGAAAATCTGTCTCTTTTATTTTCTTTATTTTGATGGTTATGAACGTAATTCAAGTTTCTTATCAAAAAGTGTCTTACTGAAAAACTCATAATTTAATATAGAAATGATTAATAATTAACCCTTGACATTTGGTATACTTCGTTTTGCTTTTTGCTGTGCCTAAATTTGCATGTGTGAATAAAATAAGGGTTATCCTCTGGGTCTTGTGTCGTTTTCACTTCCCCCGGTCGTTTTTCCTGACCACACGTTCTTCTCTTGAGGCAGGCATGGGCCCCTAAGGGATTTACATCACGCCACTTACAAGTGTTTGTTTGACTCTACAGTTTCAGCACACATGAGTCAGAGGAACAGGAGAGCTCTAGTTATCTAGTTATCCTTGGACGTTCCCTATCCATCTCCCTGCTTTTAATCAAGTCACAAGTCCTAAAGATTCCCTCTGCAAAGTCATCATTTGGCTACCCTAAATTCACACTTCTATTATGCTTCTCCTAGGGAATAACAAGAACCAGAGCTGGGGTGACAGTAACCCGTACTTCACCCATTTCCAGGGTTACTTCCCTCCAGCGCATCTCCAGTCCTGTTTTCAGCTCTCCATTGCCTGCCCCCTCCCCTGCCATTTGCATTAAATTAAGTGGAAAATTCTCAGTCCACTATTTAAGGCTAGTTATGTTATAACCCCACCTAATCATCTAACTGACTTGCATTCTATATCCCAGCTAAATAGACAGCAGGGACTTTCTGCCCTCATATAACTTCCTGGTCTCTGTACCATTGCTCAAGCATTTCTCCTTCTCTGGAATGCCTCCCATCCCTCTCCCCACTTTTTTGGTTGTTGAAATTCTACCGTCTTTCCTGGCTTATCTCAGATGCCATCTCAAATCTCCATGAAGTCTTTCTTGACCTTACCCGGCAGGCGTGACTTATCATTGAGCCTCTTCTATGGGACTTTGTACCTCCACTTTGGGGCTTATCCCATTTTACAGTTATTTGTGTGTTTGTCTTCTCTTTCCTACTAAATTATACTCTCTTTAGGCCAGGGACTAGGTCTCACTCTTTGTGAAGTTCTCCATGGAATGTTAGTGCCTTCTGAAGTTCCCAGAGCACACTTAGTGTCTTCTGAATGCTGGCCAAGTTGTCGGCAAGAGCATATGCAGTCAGGGCAGTGCTTTGCTTAATATGTCATTGCTGGGGTGAGTGAGAGAGCAAGTGCTCACTGAGGGGTAATTAGAACCCCTTGTATTTCTATGGACCACACTGATTTTTATTTCCACGTGCATTATCTTGGTGATTCACAAACACCAGTGAAGCCATCTCACTACCTTTGCTGTTTCTTTGTACCACCTCCACTATTATTTTGTTAGCATATATTTTTTGAATTGATCCACCTTGCCTATAACAAGCCTTGTCTTAAGCTATAAAAATCCTTGAAAATACTGGGTTTGATGTGATACCTACGCACATTAAATAATTACAAAACAATTAAGCATCTTCACCACATAATAGTATAAGGACTACACTTTGGAAAACCCTGCCTGAGACAGTGGTGGGACTTAAACAAGGTCACAGAGCCATTCTCATTCCACTGGCATATATCCTCAAAATACAAGGCCTAGAAATAGAACATATAGAGTCTGTGATACTGCATGCTCCATCAGGACAGAGGCCAAGACTGTTTTGCTCACCATCCTATGGCAGGCCCTCTATAATTATTTCTTGAATCAGTGTAGAACTTGGACATGCAGACACACATGCACACGTGAACTTGCACACGCACATGGAAAGTCAAAGTTAGTGGCTTTTCAATGTTTTGATTCACTATTGACTTTCCTCATCATGTTTTCCTCAGACCTTAATTTAATGGAGTGATATTTGTTTTCCATTCCCCCCAGCCTTTGGCTTCACCTGTGAAACTTAGCAAGCTGCTGCTGCAGTTGCTGTGCTGGGACCGGCCAGCCAATCCCTGGCTTGTTGCTTCCTCTGCCACCTCCTTTGGGGCAGTTCCCTTGCCCCTCTGTCCACTCACATCTGCCACACAGCTGTGAAGCACTTCCCAATACGCAGTGCACGAGAAATGCTTCGTAATTCCACCCAGGCCTTTTGATACTTGCTATGGTCAGTCACAAGAGCATCTGTCTCTGTGAATCTCTGAAGTGTCCTCACAGAAGAAAACAATTGCTCTGAAGAGATATTACAGACAGGAAATGCAGCATGGCAGTGTCACTTCAGGGTGACAGAGCTGCTCCAAGTTCCCTTTCTCCTCTACTGAATTGTTTAAGCACTTTGTTCATGTTAGACCCAGACTGGGACAAAGATGGATGCTTATACGTTGGGGATAGATTTTAACAGAATTTCTTCAGTGGAGTGCTCTGCTTCCTTGTTCTTCAGGAATGTGACAGATTGTGGGGAGAGATTGCCTGGTGTGAAAAGTGAGGGTTACCTGCAACTCCTTTTGCTTTCCCACCTCAGACCCCAGTGGAGCAAGGGAATGGGGAAGGGAGGCATGATGGGAGACCACAGGTTCTAAGACAGGTTGAGCATCCCCCGTCTGGAAAACGAAAGTCTGAAGTGCTCCAAAATCCGAAAATTTTTGAGCACTAACATGACACCACAAATGGAAAATTCTGCACCTGACCTCATATGATGGGTTGCATGCAAGATGTCTTACAGTCAAGACATAGTCACAACTTTGTTTCACGCACAAAATTATTTAAAATATTGTATAAAATTATCTTCAGTCTATGTGTACAAGGTGTATATACAACAAAATAATTTTGTATTTAGACTTGGGTCCCATCTCCAAGATATCTCATTATGTATATGCAAATATTCCCAAATCCAAAAATCTCCTGGTTCCAAGGATTTCGGATAAGGGATACTCAACCTCTAGAAGCAGCATTCATCAGCTCCAGGGTCAAAAAGAGTGGAGTTCAAATCTCAGCTCAGCTGATGTTAGCCTGTATGTTTCTTGCTTCAGTTTTATCACCTGTAGAAGGGGAAATGATTCCTGTTTCCCGACATTGCTGACAATGAGGATATATTGGAGGGAAACCATCTTATCACAAAGTATGGCACATAGTGGGTACTGAGAAATGTGAATTCCTTTCTCCTTGCTGCTAAATATTCCTGCATCATTTGGATCAACTTATTCTGGCATCCCGCTCTCCATTAATGTTTATGATGTCTTCCAATGCCGTGAGCTACAAAGACAAAACAGACACAGATGAAGCGACTTGAAATTTTTATAAGGTTGAGTCCAAATGTGCTTCTAGTAGAGCTCAAATTCGGTTGTGATGTTTACAAGAGGTTTCCAAGCACTGGGTAGGAGGCTGCACATAAAGGTCTTTAGCCTGCCTCTCCATTTAGAGATTCCGTAATTGGTACTCTTTGATCTCACATCATACGGAAGGTATCCATATAATTTGTTGTCCAAACTTGGAAACTTTTGAGAGCAAAAGGGGTTGCTATTAAAATCACACCTAGACCACATGTGTAAATTAGGACGCTCAGGTTAATAGAGTGTATTTTGATCCTGATTAGGGTGCACAACTTTGGCCCGAGCTCAGTGCAAGTTATACAAGTTCATTTACCCAGCTTTCATGTATTTTAAGTCATGCCAGTTCTTCTTTTCCTCTTTAGCCAATGACACTTGTTATCTAGGCAGGGACTTTGGGAAGGAAGGTTAACAATGTATGGCACATGATATAGGTAAATAACACACCAGATGTACATAAAGAGACATATGAAAGCCAGAGGGTGAGCCAGTCCAGGATCCAGATAGTCCTGCAGCTCCCCGCAGTGCCCCCCACCTTCCCCTTGTAGCCACCGTGACAATCAGCTGCCGAGGGAAGTGTCGTCTGGGGAAAGGCCAACCAGATGCTGCTCCCAGAAAATCCAGGCCAAATTTGACATCTGTTTGTGGTCTCAATGGTTGGCTCTAATGTTCCAAATTCATGAGGATGAAAATTAAAGGGAGAACTTTCATCACTGCAGTCCTCAGGTACCAAGTGAGCCTCTCAAATGTCTCTGGGGACCAAGATGCTGCAGCAGGTAGCTTAAACTTTACAATGAGTGCTGCCTAAATGGGGACAGGGATGTGGGAGGCAGGCCCAAAAGCGCAGACTGTGAGCTTGAAGGGGCCCTTAGGGATGTTTTGAGGCAAAGAGGAAGAAGATATGGGATTACAATGAGTAGATTTGGATTTTCCTGTCTGTTAGAGAGGAACCTTGGTGTTCTCACCTGGAAATTGGGGATAACCAATTTCCACCAATGTTCACTGTCCAGAGTCACTGGAAAGGTAAAATGAGATAATGAACAGGAAGGAGCTTACAAACCACAAATTCCTATATAAATGCCAGATGTCATCATTATTGGAGATCCTCAATTAAAACCCCTGAATTCACAGATAAAAACCTGAGGTTCAAGGAAGTCAAGATTCTGGCTCAGTGTCAACAAATCCATCAATAAGAAGGGATGTCAATGGCATATTTGTGATGAGGGAGGGGGACAAGTTCCTTCACAGGGAGGGATGTCCACGATGTGTGTGTGATGGGGGAGGGAGGACAGGTTCTTTCATAGTGGGGGACTGTTCATGGCATCTGTGTGATGGGGGAAGGAAAGTCCCTTCATGAACTGGGAAACAGTCCACGGCATATGTGTGATGGGGAGGGGGAAAAGTCTCTCTATGGAGGGGGATGCCCATGACATATGTTTGATGGGGGAGGGGGACAAGTGCTTTCATAGGAGGGGGACTGCCTCTGGCATGTGTGTGATGGGGAGGGGGACAAGTCCCTTCATGGGGGGATGTTCATGGCATGTGTGTGATGGGGAAGAGTTGACTGAGAAGGTAAAATTGAACTAAAACAGAAAACCAGGGACAAATCAAGAAGGCAAAAAATATTTTCAAGGAATGTAATTTAAATTTGTGCTAGATGAGATGAGAAAAATGATGCCATGGTTATTTTTTTAGGCAGCAGGAGCCTTCACATCTTTTAATTCCTCATCATCATGGACACTGACTAGAGTTGATTTCATCTGGACCTTTTCATCATGAGGCTTTGAGGCTATAGCCGATTATACTGGTAATCCAGCTGTGTCATCTCTGATTAAAAAGGCTCCTTGGGCTTGCCTGTCCTGCTCTTACACTAACGCATGCAACGGGGGCCTGGCCAGGTTGCAAAAGGATATGAGGGCCAGAGAAGATCTATCTTTAAGTAGGAGACGGTTGAGGCAGCTTAACAGAGCAACTAAGAGCACAGACCCTGGAGCCAGACTGGCTGGGGAAGAATCCCAGTGTTGCCGCTGACCAGCTTTGCCACCTTCAGCAAGTTACCTAACCTTTCTGTGCCTTGGTTTTCTCATCAGTAGAGTAAGAATATAATCAGTCTTCACATGATGTGAGGCTGAAACAAGTTAATACATTTTAAATGCTTAGAAAGGTACCTGGCAAACATTCAGCTCTATTTATTGTTTGTTATTTTATTAAAAATAAAATGAATGTTATCGATGGACATGGGTGAGAAGCAGTGAGGAGTAGAAAGAACATAAGCTTGGCCATCAGACAGACTTGCATTTGAATCCTGATTCCACAACCTTTTAAAATCAACATTTATATTTTTCTAATTATAAAAGGCATATGTATTTATAGCAGAAAATTTAGAAAATACAGGAAGTAAAGACCAACCCTAAATGTACCACAGGCAGATGGCCACCATATTTCGTGTTGTTGGCAATGATATTTGCACTGGAGCCTTGCTCTGATGCTAGTGGCTTCTTGGTTTTTATTATTCCTCCTCTCTTTGTATATCCCTCAGAGAGATATCTAGGAATCATTTCAGGGCGAGGCACTGTGAATGCTCAGTAAAGAAAATATTTTTTGACAATGAGAAGACCTTTGATATGTAACTCAGAGCCTTTAATCCACACTCTTTTTATAGTTTGTTCCTGACATTTAGGAGCTAGGGTTTCTGGTGATAAAGCATGCCAAACATTTAGATTGAAACTTATAAATTCCTTCTTCCAACTTCCCTGCTGTAATTACTTAGCTGCCCACATTATTGTTGTCAATTGCCAAGGGTGGCTGGTGAGTGAGAGGTAGGTTATTTGTACCTGGTGTGGGTCACACTCCCACTTGGTCTGAGTGTTTTGTTTAATGCTCCACAAGAAGGCCATCGATGGGTAACAGAGTAGAAGTAATAGGAGAAGTCTACTGGGTGATGATTTGGCAGCTCAAGGAAAGTTGTAAATTAGGCTCTCAGAAGGGAACTTTCTGGCAAACTCAGTGAACAAACACAAGGTATGCGCTGGCCAGAACTTGTAATAAGCTGACTTTCTCTTTCACTGGTGGTTTCCTCTTGTTGGTTTTTTGGTGAAGTGGTTAGACGTGTTAACTATTGCCCAAACAGAATATGGACTGTTCTGGGGTTGGGGATGCAGGGGTGGCCAACAGTGGGGAAGAGGAAGGGTGTAAATGTATGGATCCACAAGTCCGAGCAGTCTTCTATGATATTGGAGAAGGGTTGACAGTGTAACCAAATCTATGCCTGGTCACTATCCGTGAGCAACGGCGCACGGACTAAGTGCTCCCAATAACCCTTCTCTCTGCTTTCAACTTCAGGGGTGCAGAGGGCCTATAATGTAAAATCATGACACTGATAGAAACCTTAAGGAGGTTTCTCTCATTTCTCCCATTTAGTAAGCAAACTAGACCTTGTCATATATGGCGAATCCAATTGTGTAAGTTAATTTTCTTATCTTTAGTCATTGTAACAGCAACCTACACTAGTGGTGAAGCTAGAAATGGGTCTATCTTTCCCACCGAGGCCCATGTGAATATGGCCAAGTACCCACTTTAATTAGGGCAACCAAACATTTTAATTTGCCCAGGGCAGTCATAATTTATGCCTCTTGTTCTAAAGAATACATATCTATAAAACCCCCCTTTATTCTCAAAAATTTCCCAGTTAAAATAATAAATTATATGGGTCCCCCAACATGAACAAAATCAGGGAGGAGCCCTCCAACACACAGGCCAACTTTTCACACTGTCGCTTTGCTCAGAAAAAGTTCCATTGTCTCTAAAAGACTCTTAGCCCTGGGGTCATGGGCTGATTTCTTTTTTTTTTTTTTAATTTCTCTAGCAATATTGCTCCCCAACCAGGGACCACTGCCTTTTAGTGCATTGTTTTTCAAACTCTTTTCAGCAGCAGAATCTATTTTTTCAGATGAAAAGTTAGGCAGAGCTCCAATGTTTAAAGCAGATAAAGTAGAGCTTTTCCTGGTTGAAGTGGGGGCGGGAAGCTCAGATACCCACACATTTGGCCTCTCTTGTTCTTTCCTTCTGGTGTGGGTCCCTACTGAATTTTATGGTTTTGTGGAACATAGATTAAAATTTACCACCAGAGCATAACGCTACCATCAATTTAATGTGTTGCCAGTTTCTCGATGAAATAGTTTTGTTCCTTAGTAAAGTCAGGTTAGCAATACCGCATTTATTTTACCTTGGCATAAGTTAATAATGATCAGGCTCTTAAAAAATATTACCCCAGGTCTCACCCTCAATTCTAAGTTAGGCTACTCCATCGCCTTAATTCTTCCAACCAATGGAATCTTGACTACTTGTTTTGATGTCCTCTCCACGGAACATGTCTGAGGAATGACCATACCATGGCCTGTTTTACCAACCACAGGTCTCCTGGCCCCTGATCATGGTAATCCTCTGATCTCACTTGTTCCCTTTCTGGGCCCTTCTGCCCAATTCTAGCTTTATGGCTTCTCCTCTGTAACCTTATCGTTTGTCTAGGATTTGAAATGCTGTTCCAGCAGACTTATTTTTCTCCTCATCGTCTCAAATCTTGAGCAGGTCATCCTAGGTCCCCTCTTTTGTTGAATTCTCAGTCTATTTAAAAATTCTCTGTATTTTTAAAAATGCCTTCACAGAACCCATCATACATTAAAAACCCTCCCTCACTGAATCTCAGGAGTCCCTTCCAGCTTTGCCAGTTCCATTATTTTAGACAGCTTATCCAAATACAGTCTTTCATCAGAAACAGCCGCATACGTACTATTCCACACCTATATTTCAACCACAGTTGACTCACCAGCCTGAGGACCCCCGTCAATTCTCAATGATTCTGGGGATCAGGTTATTTTTCTTGGCACAAATCCAAAGCATTGAGGCTAGGATTCAATATTAAGCTGATCTCCCTAGGATGTCATTAAGAGGGTTTAGTTACTGAAACACCAAAGGATATTGTCATAACACAGCAATTTCATTCAAAATGGCCTCATGCCCCAGATCGTTGCAACTGCTGCATTATAAATCTCTAATGCCCTTGGGGTGGGGGTTGGGTGGAGTGGAGGCTCATCAGCAAAGGATGCCTTTGCATATTTGTTTATTTATTCAAAAATGTTTAAAATGAAGTATTTTCTTGACAGCTGATTTGAGGTACTAGTAATTGCTTCTAGATATATAGAAATATCCAAAGGTTTTCTTCAACTTTTTCTTATTTGAGATATTTGTGAAAAAGTCATTTATACCTTGAATGATATACATTCATATATATTGCACATTACATATAGAAAAGTTGGTCTGGATTTTTTTAAAAAGGATTTTTTTTCTGTATTTAATAAGCTCTTGTCATGCAATTCCTCAAACTTACATACTCTTATAAGGGGGAAGAATCAAAAAATAATTTCAACTTAAATCAGAGGATAGGGTCTCTCAACCTTGGCAATATTGACATTTTGGGCCAGATTTTTTCTTTGTTGTTGGGTACTGTCCTGTGCATTGTAGGGTTTAGCAGCATCCTTGACTTCTACCCAGTAGATACCAATAATATGCTCTCTCCGACCCAGCTGTGACAATCAAAAATGTTTCTGGATATTATCAATATGCTTTGGGGTGCTAAACTGATCTGGTTGAGGACCACTACCATAGAAAGCGGAATGATGCAAGAGGAAGAATTGTACATAGAACAGTCTATGGCATGATAGCAACTTCAACTCCAGCCCCATCCATCAGGGGTGATGGGGATCAAGAGTTGGCTTGCTTGCAGAATGAGGCAACATGGAACTATGAGAGATTTTCTTCCAACAGACGCTGGTATTTCTATTAAGTTTCTCCTTTTACAATTTTTTAAAGCACCTTTTGCCTTTGGAAGTAACCTCATGTAGAAAGCATGCAGAGTTCTAAAATGCTAAGTAACTGATATATATATATATATATATATATAAAATATATATTTATATATATTATGTATCTTTTTATATTGTATATATAAATATATATATATATTTAGGTAAAGCCAACAATTCAGGGATGTACTTATATCAGTTAGTTTTTGCTTCTAAGCAAACCAGTCCAAATCTCAGTGGCTAAAAAAGACACTTACTGCTCATGCATCAGGTTGGCTGGGGTTCCACACATCCAGGTTGGACTTGACTGGGCAGCTCTGCTTCCCAGTGTAGGTCTCTGGGTCAAGTGGGGCTGCAGCAGCTGGATGAGCTCTGCTTCATGTCTCCCTCCTTGTCCTGGGACCAGTGGGCTACTTGGGGGATGTTTGGCTCATGGTGATGGCAGAGGTATAAGAGGATAAGCAGAAACACATAAGACTTCTTGAGACCTAGGCTCAGAACTAGGATACCACCACTACTGCCTCATTTCATTGGCCAAAGCAAATCGCATGGCTGCCCCTTTAGTGGGGAGAGCTGCAAAGTCATATGGCAAAAGGCATATGGATACAGTGGGTGGGTGGTGGGGACGTGTGTGTCAGGGGAAAAGAACCATGGTCAATGACACGATCTATCACAGCTCTTACGTTTAGAGTAATAATTTTGCTTTTATATAATTTCAGAACTGCACTCCTTATTTTTTTTCTGGACACCTCTGTAATGAGAGAATATAATCACAGGACCGTTTTAAGAATGGAATCATCTGGTAGGGAAGAGTGAGCCAAACAAACTCTCAGAAATTTTATTTTAACTCCAGTTAGCTCAGTCTTGTATGAATTAAGCAGCATTATATTTCTGTGGTTTTTAGAAAATGGAAAAAGCTGGATTTGTCCAACACAGGGGCAGAGAAGAAATGCATTTTCAAAGATGTTTGTGAGATTAAAATGCAAAAACACCTATTTTTAAGGATTGGCAGATTGCAGATGTGTTGGCCAGAGGAATGTTGAGTGAAAATCTCTGGAATGTTTTAGCAACCTTTAAAATTTATTACCAGGAAATGTGTGCTGCTTGCCTTCTCTGCATCTTTTCAAAAGGTCTCTTGTAAATCCAGTCAAGCCTAGTCCAGGTAGGGAGGTTTGGAAACAGTGATAAGTAAAAGGCATTCTCTGCTGCTGTGCCTCAGCTCCAGCCTGACCAAACACCGTTAATATGTAACCCGAATCTGACCACTTCTTTTATGTTTACATTTGGTTTCAGTGTTATTTTTAACTGGTGAAAGAGCAGTTCAAAGTCATTTTTTTTTTCTTGGCACTTACCATAATCTCTCAAGGCTCAGTAGCAGAATGGCAATAAGTCACGTCAGGGGTCTTTAAACCTGGTGGAATTAAAAATCACTTACCTTATTACACATGTGAATGTGCTGAAGATGGATGGGTCAGGGTTTTCAAGGATAAGACATTATATCAGAAATCATGTTTAATTGTTTTTACTGAGACCTTAGATTTTGAGGATGGTCTACACATTTGGCACAATTCATCCAAAATGGGGGTGTACTCCACATCTATCAGAAGAGCTCAGAAACAATGAAACCAGACCAAACCAAAATGCTGAGCATGTAAGTACTGGAGAGGATACAGAGCAATGGGAACTTTCAAATATTGCTGTTAGAAATGTCAAATGGTTCAGCCACTTTGGAAAAGAGTTTTATAGTTTCTTAGTAAAATGTATGCTTACCATAAGACCCAGAATCTCACTCCTAGGTAGTAACCCCAAATAAATTAAAACTGTGTTCACACACAAACTTCTACATGGAAGTTGATTATGGCTTTAATTGGTGAATGGATAAACAAACTGTGGTGCATCTATACAGTGGAAAATTACTTAGCAATACATAGGAATGAACTACTGATACATGAAATTACATGGTTAAAGCTCAAAGGCATTATGCTGAGTAAAATAAGCCAGACTCAAAAGGCTATAAACTGTGTGATTCCATGTATATGACATTTTGAAAAAAAGCAAGCCTATAGAAAAAGAGAATATATTAGTGATTGCCAGAGGTTAGGGTCAGGGGCTAGCTATAAAGGGGCATACAAGAAATTTGGGGGGTGATGGAATTATTCTGTATCTTAATTGTGGGAGTGGTTACTTGACTGCATATGTATATCAAAACTCACAGAACTGCACACTAACAAGGGTGAATTTATCCTAAAATAAGCCTAATTTGTAAAAACTTGTGGTCCCCCAGAATCTCCTGTTTTTATATTTATCAATATAACATATATATTTGTATGGCCACCAACTCATGCCTGCTTCTTTGGAAATGGTTTCCTGCCCACAGTCCCTGCTGAAAGAATGGGCATAGACTATGCTTCTTCTAGCTGATTCCATATCCAGACCCCACTCGATGGGACCATGGGTAGACATCTACCCTGAACTGAAACAGTAAGATGCTCTCTGTTGAGAGTTTAAGAGACATTGAAATCCAGCCCAGAGGGTGTAGATTTTGGCCTGCAGGTATGTTTTGTTTGGCACAGTGTTTAAAGAAAATTAGTTGCCAGCATAAAAAAGTGGGAGATTTCACATAGAAATCCAGATTTCCGGCTTCTCTTGAAGAAATGGGAGGATCCGGTAAAATGGTCCCAAATTCCTGCATGAAGACAATGGCTGGAGCTGAGATCCATTGCCCCCTTCACACCAGTATGCACTCTCCATCTGCACAGCTCCTGCCACTCCCTGTGTGAAGCCCAGGGGTGGCTGTGCTGGTGCTATTAGTGGGCTTTTATAGTTATAGGAAATAGAAAATCTTTCTTATATTTTTTTCTGTATCAAAACTGGGAAAACTGAAGATAGGCCATATTTTATGAAAAATGGGAATAAGCATATGACTTTGTGAAAGTAATGACTCTTCTAGTGGCTTATAAGAAACAAACTAAATGTGTCTGCTGAAAGAATATACACTGATTCCTTTCTGAAACAAATGTAGCTTTCTGCACTCATCCATGCTGCCTTCCTGGTCTCTGTAGGGATTTGAGTTTGCCCTGCTCTCCCAGTCAAAAGGTTTCTGAGTAAAAGAGTGCTAAGGTTGCATAAAGTTGAAGATAAATAGGCACCATGACGAGCTATATCCACATGCAAGCTTGTGTCACTGGGGAGGAGAAATTGAGAGCCTTACAAAGAAGCAAGTCTATAGAGATTGAAAAATAAAGTGTGTGTGTGTGTGTGTGTGTGTGAGAGAGAGAGAGAGAGAGAGAAATTGAGAAGCATACAGCTGTTCAAAGGAGAGTATAAGTGAATTTTCTTTAATCACTTATAGAAGGAGGTGGGATTATAACCGAAGTCCTCCGATCAGTGCTTCTCAAACTTTAACAGGCACACATATCCTGGGGAGCTTGTGAAAATGGCCATTCTCATCCAGCACATCTGGAGTGAGGTCTGAGATTCTGCATTTGTAATGAGATCCCAGGTGATGTCAATGCTGCTGACCACATTTTGAGCAGCAAGGCCCCAAATCATACAGTCTACAAAGAAATGGTAAAAATTTACCAGCCTCAGTTTTGCTTTTTAACCACCATCTCTCCATTGAAGGACTTGGTATAATCAGTTTACGGTCACTTACCAAAGAATATCACTCCCCCTGAACAAGGTGCTATTTACAGGTTAGTGGGTGCTGGCACTCTGGAAAGAAAGAATAATTTTGTGATTGCCTGGCTGGCACCTTAAGAGAAGCCATCTGGATTAGCAGCCCAGCTGAGGGACTGTGCACCCTCCCTGCTTAGTCTTGGCTGGTTTGCTCTGTGGCCTTAGGCAAATCACCATAGTCTCTGCTTTCTCACCACTCAAACGGAAGTTAAGTTTTTGACCTTGTAGGATATTGTGAAAGATTTAATTAGCATTTGTGAAATCTTGCAAGATCTATAGAGGAAAGGTACTTCAGAAGAACACAATAATTTATAGTCACTATCATCATTTCATTACCAGTTTAGCTGATCTGCCAGGCAAGTCAGTCTAAAGGAAGCTGTCTCTGTAATCTACAACTCCCTCATGGTTGAAAATACTGCAAGGAGGAACATTACAGCTATCTGTGGAAGAAGAGAAATTGTGCTTCTTTTTCACAATTCCTGATATTACTCAGGTGTCTACCACTTCAGGTTTTAATATAATAGTTTTTTTCTCATGTAATGAAGGAAGATTCTCTTTTTAATTGTCCCTTCCTTCCAAATATGGGCCACTGTGATATCTGTTTAAAACTTTGGGGCTCTGGTTTGAAAGAAATGTTTTCTCATCTCTCTTTCTCTAGAGAAGCTCTGTCCAATAGAAATGCAATATGACAACAAAAGCAATTTAAAAATTCCTAGTAGCCACATTAAAAAAAAAATCAGATAAAATTATTTTTTAGAATGTGCTTATTTAACCTCATATTTCTAAAATTTTTTAATGTGTATAAATATAAAAATTGTTGAGATATTTTGCCTTTTTCCGGTATTGCCTTTGAAATTTGGCATATCTTACACTTGCAGCACGTTTCAAATGGGATGCTAAATTTTCCTTAAGAAATAGTCCTGGCTGGGCACGGTGGCTCATGCCTGTAACCAGCACTTTGGGAGGCTGAGGAGGGCGGATCACGAGGTCAGGAGTCCAAGGTCAGCCTGGCCAAAATGACAAAACTCTGTCTCTATTAAAAATACGAAATATTAGCCAGGCATGGTAGTGCACACCGGTCATCCTAGCTACTAGGGAGGCTGAGGTATGGGAATCTCTTGAACTCAGGAGGCAGAGGTTGCAGAGAATCAAGATTGTGCCACTGCACTCCAGCCTTGACAACAGAGCGAGACTCTACCTCAAAAAAAAAAAAAAAAAAAAAAGAGAGAGAGAGAGAGAGAGAGAGAGAGAGATAGTTAATCCTGGTTTAAACTTCCTAAAGTTTACAACTGAAAAAGTAGATTCACATATCCATATTATTCTAAACATTTTTATTTTTTCCAACTGAATAGAGTATCAGGTTTTAAATTTAAATGTCAAGTATGAAATGAAATAACACTTAAAAATCAGTTCCTTGGTGGGGGTTGGGGGGTACTGGTCATATTTCAAAGGCTCACATGTGGCTAGTGGCTGTCCTATATTGGACAGGGCAAGGCTAGACTCTCAGTGAGGGCTGCCGAAGGCATGAGATTGCAGAAGGCCTATTCCTGCTCCACCAGTAGTAGTTTATGTGTGTCCTTTGTCAATGGCATTGCCTCAGAGCAGACAAACCCTGTCAATGTGGTGAGAAGGCCTTCCCTCTGTCAATGCACATTATTTGCCTTCTACTATTTATGGCATTGCTGGTTATCGCTCTTCTGTCTCTCAGAATGGCTCTGTTCTCCAAAGGGACCTTGCAAAGATCCAAGCTGGGTGCCACTAGCCTAAAACAGCATCTACCCAAAAACAGCATCTACCCGCTCATGACTCCACTTATTCTTTCAACAAATATTTATAAAGCAAGTTTCTATGCCCAGCCCTACTAAACTTCAGCAGCTGCTTCAGCTATGAGAAAGGATGACGAGGTCACTGCCCTTATGAAATTAATGCCTAGAAGTGGTAGACAATAAATGGAAAAAGACAAATAACAAATGAATAGCAATACAATATTGGTAAAGAAAAGTACAGGTCTCCTTGAGACCATATGATCAGGAATCCTGTTGGAGGCTCAGTCAGTCTTCCTTAAGAAAATGATATTTCCACTGGGTCCTGAAGGGATTGGGCAGTGAAGAGCTGGGAGAGGGGTCTAGTCTAGGAAGACAATATAACAAATTCAAAAAAGTGGCAGAAGGTAGGGTGACTAGAGTGTGATGGGCCAAGAAAAATGGGGAGATAAGTAAAGGCCAGTTCTGAAGGGCCTTGAAGGCCTCAAGAAAGACTTTAGTCTTTGTCCTAACAGACTGGAGGTCACCAAAGGCTTTTAAGAATAATTTGATCAGATTCAGATTCCCCTTTTAGGCTTTACAAGATGGCATGTGGCTGCAGATCTTCCTTGTGATTGCCACCCTAAATTCAAACTGGCTGACAATGACTGTGGAAGAAAAATGACACTTTCATTTCATTACCTGTTTACTGGAAACAGCCCCCAGAAATCTCTGAAAAAGAAATACAAAGGCAGTCTGATGGCACTGAAGGAGTGACATAACAAAGGAAAACAAAACAAAAAACACAATGAACAGACAAAACCCTGCACATTCCAGCTCAAATTTAAATTGAGTCTGCCAGGGTTAAGACTCATTATTATTGTATTATCAATGGTGGTACTAGTATTAATAATGATGACCATTGCTACTATTTATTGAGGGCCCATTGCTTGTTAGTTTTATATATATACATAAATATATATTAGTTTTAATCTACAGAAAGACCTGCCTGCATAATAGATATTATTCCTATTGAAGCGGCATCATTGTCTGGGGTAAATACCCAGGGTTCGTCATCTCACGCCAAGAAGATTAAGGACACGGACACACACGAGGAGTGAGTTTAGGAACAAAGGTTTAATAGGCAAAAGAAAGAGAAAGGAGAACAGCTCTCTCCCTTGCCAGAGAGAGGTGAGCTCCTGAAAGGAAAAAGCTGGCCTGTGGGGCACTGCGCTGGATTTTATAGGCAGGCTTGAGGAAGCAGTGTCTGATTTATGTAGGGCCCACAGATTGGCTCTACCAAGTATGAGGTTTACATAGGGAGGGAAAGGCTGGTTGCCCCATTCTAATCTTATTATGCAAATGGGGTCTTTGCCTGGCTGGTGCCATATTGTCTTCTCCTTACTGTACACATGGTTTGGCAAAGAGAAGGGAAGATGGAGCCGCCATTTTGAACATGCTTAGTCCCAGGTAGCCTTTTCCTATTGGCACTACTGCCGGCGTTCACCCGTGCAAGCTTCCAGCTTGCTTGTCTATGTCTGCAGCTCGATTTTACAGGCTGTTCTTTGTTAGAAAAGAAAATGATTTGGGGGCTGCTTTTCATTAAAAGGAAAACCTTATGGAGGACTCCCGTACCCTCACTGTCTGCCTAAGTAATTTCTTCTTAACTCCTATATCACTATTTCATTTGATATACTAGGAAAGGGAGTTACACAAATGTTAAACAACTTGTCCAGAGTTGAGTTGGTAGTTCTAGTGGAGTTAGTATTGGAACGTATGTCTGTTTGGCTTCCAAGCCCTGATGTGTCCACGTCATCATTTTCCCTCTGACAGTTAGAGGCCAGGTGAGTTCTGACTTGAGCATCTGAGAAACAATACGAACGTGTTCACACAGGAAAAACACGATTTACTTTTGTGGCAGAAGTCAAGGCTCGACAGCAGTGTTAGGATGTTCGATACCTACTGAGACTTTGGATAGACTCACCCTCAAATTGTTCTTTCCAACATGCATCTTTTCCAAATGTTGTGTATGTAGGTCAATTTTTCTCTTTCCCTCTTATGCTCTGTAAGTTTGGGCCTTTTCTTTTTCCCTCTTGCTTCTCTATAGGTCAAGTACTTTATCTGCTTTTGTTGACTAGAGCTGGGCTCCCTTTCTGTAGCTTGTGCAATAGCTCAGCAGTCTGTAACTGGACATGACCTCCTTCTCCTGCTAGGGTGGTACGTGTGGGCAGCTTGTGCTGATACACATTAGGCACATGTTCTGTTCTAAGGCACAACAGACACAGCTGACAGACAGCATGAAGGAATGGCCCTCAGCACAAGGAGCTGCTACGTGCATTTGGGCAACACCTTCCTGCCAAGCTTGCAGAATACTTGGGCATTTTAATCTATTAATCTCTAATACTATTCTCAGAGGAGGAAAGTGACTACCATATCCCCACAAAAGGAAACAAGCTTGATTTAATAGTTAAGGGTGTGTATAAAAAGGCTTGTTCAAACTTCATTTATCCCACAAAACATTATTGAGCATCTAATATGGTCTAGGAATGACTCTAGGTGCTAGGATACAGCCATAAGCTAAACTGATTAAAAACAATCAAGCAAGTCAGCCATCAAACAAACAAACAGAAAAAAAAAAAACCCTTTCCAAATGGAGCTTTTATTCTAGTAGGGGAAGGCAGACAATATACCAAATAAAACATAAAATACAGAGTGTGTTTGATTTTGGTAAAAAATAAAAGAAAAATGAGAGTGAACATTTAGGGCAATCAGAGAAAGCCTCATGAAAAGGATGGCATTTGGACAGAGACCTGAAGAAAGTAAGGAGAACAATGACGGGGCAATCTGAAGAGAGAGCATTCCAGGTGGAGGAAACAGTAAGTGCAAATGTCTTGAGGCAGGAGTGTGCCTTGAGTGTTCTGTAACGGAAAAGAGACCAGTGTGGCTGGGACTATCTGTAGCAGAAGATGGGGTTGGAGAGATTATGGAGGCTTACAGGGCCTCTCAGTCACTGTTAAGACCTTTGGCTTTTCCTCTGAATGACATGAGAAGCCACTGGAGGCTTCTTAGTGGAAAGTAGCATTTTTCAGGACCAGCAGTGTGGAAAACAGACAGTGCAAGCACAAGGATGGAAGCAGGCGGGACAGTCAGGAAGCCATTGCCATCATGCTTGTGAGTGATGGCAGAGCTTAGACAAGGTAAGAGCAGGGGAGATACTGAAGAGTGGCTGAATTCTGCATATATTTTGAGGAACAGCCAACAGGATTTGCTGATGGATTGGATAAAGTAAGTGGATTATTTGAAGTTATTTTTTTCTCCCTACCCAAAAGTTATTGTAGCTATTTTCAGGCATAGATAGAAAACTACCTAGATGGTTTATTAGCCTTGGTTGGATACTTTTTTTTCTTTTTTTGAGACGGAGTCTCACTCTGTTGCCCAGGCTGGAGTGCAATGGTGCAATCTCGGCTCACTGCAACTTCCGCCTCCCAGTTTCAAGTGATTCTCCTGCCTCAGTCTCCCAAGTAGCTGGGATTCCAGGCATGCACCACCACGCCTGGCTAATTTTTGTATTTTTAGTAGAGACAGGCTTTTGCCCTGTTGGCCAGGCTGGCCTCGAACTCCTGGACTCAAGTGATCCGCCCACCTCGGCCTCCCAAATTGCTGGGATCACAGGTGTGGGTCACTGCACCTGGCCGGTTAGACATTTCTTATATTCCTTTAGACAATGTTTTAATGTATATGATATAAGTAAACCAAACCTTCTTATAAAAATCATATACAAAATGAAAACTCCCATTTGCTATCTCATGCTTCTTTTCTAAAAAATAGGTAATCCCTATTATGTTTGATTTTTTTATGTGTGCATTTACGTGTTTGAAAATTTATAGTTTCATTCTTTCATGTTGATGGGATCATATTGTTCACATTAATTTTTGCTTAATATATCTTGAAGACCTTTCCAAACTAGTACATAAAGACCCATTTCATTCTTTTAGATTACTTAGAAAATCCTCTAGAAATGCAGCTGACTCATTTCACTCCTGTCTCCTAATCACTGTCTACATTGGAAATCAAAGACAAGCACCCACATGCCCTAGGCAGAGTCTCTACTTCCAGAAAACATCCACAAGATGACATTTTAGAGTTGAGGGAATGATCCCAGCACGCATAGCCAACCTATTTGAAATGTCTTTCTTGTTCTTGGAAGGGATCACAGGGGCCTTGAGTCATTTTAAACTGCTTCTGCTGCAGAAAACTCTTTGGGCATTTTGTGCCCCTGGTTTCCCAAATCTCACTCCCTGGCATGCTTGGCTTGAGAAAGGTAAAAAGCCCAGGGTGGCAGGCTGGTCTGGCATTAAATGGTAAGTGAATTTGCCAAATCAAAACGGAAGCATCTGGCTCGACAAGGATAAGTAATGCAAATGAATGAAAAGAGCATGTATCTATGCTTTTCCCTTGGTTATTAGATATTGCATTCATTGTTATTTGTTGTAACTGTATGAAATTACAGGAAAATTACAAAATACAGAAAAAAGTTAAATGATAATCACCAGAAAGCCCCTTTCCTGCGCTGCCGCCTGCCTCCCCTGGCACCGCCGCCTGCCGCCCCGGAAGACTATTTGGGTATTTACAAGAGAATTAGAAATTGAGATTGTGGCTTACCTATCCTACATGGTCACCATAGTAAAAGCTTCTAACTCTGCCTGCCTCTTCTGCCTCTGTGTATGAATGTGTCATGAGGCAGGTAGGAGGGAGCACAAACACATCCTATTGGAAAACCAACTCCAGGAGTGCGCTTTCCAACACTGGGGACTCTTCATATGGGACGCAATATTATAATGCTAGAGGAAGTTGTGTTAGTTGACCAGGGTTTCCAGCAGTTGGAACAATGCTCAAAATTCAGCATCTGCCCTTCCCCCTGCTATACTACCCCCTGTCCCCCACCGAGGCAACTAGAACACAATCATGCCTTCTTCTCATGTTTGTTCACCTGTTTTCAATTAATGGCAGGGACCTAGTCCCTTAGCTTAGTTGGATTGGTACCTGCAGGATAGGAGACACAGCCAGGTGGGTGGGAGGAGCTGGGTCACAAGACACATTGGAGCTCAGTTCTTCCCAGCACAGCTGGGCTGGGTGTTTGCCTTGGCACCCAGTGCCACTCCACTCAGCTCTGACATGATGGCTGGAAACACTGGCCTGGAATAAAGTGGGAAGCATTCATGCATATTGTGCCAACAGGGTGCTGCATCAGCTGTTCTAGCTACTGAGTGCTAGTCATCTAGCCTTTTGCCTTTGGTGCAAATAATTAGGCTTATTATGGGTATTGAGTTGTCAAAAAAAGGCTTCTGTTTTATGACCAGCAATATTTATTAAACATAAGAATAGTGCTACAATGTGGGGTCTTAAGAAGTTATTAGACAGAGTCCTTGCCCTCAAGAAAAGACTCATAATCCAGTGGCAGGGAGAGAATGTGAGAGAAATAGAGAAATAGTATTTTCAGGCAGCAAGTGGTGAGTGCTACATGAATAGAACAGAAGTTAAACATTCATGGTGGTCAGCAGAAGAAGACATGACTATGTGCTAAAGTGGACATGAGATCAAAGCTTCATGAAAGAGGGAGAATTTGGTGTGGGACTTAAAGGAAGTCCAGGGTTTAGAGAAGTGGAGATGAGAGTTAGAAAATGTCAGGCAGACAAGACAGTTCAGGTAGAGGCTCTAGAGGTGGAAAGGAGATGTGCAAGAAGTAATACTGGTAAATATTGCAAAGGAAGAATCAAAAAGCACAAAAAAGTAGGAAAAGAGAGGAAAGGCAGGAGACATTTTAAACTTGTAAAGATAGATTATTGGCAAAATGATTGTCATTAGCTGAAGTGGGGATTTCTGGAAGAGTCATTAGTTTTGGGGGAAATGACTTTGGGAGTTGCTAAATTGAAGGATGAGAATGCATGTATGAAGGGAGTCTAGTCCAGGAGGGAAATCAAGACATATTTGGTAGTTCCAGTCTCCTGAAAACTCAGGTACCAAATGTCATGCACAGTGACTGGAGAGACATATTTGGAAGTCAGTTTCAAGGCCCAGTAAAATGATATGACTGGATGAGATCTCCAAAGATGGAGCAGCAGAAAACCACTGTCTGAATCTTGCTTGTGCACACGCGTCAGGGGGTGGAAGGAGGAAGTGGACACAGCAGATGTGGCGTACTGGCTTGCGTGGTCGTAGTAGGGTTAAAAGGTTCCCAACAGAAAAGGGAGGAGAGAGAGCCAAAGTGGAGCACTGTTGCCTTCTGGATTGCCACTGAGAAGCTGAGAAGGAGCACTGAGAATAAGCCACTGAACACCGCAACTAGAAGTCTTTGGTGGCTCTTGAGAAAGCAATTTCAGTAGTGAGCGCATCAGTTTAGCAGGTGTTTGGAGTGAATGGTAATGAAATAAATAGAGGACACATAGACCAGTGGTTTTTTGAACTTGGCTTGAACACTGTAATCACCTGGAGGGTTTTTAAAAATTACAAATTCCTAGACCTCACATCAGACCTTATGAGTCAAATCTTTAGTTGACAGGCCTAGGAAACTGAGTTTTTGCAGATGACTTAGATGAAGCCAGTTTATAGTCAGCATTTGTGAACCCACTGGGAGGTAATAAAAGATGAGAAATAGGAGACACTTGAGGGGACGGTAGGGTTGAGGAAGTTTTCTGGGTAGTATTTTTTTCTTGTTTCTTTTTAGAAAACAGGAGACTCAAGCTCCTTTTCCAGGCAGTGAAGATATGAGTGAGACCAAGTATCCTCATGGAGAAATCAGCTCTAGGAAATAGGAGAGGGACCTCCAAGCCAGGTGGGTGAAATCAGGCCTGGGAAGAGATAGATGGCAAGGTGGTAGGAGGTGGAGATTAAAGTGAGAATTCAAGGAAGTGAAGGCAACTCCTGCAATCTTTCCAAATTAAGCTTTGTGTAGTCTTTGAAGAGTGATTCAATTCACCTAAGAACCTTGCATATTCCTCCTTATGACTTTGTTGAGCATATTACATGGCACTTTCATAATGCCAGCTACCCAGGAAATGCAGGTTATGAAAGCTTAGAATTATGAAATGACACAGGTTGTGTGGTTAAACATGAGCTTATCTTTTGAAAGTTTCTATTTCACAGCTTCTGAGGGGATGCACTGTGCATGACTTTTGGTACCTGAGTTTTCAGGAGACTGGAACTGAAAGGAAGAATTCACCAACTACCTGTTTTAGCCCCAGGCAGCATCATCAGAGTCATGCTTGGAGGTGGAAGGGAACACCCTTGTGGCTGGGCCCACAGAACATGTTGAAAACGAGTTCTCAGTATTGTGGCAGGAAGTATTGGGTCACGAGTCGCAACTCACACCTTTCTATAGCTGGCTGTCTCAGCTCTTTGTGAAATCTGGGTCTGAAATCACCTCCTTCTCCCTTCTTCCCTGTGTCTGCACAGTCCAACTGCCCTTTGTGGATTATCTTTGCATCTCGTGAAGCACATACCTAGCATGTTCTTATGATAGCAGTGTGGTCCAGATAGTGAATAACAACCACTACAGCCTATTGAACTCTTATTCTGTGCATTTTATCTAGCCCTTCTTCTGGAATGTGCCTCTGCAAAACTTCTGTTTTAACATCTGTGACAATTAAGTGATTTTTTTCATATTATAAAAAACAATACAACAAATATTAATAACAGTGCTCATTGTATGCCAGGCACTGTTTTAAGTATTTTATGTATCTTGATGCACTTAAACTTCAGAACCACCCTGTGATGTAGTTATTCTGATCCCCATTTTACAGATGAGGGAATTGGAGCTCAGCGAGCAGACATGTGGCTCCAAAATCATATAGCTAATGAGTGATGGGTCAGTGTACTGATACCGAAGCCAGAGCTGTTAACTCATAAATGATGAAATAGATTGAAATGTAGTTCACTAGAAGGGGAAGACATCTTTAGGAATTTGCTATTGATTCAGGTTGCTCCCTGATTTTTTAGCACAAGCGTGGCAAGGCATTCTTCCAATAACCTCAGCTGAAATGCCTGCTTGGAGGACTCAGGTGCTCCATCTTCATCACGTATGTGCTGCTTGGGTTTAGAAAAGCCAGGTGGATCAGTCCCTGAAGCCTGTAATACTTTCCATCATCTCACAGAACACAAGAGTGAGGCTGACCCTCTGCCTACATCTCAGAAAACCTGAGGGACAGAGAGGTCATTTATTTACTCCTTCAACAAATAGTCCATTTCTTGCACACCTCTCTGTGACTTGTCCTGTGTTTGTGGTGTAGAAACAGAGGCATGGGGTGCAGTCCCAGGAGAGGGTGCTCGCAGGAGCACAGAGAAGACTACTCAGGGTGATCCACCCATGCCAGATGGACATACATAGGAGGGCCCTAACCCAGGTAGTGAGATGAGCATGTGTTAGTTTTGTGAACTGAAGCTTATCCCCGATATAGAGTGAAACCTTAGATTGCAGACTTTCAGGATTCAAGGTAGGAGGATGGTACATTCCCATGACGGTAGGCTACAGGGGTGCTGTGACTGTGATTTCTCTCTTGCCCATGGAGAAAAGTGTGACAAGGGCAACAGCCCTGACAACTGCTTGGTGAGAGGAGAGCATGATTATCTGGCACTGTGCCAGCAGTGCTGTGCGAGCTGGGGACTGAGGATCAGGCTGACCTTGATTGGAGGTCTTCCCCACGATTTGCTAGCCGGGTGACTTTAGGCAAGGTATTTGCCACTCTGAACCTCAGTTTCTTTATTTATAGAGATGGAGACAAGAATACCTACCTTACTGGGTTGTTGGGAGAATTCATGAGCCAATGAACATAAAGTATTCAGCATTCCTTCTAACAAATGCTCAGGAGAGACTGTAGCTAACACTCAGCCAGTGCTTACCAAAGGCCAGGCACTGTCCTGTGCCAGTGGTTCTCAACTAGGGGGTGATTTTGCCCCCAGAGGACATTGGGCAATATCTGGAGACATTTTTGATTCTCATGATTGGGAGGGAGGGTGCTGCAGATTTCTAGTGGGTAGAGGCCGGGGATGCCGCTAAACATCCTGCAATGCTCAGGACAGCTCTCCACAACAAACACTCACACCATGCAAATGTCCATAGTGCCCAACTTGGAAACTGTTCTTCGTATGTGTTAACACAAAAAATCCTCATAGGAACGCATGTGGGAGTACCATCTTTATTTTCCTGGTTTAGATCAGGAAATATTAGACAGTCCATTAAATGACTTGGAAATTAAATAGCATACTCAAGCACAAGCAGCTAGAGTAAGAGCCAGGATTTGAACCCTAGCAATCTTGCTCCAGAGTTCTTATGTTTAACCAGTTACCCTAGGTGAACTCTTGTAGGAGTGAGTCAAAAGGCAGTGTGTATGGGATATCGAGAGGCTTCCCTTTCTCCATGCCAGCCATTCTTAAACTCCTGTGAGCATCAGATGACTTGAAGAGCAGGCTAGAAATACAGATCCCAGGGCTCCACACCCAAGTGATTCTGATGCAGCTGCATTTGGGACTCTTACACTAGCCCTCAGGAAAGTTTCCACACATAATAGCAGCATGATACCAGACTTAGAGTCTTGGAGGTTGTTTTCTGAATCTCAATTTTTCAAAAAATACTATATGTAGAGCTTAACATAGTTTTAGAATGCTGTCTAAGAAAAACAAGTATAAGACAAATGCTTTTGAGGCTGGGGAATCACAATGTCTCCTTCAAGAGGACCCTCCAGTTATCTTGGTTTGCTCCTAGACCCTTTTTTTCATATGAGGACGGGACAGTTGCACGTGGCTGCTTTCCCATCACCTCAAGTGCTCAAAGCTGGACTTGTTATACCTTCTTTTCCTCACTCTCACACTTGCTCTTGATAATATTGTCCTCACTGCTGTCTCAGTTAGCCAATTACACAGGCCCTGAGCCCAAAGCACCTTGGAATTTGCCTTCCTTCCACTATGCAGCCAATCTTTAACGTCTTAAAATTCTTCTTTCAACACATTTCTCACGTTGATCATGAACTTCCTGGTTTTGTTCTTTATCACCCAGGCTTAGACTATTGTAGTAACCTCCTACCTGGGCTGCCATCCTCAACTCTTTCCTCCAATACGTCCAGCCAGGCAAATCATCTGAAAATTCAATTTTATTTTGTTTATGCATTCACTGATGTAGTCACAGGTATTTATTGAGCACTCCTCTGTGCTAGGCTCTGTCCTGTGCACACAAAGATGAATTTGACCCTATCAAGTCCCTGTCTTACTCGGAGTCTCCAGCTCCTTATACCATCACAACTGCCCTCCTACCCCACCCCACATTTCTCTGCACAGCTTCTCAGCTCTACTCATTACCCACTGGCTTGTCTTTGCTCATTACTACCTCTACAGCTTTGTCATGTTCTTCTCTACCCAAGGCATGCTTTCTCTCTTATCCATATGTCTAACTTCTATTCATCCTTCAAAACCCAGATCAAATCATGTTTCCTCAATAAATTCTTTCCTGAACATTCTTTCCCAGGACAATTTCTTCTGTCCCATGGTCTTATAGTATCTAATGTCACTATTATTTTTGGAACTGCTACTTATGCACACATGGATTCATTTTTTTGCATGTCTGGTAGGAGAAAAGGGGTTGCTGTTTGGAGCAGTTTATGGTAAAGGATTTAGCCACTCTGGGCAGCATGGTAGATGTAGACACAAAATAGGCGTCATTCTGCCAATTGTAGTTTTAAATTCCTGTGGATGGACCTCAGAGGCCAGATCTGTAGGCTACGTGTCTGGCTTACCCACTTGGACCAAGTGCTGCTACTCAGAATGGCCCAAACCCACAGAGGCCTTAGTTAGTATCTGTGTCTGGCAATAATTCCAAGAATTTCTGAATTTGCCTGTCAGTGAGTCTTCCCAGAGTTCTGTTAGCTAAACAGAAAGAGGAATGCTTTAGCAATAGCTCATATTTATGGAGTGTTTACGATGCATTGGACACTGTGTTAAGTACTTTACATGCATCAGCTTGTTCAACCCTCACAGTAACCACATAAAGTAGAGATTATTCATTTCATTTTGGATGTGAAGAAATGGAGGCTAAGAGTTAAGTCACTTGCCTAAGTTCACACGGCTGGTAGCAGGTGCAGTCACGGGAACCCAGGCCTTTCTCTTCCTACTGTTATCTTTTAACCCTTCTATGCATTCAAGGGTCAGCTACAAAAATATCAGGGACACCCAAGGCTTTCTGATTTTTAAATGAACCCTGGAACTTGTGGTATCCGTCATCTGAAAAGCTTTGTATTGAAATAAGGCTTATTTTAGAGACGACATGGTTCTAGCCGAAAAGATGTTAAGTCATATTCAGAAAAAAAAAAGATTTAAAATAACAGCTGCTTTGTCATAACCCCCTTCTATCCTCAAAGCCCGGCTCTGGGCAACCGATAAGATACTGTGTACAAGGGCACATGCATGACGTTTTCTAGGAAAACTGGTGGGTGAAAGGCTTCCTGAGAAATTTCACACTGGAAATAAACACTCTTGTAGGGTATGTTTCAAGGAAGATCTTGAAATCTTTTCTTCTGGGTACATGACTCTTGCCCTTTGTTTATAGTTGTCATTAGTTCAGGTGGTCTGAAATGCCTGATGTTGAAAATATTTGCCATTTCGAATTTCCCTTTGGCCGTGAGGGGGTGAAGGGACATCTCCTAGGCTTATAAAGGACAGAATCACATGACTTAGAGAGATGGAATTTGTACCCATTGGCAGAGGTACGGGTCTTTATGGATTTAAAGTGTGTCTATTTACAGAAGCAACCCTGATAGGGATAGTGGTTTCATAATTTTTAAAATGTGCTTTTATTTTTTTTAATAAAAATACAGATTTTGAGAAGCAAATAGCTGACATAAAGTGAGCCAACATTTTAGTCCCCCCTCCCCCGCCACCCCCCCAAAAAAAAGCAGAAAAGAATGAAGGTCTTGGTGATTCTCAATATTATATCTTTTCTTTGGAGTCAGTTATATTTTGGTAACAGTTCTTATTAAAATAATAGCAGACACCATTCTTAATAAAACTTTTTTAAAGCTGGATGAGTCCCTAAGGGAATTGCTAATGGTAAGAAGTATAAAAAATACTTCACTGAACCTGTTTTTAAATTCTCTAATGTTTAAATTCTCCTACTCTCTCAACATGCAGCTTCTCCCAGAAGAATGCCTCACCTTTAAAATTTGTCTTAATAATATGAAATATCAAGTCACTTTTACTCTTCATTTTTAATTTTAACATTAAATACGCCTTTTCCCTCTCATAGTTTTTACAGTTAATATACTTGGAATTATGTTGGAGAAATGTAATTTTGGTTTTATTTCTTTCAGAATTCGCTAATGTAAAAAATGCATTTTGAAAAATATTAGACTTACTGAGAGGTCAAATTTTTTCTTCAGTTTTTCAGAAGATGGAAGCAGTGGAATAGAATACTATTCTTCCCCAACTTGCATTAGGTGTTAAATAGCACTCTTTTTCTACTTTCCTGTTTACTTGTCGTATCTTTCCATCTATCACTCTTAGTTTGTGACTTCTATTATCAAGGATACCTCATGGTCTAAGAAGGCTGCTGAAGCTCCAGTCATTATTTTGGAGGTCTAGTTGGGCAATAGGAAGGAGAACTTCCTGAAGGACCTATTAATAACTTCTGCTTAGATCCCATTGGCCACCGCTGGCTGATGTGATGTGATGTGATGTGGATGATGTGATGTAATGTAATGTAATATATTTTTTCAGCTGGGAACATTGCCCAAGATTCTGTAGGTAAGAATAAAGAAAGAATGGATTACCAACGGAAGTCTCTGTCACAATGTCTGTGCTTTAGTCTGGCAAAGCTAAATTAAGCTGCAGCAACAAAGTAACCCCCAAATCCTGGTGACCTGATGCAACAAAGACATCTTTCTTGTTCATGAATTGCCTGATGTAAACCCAGTGGCTCTCCAGTGTAGTTCTCCAAGTGATGACTACCTCCTTTTAAGGTCCCTGCTTCTCAGCAGTGGCTTCTGGGATGCTAAGGTAAGAGAAGATAAAACTGGAGAGTCTCACAAAAGCTTTTCACTGCCCCAGACTGGAAATGACACACAGCACTTCTACTTACAGCTCTTTGGCCAAATCTAGTCTTGGAGTCCTTCCCAACTGCAATGGGCCTAGGAAGTATCATCTTCCTTGTGCCCAGGAAAGATCCTGTGATGATGACTTCTCTGTTTATGTAATTGAGTTCTATTTCCAAACTAAGACAATTATGTTACATAGATTCTGAAGCAATATAATATCCTGTTTTCAGCAACCTTTCACTAAGTGGTTACTACTTGCCAATGCATGGTGTCAGATGCTAGGGGAACAGACATGAAAAAGACACCAAGTCCCTTTCAAGGAACTTATTGATTAATAAAGGAGACATAAGCACACCTGAAGAATAATAAGGACAATAATAAAGTAAAAATAAGGTGCTATGGAGATTGAAGTTTGGGAAGATTTCTTCTAGTTGATGCCCAAGGAAAGGTTTCTGGAGGAGGTGATATTTAAAAGGGGTCTTGAAAGACTGGTAGAATTAACCTAGGTGATGTGGTTCAATCAACAGTGTCTCCTTCAAGAACTTTTCTGAATTAGTAGATATGTTGGGCTAAAATTTCAGTGCTGTCGGTGCCTAGCTATTTGATCTTGAACAAGTTTTTCTCCTCTGTAAGATGAGAGAGTTGGTGAAAATGGTCTCTATTCTCTCTTTCATCTCTGATAGTCTATCATTCTTCAATTTTTTAATTAACATTCTGAAAGCTTGGTACAGACAAAAAAAACTTTCAAAACAAAAATACATTTGATGCTTATTGAATACACTTAGAAAACAGAGAAAAGTAAAAGAGAAATCTTAATATCAGGCAATATTCACTCTCATTCACTCATTTTATTGCAGTTTCTTCTGGAATTTTTCATACATAGATTTAAATATTTTGCTTTAGTTTGTTTTGAACACAGTTGACATATAGAGCATAGGCTATACTAGAGCACTCTTTTTTTTTTTTTTTGAGATGAAGTCTTACTCACTCTGTTGCCCAGGCTAGAGCGCAGCGGTGAGACTTCAGCTCACTGCAACCTCCGCCTCCTGGGTTCAAGCAATTCTCCTGCCTCAGTCTCTTGAGTAGCTGAGATTATAGGCATGCGCCACCATGCCCGGCTAATTTTTAGTAGAGGTAGGCTTTCATCATGTTGGCCAGGCTGGCCTCGAACTCCTGATCTCAAGTGATCCGCCCACCTCATCCTCCTAAAGTGCTGGGATTACAGGCATGAACCACCACGCCCAGCCTAGAGCACTCTTTATTCTCTTAGTGAACTATAATGATTATCTCTTCAATGTTATTTCTCCTCTGTTAGAAACATCAGAAAGTATGTTAAGTATGATATTCAGGTTCATTTCTATGCCTCTGTTTGATGACAAGCTATTTAAGTGACAAGTGTTCCTCATGTACTAGTGAAACTTAGAAAAATAGAAAAGTATTGTAGTAACTTTAATCTTTGATAGCAGGCATCAGATTGCTTTTATTATAGTATGTTTTTTAAAACTTATACCTCACATTTGTTGAACACCAGTTATATGGCAGCAACTATTGTAAGTGCTTTGGGTAGATGACTTATTTACTGCTCCCAGTAGCAAATATTATTTTTCCCATTTTGCAGATGAGAAAACTGCAACTTAGAGAGATTGCATAACTTGCTTAGGGTCTCATAACTAGAAAAGTGACTGAACCAGTATCCACGTTTAGTTTCTGTGTTTTCGGAGTCTGCATAACCACTGCATGGTACTATCTGTCTCTATTGCAAGTGACAGAATCTGAACTTAAGCCAAAAGTGCTGCTATTTAAGATTCTAGAAAATCTTAGATTTTCTAGTGCTAGTTTCCAGGAAAAAAAAAAAAATGCTGCCATAGTTATAGCCCAGAGATAGTTCTTTCTTTAGGAAGGGCAGAATCCAGGTTTCCACTTGGTGTCCCTTTTGCCCATTTTTATCTTGCTCACCATTTTTTGTCCTTGCTCTTCCCTGTGTTGCATTGGTATAGAGTGTCTTACAGGTGGGATCTCTTGCCATGGTATTCCTGGCAGCTTCTCACAGCTGTGACTCAAGTGACAGGAGAGCTTTCTTTCCCAAAGTGCCCAGTATAAATTTGGGGTGGAGTCTCATTGGCCGGCTTTTCTAGGGGGCTATCCTCGAGCCAATCACAGTGGTGGGGGATAGAATATCTTGACTAATCAAACTTGAGTCACATGACCACCCTTTGAGTTGGTAGAGCAGTGGACTGGTAAATTTCAGCTCTGTCCATGTTTTATGGACTGAGAGCAGTGGGTGTTCCTCCAAAGGAAAAGTGAGGCTTTTTTTTTTTTTTTTTTTGATCAAAAGAAGGCAGAATGAGTGCTCGGTAGACAAAACCAATCGCTGTCCCCCACGCTGCCTCTGCAATTTCTCCCCACGAAGATATTTTTCCCCTGGCCTCCAAAGAACTTACACTTTGCCATGTGGTGCTACCTCCCAAGAACTCTTCACTTATGTCTTAGAAAAATAAATACACAGCCAATTTGCAGATTATACCTTCCTTAGTTCTGCTATAAATTATATGACTTGTTTTTGGCAAAGCCTGAAGTCAAAGCTGGCTTCTTCCCCCTCCTCCTCACCAGCTCAAAGAATGAGTGGCATTCACTGAGGTTGTATACAGAAGGATGAATTTGCCCACCTGAAGGGGATAGCTAAATTTATGGGAAGAATTGCAACTTTTCAAATAGTTCCAAGCATTAAGGCCAAGATGAGGAGCCTATGGGCAAGTAGGAAATTCTTTTTTTTTTTTTTTTTTCTATTGAACCCAGGCCAAACCTTCACTTATGGTATTTATGAAATCTGTGAATCTGGAGGAAACTCATTATGGTCACCTTAGCCACATTAAAATTCCAACAGTTTCTCAGCATATCCCACACAGTTTGAAAACAGCATAATGTATAGAGTTCTGGCAAAAGCTGATGAAAGAGGCAGTGGGAAAACACAACACTGGAAATCAAGAAGTGTGGGTTCTAGGCTCAGCTCTGGCCCTAACCAGCAGGGTGGTCTCAGGCTGGTCCCTTTGTGTTTCTGAGTCTTTGTTTCCTCCTCTATAAATTAAGGATTCAGTTTCTACGGGTTATTATGTGCTGAGAAACCATACCCCAGCTCAGATATTCCCTGAAAACAGAACTCACTGGGGCTTTGGAACTTCTCTCTAGAGATAAACAAATCTTGTGTCAAATCCTTTCGATATTGTTATTCCAAATCTTTTTGGAATTTTTACTCCTGGCTGTGATTTGCCTGCTTAGTACTATGCTCTTCTCTCTATAAATATACTGTATAGATTTGCTTTCACTATTTAAGAATGTGCAGTTGATTTTATTTTGAGAACCTTAAAAAGAGTTCAAGACTTTAATTGATATAACTGAAAGCATCTCAAACTTTGAGAATTCCCAATTCAAATCATTCATTGAGTAAAACTCTTTTGAGAATATTCTCAAGGCTTAAGTACTCTGTAGTCAAGCTTCCTGGTGCTTATTCAGTTTTTAGTTGGGCCACTATGTTGGGTTTTTTGATTCCTTATGAAAAGTCTGGGTGGCTTTCCTGCTATTTCCCAAAATGAATGCATTTTAAAAATCTTGTTTGTTAGAAAATTGAATGTGGGCTTTTCATATGTATACATTCATTCATCACTTATTGAGTGCATATTAGCTACTAGGTATTGTGAAAAGAATAAAGTTAGTAGCACAAATTTAAATAGCTCTGGCAAAAGAAGGCTCTTTTGAAAGTAGAGGCATAATTGGACACTAATTTCTTGAATGCTGATTCAGTGAAGCATAATTCACTTGTTACTACTAACTTCCCTTTTCTTACAGCCTGTTATACTTAAATTTTTGTTTACATTGTGATATAATTCAAATAACATAAAACTCATCATTTAAAAATGTGCACTTTAGTGGCTTTTAGTTTATTCACTAAATTAGTTTAGTTTGTGCAATCATCCCTACTGATTCCAGAACATTTCTGCCACCCCAAAAAGAAACCCCATACCCATTAGTAGTTAGTTCTGATCCCCACTCTCCCATCCCTTGACAACATGCATCTACTTTCTGTCCCTATGAATTTGCCTATTTTGGACATTCATATAATGAAATCATGTAATATATGATGTGTTATATCTGTGGTGTCTGGCTTCTTTCACTTAGCATGTTTTCAAGGTTCATCTATGTAGCAGGTAATTGTATTTCATTCCTTTTCATTGCCAAGTAATATTCCACTGTAAGAATATACTACATATTGTTTATCCATTCATCACTAGATGGACAATTGAGTTATTTCCACTTTTTGGCTATTATGAATAATGCTGCTATGAACATTTGGGTACACGTTTTTACGTGAACATATGTTTTCAATTCTCTAGGTATATACCTAGTATTGAAACTGCTGAGTTATTTGATAATTCTATGTTTTTTGTTTTGTTTTGTTTTGTTTAACATTTTGAGGAACTGTCAAACTGTTTTTTCCAAAGTGGCTGTACTATACCAGTTTATATTCCCATCATATATATAATAAAAATTAAATATTTGTAACTTCTCCAGGACTTAGGATAGTTTTCTTCCCAGTTTACTGATGATTTCAGTAAGGCAATAAACTGAAAAATGGTTTGCCAGAGACCAGATCCTTGGTTTATTCATTTCTTCAGTATTCATTGAGCCTCTATTTTGTTTCCAGTATTGTTTCTAGTACTGTGGTTACAGAGATAAATGAAACATGTTGTCTATGAGACACTGAGTCTTAAGTCTGTAAAATTTCTTTTGGAATCTTTAAAAATGGCAAAGACTCCCACTTGTGTGACTTGGTTTAGGTGGCATCTGCCCAGAACCAAAGGATGAACTGGATCAAATATCTGTCAGTACTGAACGAGTTTCTAATGGTGATCCTTAAATGTAGATCCAACTTCCTATTCTACATGATAAACTATCAATTTATATTTTATTTTCTTAACAGGGAAAATGTGTGAGCATCTGGCATTCGCTGTTTCTCTGAAACAATTTTATCATGAAATCATCTAATCCCAGGAATTTGGGAATAAGTGTATAACTTAAGTGGAGATAAAATAATAGTCCTGGGCCGTTGTATGATTCTTCACCTTTTCTAGAGTCATATTGTGTATGTTACCCTGTCCCGTGTCTCATTTGACCACAGTCCTGTAAGGTAGGCCAGGAAAGCACACATTATTTCCATTTCATGGATGATAACTGAACCTCAGAGTAATTTGCCCCAGGTCACAAGAAGGAGCCAGAAGGAGACACCTTGCTAAAGCAGTCATTCCCATATACTATTCCTTGGAGTGGCGCCAGTATTGGATAGCATTTTCACTGATGCATGAGGAAATGAAAAAGAAAGGGCAAGGCAGTGAGGTTTTTCACATCACTACATTTATTCAATTTTAAGAACAGTCTTTTATTCCAAAATTAAGTCTGTTTTATTTTTATGTTGGTAAAATGTCTCTTTTCTTTACTGAAATGTGGTGATAGTGGATAGTAACTTTTCCTTATTTTAATTTTTATTTGGCAAGACAAAATATTGGCAATCTCTATTAAAAATATATATATATACCATTCCATGAAATCTGCCTCAGAAGGGTCAGGCCTGGTTCAATCTTTCCTGGTTAATCACGTTGTATTTTCTTGTGAGCACTCTGCCCTAGGTAAAGTAGAAATTATGTTCTCTTCCAGACATGGCCATCTTTCACATGTGCCTGTGTCACACACGACCTTAACATCCAGTCTCCTGGTTTTAGCTAAACCCTCTTGGACCGCTATATTTCACAGATTCACAGATCGGTGGGAAAATATATAACCATGCAGGCAGAATGACTTATTCAGTCCTTCAGTTTCTAATTGTGAGTAAATATGTCTTACTGTTGGCTTTGTTAATTATTCTCATGACTTTTTGGAGCAGGGCTTGGGTATGATTTTTTTCTAGTAAAGTGCAATTGGCTTGTATTTGAAAGGATGTAGTAATTATTAATTTTATGCATAGATCTCTTTCTAGTGGAAAGCAAGACTTGAACCAGCTAGGTTAATTAACTTGCCCACATAACCTACTAATGTGAGGAACTAGAAGTGGAAAGACTTCTACTCCTAAATATTACTCATCAACTTCAAAGTGTAATCATGGGACCTGCATGCAAATCACCAATGGAAAAAATCCACTAGACTTTTGAGAAACATTGAGCAAAAATATGTAGTAGGATTGGAGCCTTCTGAAGTCCCCCTTGGTTGCTCCCCAGGGTTCATGTGAGGGAAGAAGGGGTTCCTGAGTGCCAGATACCCCCTACACTAAAGGACATTCAGAAGTGTTAGGTGAAGTGGGTTGCTACCCTCAAATAAGTTTGGAGAAAGAGAAAATTACACAAAATAAATTCTATTATGTAAAGTAGGAATTTGAATTTAATTTGTTACAGTGTATTGTAAATACCTAAGAGTAAGAAAGGTGCAACACTCCTCAACCTTTTGGTCTACAGAATCACCCCATTTTCCCAGTTGCTCCTCCTTGCTTCTTTCAGATGTCTCAGAACTAGACTTCTGCAGAAGGTACTGCTTTAAGTGTGTTCTCACTACCTCCTTATTTGAGTCTCATAACAGCCCTATGGGTGGTAAAATTTTCATTCCCATTTTACAGATGAAGAACCCAAGGCACAGAAAGGTTAAGAAACTTACCCAAAGTCACACAATGGCAAGGCTTGTATTCAAACCAGGCTCTTGGCATCTGAGGTAGTCTGAGAGCTCCTGCGCTGTGCTGCCTGCTATTGCAAAACAGTTCTCTTCTTTGTTGTCTTCTTTTTTCTTGATGACAGTGCGTTGCCTCATGTAAACAAAGTTAGTAATCTAACTAGAAAATAAACTGAGACTTTCACTATCCTCTGTGTGTTGGTGAATCCATTGCAGGTGTGATGGGAAGACCATGAATTTGGAGTGAAACATATCTGAGCCCACCTTGTTTTCCCAGCCACTTCTCCTGGTGTAAATTTGACTAGTTAGTTAACTCTAGGAGCCACAACTAATTCTTTGTACATTAGAGACAATAATGCTGTGACCCATCTTTTAAAGGAGTTGGCCTGGGAATATAAGTAAAGGCTTGGGGAGAGGACGGTTCATGGCCCACACCATAGGCTCTGCAAGGATATGTTTGTTATCTTTCCCTCTGTCCCACCCACCACCACCCTCTCCTACTCAGATGCTCATGTATGCTTGTTTTTCTCAAATGCTATGGATTTCCCCCCCGACTTATACTCACCTGCAACTTTATACAGAAACAAGAGTTATGGGGAAACCCCACGAGAAGCAGTACGGCATAAAACAATGAATTCAGAAAGGAGGCAAGGGTCCAGTGCAATGTTGTCTTAGGAAATTGGAAACAGCATTGAATCAAAAGAGTGGGTCCAGAGAAACCTGATTGTCCCCAATGGCCTCTTATACTAAAGGGAAATAAAAAATTGGAAAGAAAGGACAGACACTGGAGAATGAATCCTATTTCCTGTGTGCTGCAGGTTGAAGAAGCAGGAGAGCTGTGGGCTGGGGAGTCCTCTCTTGTGTGTGATCATGCCACCTGGGTTGGTCACACTGGCCTAAGGAACTTTCCCGATACCCCAGGATGCTCTCTTCAGATGACCCCAGGAATTTACCAAATTCAAGGAGTTGTCTTTGCTTCCCCAGTTTGGTTTTAAGAATGTGAATGTGGATTATAATTCCTTCTATTACTCAAATACTAGTCATCATCAGGAGAGATGGCTTCATATACTAGATAGCTATATATTCTATGTCTCCTCGGCAAAACTGAATATGTTTATTAGCAAGTAAATAGCACTGATTTAAAGAACTCAGCATTTTAAAAATTCTTTAATACTTTAATTTGAAGGATAAAGCAACAATATTAAAGATAATTTTGAAAATAGAATAAAAAAATCATGACTCTGCCAGCTTAAATTTCTGTTTTATTTTTATATATTAGATTTTATTGTTTTCCTTCTCATACAGACTTTTTTCATTATTTTAATCATAGAGCGTATTCCATTAGGTATATCATGGACCTGAGAATGTGCATCTACTTTTTTAATAATTATTCCTTTAATGGTTTATGTAGGAGGGGATAATATAGGTCCCTCTTAGAAATGGAGAATGAGTGGCTCTCAGGGACAGTTAATAATGATGTGACATTATTTGCTAAATCATGTCCCTATTGGTGATTGTTAACAGTTTTATGCAATTGTAGATTATCCTGTGTAGCAGCTAAGAAGTGCTTATAGCTACTAGAAATAGAGGCTCACCTATAGTATCTTAAACACATTAAAAAAAAAAAGCCAAATGTACTCTGTTCAGGGCTGGTCTGGTGTTGCAAGAAGGCATCAGCGGCCTAGCCTTCATTCGTTTTTCAAAAAGGGAGGTTTGCCATGCTTTTTGCATTGCTTTCAAGTTTAAAGTCACAATATGGTGCTGCTTGCACGATAGCCATAATGTCTGAATTTTAGGCAAGAAATGGGAAAAAGAGGGGAGGCAAAAGATTCCCTTTTCAACCTCCACCCACACTCTTTTCCCTTTAAAAGAACCTCCCCAAAAGTTTCATGTCAAATAGGTTCATTAGCTGTGGCATTGGGTAAGTTACAAAAACTCTTTGAGACTCAGTTTCTTAATTTCTATACAGAGAGTAATAATGTCTACCTCACTGGGTGTATGTGAAAGAACACTGCTAATCCAAAAAACGCTGTGCAATTTCAAGAGTTAAAATAACACTTGTAGTCCAATGCAGGCTGCAATAACTGAAATATTTCATATGCCTGTGTTCTTGCTGCAGAAGAACACATTGCAGTCATTTAAGATCACCCCCTTTCCCCACCCTAGAGTGCATTTAGGAAGGAGAGAAAGCAGAACTAGACCATGTTTGGTTAATGTCAAAGGGAAGTTTGAAAGCTACGAGATTCCAGGCAGTGGTAGAAGTAATGAAACCCCAAAGTCTCTCTGTGTTTCTTGCTGCCCTTGCTGTCTTGGAGGGGAATGTTACGCAGTGGAAATGGGACACTCCTAAGTTCAGAGGGAAACAGTCTTGACACAGGTGGTTCCCCAAGAACCTACAGGCCTCCAAGCCAATGGGCAAACTCCCCCATGGGTGGAGTGGCCCTTGTCTCAGTATCAAAAAATTGTAATCTCTCTGAGGGTAGGGACCCTATCTCTATTCACCTCTTTATCCAATGCCTGACACCTAGAAATCCTCAGTAAAAATCTATTTATTAATTCTGCCCCACCTATAAGACCGGCTCTGAACACTGAGAGTCAGCCTTGCGAGTGACCTACTTAAGTCCTCCTGACCCTCAGCCCCCATTGCTGACTGCAGCTAAGAAGAAATACCTTGGGTTGGTGCATATTTTGGAATAAAAATAGTTATAATGATAGTTATAGCTTAACCTATTGAGCGTTTACTGTGTGTAGGCACTTAGTACTTTACATATTGTAACTCACTGAATCCTTCCTTCTACCTTACAATAATAGTAGGTATAATGCTCATTCCGCAGAAGAGGAAACATGCTCAGATAGGGCAAGTAATTTGTCTAAGGTCACAAAGCTAAGAAAATGAGAAACCAGCTCAAAATTATTAAATCTGAACATAGATTTTCTTGGGAAATTACTGTTAAATTTCTCAAATAGATTGTAAGTGACCTTTAGAGACCTTCATTTCACTTACTTCATTTATTTATACATGACCCACCTAAGGCAAAGCATTTAGTTTCTTTAAGCGCAAGTTTCGTCATCTGAAGAATGGACAAATAATAATACCACCTCCCCCACCCCACCCCAGAGTTTCTGTGAGGATTAAATGAGATAATGCATATGCAGTGCCTGGCCCATAGTAGATGTTCAGTATATTTTTTACCATCATTTGTTAATTTGACAAGTAGTCAAATTAGTGATGCACATCAGAATCATCAGTGGAAACTTTTCAAATATTGAGGTCTGGGTCCCAAAGTGGGGTATTTTGAAAAGTTCCCCAAGTGATTCTGATTCACATTCCCTTATGAGAATCACTGCTGAATGTGACCAATATTCATTAAGGAAGCATTTTGCTCAAGGCATTTTGCTGTGTGCTAAGAGAGGTGTCAGATGCACAATAATGGCAAAAGTCACATAAAAATAAGTAAATTACTATGAGAGATGAGTGAGTCCTCCTGCAGCAATCAGGAAAGTCCTCATAGAGGCAATCACAGTGGGCTGGGCTTGAAGGCACAGCAGGGTTAGCTTGCCAAGAATGGTGGCAGGGCAGTGAGTGAAGGTAAGTGGCATGATGGTGCAAATAATGTCACTGGTGCCACTACTGGCTGGGACATGGAGTCTGGGGAGAGTCGGGAGATGAAGCCAGGTGGTTGGCTGCAGTCAGAGAATGGAAGCTCTTGGACTTCTGACCAGTTGGGTTTGCACTGCATTTAGAGGACCACGACAAGCCATTAAGATTTTCTGAGCCAGAGAGGGAAATGCTCAGAACTATCCTTTCACCTGTTAAGTCTGGCACTCAAATAAATTAGAAAGTATAGAACCCAAAGGCAAGAAATGAGCAAGGCCAGAGACATCTGTTGCATCAGCCCAGGCCTCAGAATAGGAGCTTGGACTAGGCAGGGTACTGACAGGTGGTTAGGCTAAAGGAACAACTATATAAACCTGGAGACTGAATTAGCTGTTGGGGGAGGGGTGGTGAGAGGAAGAAGAAGTGAAGATGACTTTGAGATTTGAGCCTGCGTGATGGGAAGAACAGCACTGTGACCAGAAAAAGGGAAGTGGGGGTATGAGCTGGGTGGGGGGAGGGAAGATGATGAGCTGAATGTGTTGAGCTGGAGATGCCTGGGCACAAGGTACACATATCTAGGAGTTAGGTGGCACTGTGGAGCTTAAAGGAGAGATCAGGGCTACACACAAACAAATAAATAGAACACAAAGTGAGTCAGCTGCACTGAGGGGTGTCGCTTCAGCCTTGGCAATGGTAGAACTCTGTGGGAAGGAGAGTAGAGCAGGGATTCTTAACCAAAGATCTGTGGATAGGATTTTTGTTTGAGGGTGTCTGTGAACTTTTTAACATTTTAAGCAGAATATTACTATGTATATTAAAAAGCCCACAATCTCATTGGATAAGTTACTCTAAACAAGGTTAAAACCTACTAATATATATATAGGAGAGGTGGGCTGAGATGCTTCTCATGGAATTTTCACATCGTAGGTAGGAACAAAATATTCCAGCCAATCTCTGCAGTCTTGACTGTCATACCTCAGACTGTGGTGGCTGTTTTATTATTATTTTTTTTAATCAGGGCCAGACTGTTTGGTCAAGATTGTCTTAAAAATGTTTCTTCTTTCCAAGATATTCAATGGGGAAAGAATAATCTTTCCACAAGTGTGGTGAGATAAGTGGATATCCACATGCAAAAGTATCCATCTGGACCCTCTGACTCTCACTAAATACAAAAGTTAACATAAAATTGGTCAAAGACCTAACTGTAATAGCTAAAACTATAAAACTCTTAGAAGGCAACATCCTCAAAGACATAATTTTTGTGACCTTAGTTTGGCCAATGATTTCTTAGATATGGCACCTGAAGCCCAAGCAACCAAAGA
The DNA here is from genome assembly GCF_000001405.40 of Homo sapiens. Taxonomy (NCBI): domain Eukaryota; kingdom Metazoa; phylum Chordata; class Mammalia; order Primates; family Hominidae; genus Homo; species Homo sapiens. The sequence continues at coordinate 88,109,245 of NC_000010.11, forward strand.
ATAAACTGAACGTCATCAAAAATTCAACTTTTGTGTTTCAGGGACACTATCAAGAAAGCAAACAGACAACCCATAGAATGGTAGAAAATATTTATAAATTATATGTCTGATAAGAATCTAGAATATGTAAAGAACTTTTACAATTCAACAATAAAAAAATACAGTTAAAAATAGGCAAAGGATTTGAATAAACATGTATCCAAACAAAATATAAAACAGGCCAATAAGCACATGAAAATATGCTCAACATCATTAGCCATCAGAAAAATACAAATGAAAACCACAATGAGATACTACTTCACATTCACTAGAATGGCAATTGTCATCATGATCATCATCATCATCAGATAATATCATGTGTTGGCAAGGATGTAGAGAAACTGAAATCCTCTTACATTGCAGGTAGAGAGGTAAAAATGGTACAGCTACTTTAGAAAAACAATTTGGCAGTTTTTCAAAAAGTTAAATATAGAGTTACCTATGACCCAGAAATTTTGTTTTTAGGTATATAACCAAGATAATTGAAAACACATGTTTACACAAATAATTATATGCAAATATTTATAGCAGCATCATTCATAATAACCAGAAATAGAAACAACCTAAATGTCCACTAATTGATGAATGAATAAATAAAATGTGGCATATCAACACATATGGAATATTATTTAGCCATAAAGAGGAATGAAGTACTGATACATGCTACAACATGGGTGAGCCTTGAAAATATCATGCTAAGTGAAAAAAGCCAGACATAAATGGCAACATATTATATAATCCCATTTAAATTAAATATCTAGAATAGGTAAATCCATAGAGACAAAAAGTAGATTAGTGGTTGTCAGGAGCTGGGGGAGGAGAGGAGTTGGGAACAATAGCTAATGGGTACAGAGCTTCTTTTTGGGGTGATGAAAATATTCTGGAATTAGATAATGGTGATGGCTGCTCAAACTTGTGAATATACTAAAAACTACAGGTGGATTTTATGGTATGTGAAATTATACATCAATAAAAAATTTCTTCTGTCTTCTCAGTTTTTGGTTGTCCTTATTTGGGATGAAAATAATGTCCATTATCCAAGAAGAAGGAAGAGCATGAACAGTTACAGAGGAGGAAAAGTAAAGACAGTTGTTAGGGAATGGTAGATTTGGATGGAACATAGGTGTATGTATGGGAGAATCAGGAGAGGAAGCTGAAAAGGTTAAGTTAGGACCAGAATAGTAAGTAAGTTGGTCAGTCACTGGGTGAGTCACAAATATTTGAGGACTTACTCAGTGTCAGCCACTGTTCTGGATATGTGAACAAAAAGACCTGGTCCCCACCAACACAGGGTTGAGCAGTCTAGCTCTGGTGACATTAAACAAATACTTAAGAAATCATGAGGGTGTGAAGGGTGGGAAGTTGAGAGTGCCATAGGAACATGTTATGGGGGAGGCTACTTGGTGTGAGGGAATCCTGGAATGTTTTCCAAAGGAGCAGTTAGAGGTGAGAAGGGTCTAACTTGCTAGTGGATTTTAACCAAATAAGTAGGCAACTGGGAGCCCTTTAAAGGGGTCATGGCTGGTGAGATACATAATCAGAGCAGTGCCATAGGAAGATTTAGCCCGTCATGGTTCTTAAACTCACCATACAAGCCTTTTTGGGGTGGCAGTCTTGCTGAAACACCATGTACTGCCAGCAAAGCAGGGGAAAGACGAACCTTCCTCCAAAAGTGAAGGTTTGTGTGCTGTGTTTAGAGGACCTCTCTGGTATGCTTGCTCATCTTTCCAGAAGTTACTGGAGAAACGACACCAGTGACCTTTCATGAGAAGATGATGGACTAGCACAGCAGCCCTCTCTTCCTACTCATCATGGAAAGCAACTAACCAAGGGACTTTCTTGGTTTATTTATTTACTTTTTGGTCAGGCAGATAGAAAAGTCATCATATAGCTTCAAGTTTCAGGGTTACTTCTTCACCTTTAATTTGCCCCAATGGGAATTGTCAAAAAGAAGTAAATCATGACATATATATCCTTTAAGTGTGTGTGTGTGTACCTGTGTCAGGGAGAGTTGGAGAACAGAGCATTGAAAACAATATTGTTAAATACACACACTGTATATCATATATTAAATATTTGTTACATATATTTAACAGTATCATTCTCTCCTTCCCCACCATATATATATTCATTCATTTATCATTGCCCTTTCTTATAGAAAGGTCTCTAAGTTCTAGTCACAACAAGACTGAAAAAAGACGCAGAGGCTGAAAAAAGCAGAACTGCAGCCTTGAACCTCATGCTTTACTGACTGGCCATAGTGTTACCCTTGATGTAAAGACTAAGTTTTAGTTTTGATGTCCAAAGGTGAAGGGAGTGTTTGTCCTTCTGACCCGGAGCACAGCTTCCTAAAATTGTTCTCTTGACTCTTGGAGGAGGATCCACTGGAGTTCACTACTGGCCACTTCCACAGCAAGATATTTAAAAAAAAATTTTTTTATTTCCATAGGTTATTGGGGAACAAGTGCTGTTTGGTTACATGAGTAAGTTCTTTAGTGGTGATTTATGAGATTTTGGTGCATCCATCACCCGAGCAGTATACACTGCACACAATTTATAGTCTTTTATCCCTCACCCCCTTCCCACCCTTTCCCACGAGAGTCCCCAAAGTCCATTGTGTCATTCTCACGCCTTTGCATCTTCATAGCTTAGCTCCCACTTATGAGTGAGAACATAACGATGTTTGGTCTTCCATTCCTGAGTGACTTCACTTAGAATAATAGTCTCCAATCTCATCCAGGTCCTGCGAATGCCGTTAATTCATTCTTTTTTATGGATGAGTAGTATTCCATCATACTACTCACACCACAGTTTCTTTATCCACTCATGGATTGAAGGGCATTTGGATTTGTTTCATGTTTTTGCAATTGTGAATTGTGTTGCCATAAACATGCGTGTGCAAGTGTCTTTTTTGTATAATGACGTCTTTTCCACTGGGTAGATACCCAGTAGTGGGATTGCTAGATCAAATGGTAGTTCTACTTTCAGTTTTTTAAGGCATCTCCACACTGTTTTCTATAGTCATTGTACTAGTTTACCTTCCCACCAGCAGTGTAGGTGTGTTCCCTGTTCACCACATCCATGCCAACATCTATTATTTTTCTATTTTTTGATTATGGCCATTCTTATAGGAGAAAGGAGCCAAAGACTTTTAATTCTTGTCCCACGATCAGTGGTTCTCAAACATGGGGATAAGAATCCACCTGGGGAGCTTATCAAAATGCAATCCTGGCTGGGTGTGGTGGCTCACAACTGTAATCAAAGCACTTTGGGAGTCCGGGGCGGGTTGATCTCTTGAGCTCAGGAGTTCGAGACCAGTCTGGTCAACATGGTGAAACCCCATCTCTACTACAAATATAAAAAAATCAGTCAGGCGTGGTGGTGCATGTCTATAGTCCCAGCTACTTGGGAGGCTGAGGCATGAGAACTGCTTGAACCTGGGATGCGGAGGCTGCAGTGAGCCGAGATCACGTCACCACACTCCAGCCTGAGCGACAGAGTGAGATTCTGTCTCAAAACAAAAAAAAAAAGAAAAAAGAAAGAAAGAAAAGAAAAGAAACATGCAATTCTCTCTCCCAGATCTTTCTTCTGACTTAAGTAGGTAAGGGTGAAACCTTGAGATGTGCATTTTGGAGAGAATCCATGATCCCCCTACAGACGCCCACTTTAGGAAGCTCTGCTCTGGTTCCATGCCACCATGCAAGGTTGGCCTAACGCAGCGGCAGCAGGACTATCGTGAAGTCAGGTTTAGAATTAAATCCTGGCTTAGCAACTTGCAAACTGTGTGACAGTAGCCAAGTTACTTAGCCTCTCTGAGCTTCGTTTTCCTCATTTTCCATAAGGGGATAATAATATCCACACAAGTTGCCGTCCCAGATTTCATTTAACATAGGTCCCTTCACTGCCCTATCTCACTAGTTTGACTCATTTAGAGATTATAGGCATAATGTCAGGGAGAGGGGAGGGATTTGAGGGAAAAGAGAACTTCAAAAAAAATTTTTTTAAGCTTCTTAAATCCTACCTCATAGGAGGAAAAAAAGACAACAAAACACCATTATTAAGGGCTGACCATGTGCTAGGCCTTGTCAGTGCTAAGAAGAGTACTTTTCAGATCCAATGTAACTCAACGCTTCACTCACTTCACAGACTCTCCCCTGGGCCCTGTGGTTGGGCTTCCTGTTTCCACATCAAAATTTAGTTCAATGAGCATTTGTGAAGGGCCAGCCAGGCACCAGGCTCTATGGGAGGTCCTGAGTGGGTGAGAGGACACAAATGTGGATGACAGGTAGGCCTGGGCTCAGGGAGCTCTCCATCTACTGAGGGACACAGGTCTGGGTATAACTACAATATGGACCAAGTACTGTGGGAGCTCAGGGGAGGGAGAGACTAATTCCAACAGATGAAAAAGAAGGAAAAAATTCCATTGGGCAAGAGTTCTCATGACCAACATTTGATTGCAGGCTCCTTAAAGATGGGCTATTTTTTTTCCCTGTTGACTCTTCAGAGTGTCCTGAAAAGCCTTGGGCCCTGTGGCTCCTTGATGAGTTCATTAGACTCACTGACAAGTCCTGCAGACCTTTGCTTCTTGATGCCAGCTGTGTGCTGCTCTCTGAAGCTCCTTCTTTCACACCAAACAACAGTTTCCAGGGCTGGTGGGCGTTGGACAGTCTGGAGCGATTCTTGACTTGATTTACTAATACATACTATTGCAAGAAAACCTTTGTGAAAGTAGCCACCATCCTGTCTGCCTTTTTATTCTGAAGCTCCTCTTGCTCTCCCAGCCCCATGTTCTCATGCACACTGTCACAGTGAGTTGTTTAAGTGCTCAGATGTTATTACTTCCTGGGTAATCTACTTGGAGAGTTAAAGTTTGGCCTGTGGCCTGGGCTAGGCATTCCTTTTTCCTAGGATTGACTTTCTGGAAAGGAGGGTGATCCAGCCTGTTGGACTGAGCACAGCACTTTGAGAAAAGGGGAGCTTAGGAATGGAGCCCAGAGGAAGCCCCCTGGTTAGGAGGAGTTGTTTATTTTAGCTGTCAGGATGGCAAAGATGGTTTCTATTTGGCCTGCCCTGTTGTACTTACTGGCTGCTATTGGTTCATTTTGTTTGAAAAAAAAAAAAGGAAAGGAAAGTGGCTGATTGTTGAAGAAGCTTTCGTTCAATGGGAAAAAGTGCTTCTACCTTACAACAGGAAAAGCGTCAGCAATGGCAGGAGAAAGCAAAGTGGGCCATCTCTTCATGGAGCCATCTGGTGGCTCTTCGCTGTAAGCACCACTCCTGGAGTCTCCTGTGTGGGTGCAGAGCTCACTCCATGCATCTCTTCTCGGAGAAGTGGCCTCCTCCAGTGCAGGAAGGAAACTCCTCTCCGCCACGGTGCACCAGATGGCTGCCCACTTTGATTGGCTTCATCATGGCTTTCAGGGACCTGCAGGACCTGCCCCTGGGCTTTGTTCTCAGCCTCTACTCCAGATGCGCTTCTCCAGCTCCACCCCACCTGCCTGCCCCCTGCCCTCCTAGGGCCTTTGCATTTCCTCCCCTCTGCTCAGGATGCCTTTCTCCAACGTCTTCTTAAGGCTGATTCCTTCTCATTGCTTCTATTGCAACTCAGAGGAGCCTTCCTCAGAGAGGCCTTCCTTGACCACTCTTCCTAAAGCAGGCCCTGTCCCAAGTCACTGTTCGTGACAAGTGTCGGCTTTATTTTACTCATAGGATACTTAGTGGCATCTAAATCCTATTCATTCATGTTCTTCCCTCTTGTTTATTGCCTGTGTTAAATGCAAGAGAACAAAGCCTTATCTGATTATTTTATCTCTGTCTCCCTAACATCAAGAAAAGTACCTGGCTTGTACTGAATGTTCAGTAAATATATGCGAAAAAATGAATGAAACTAAAGACATAAAACATAGAAAGGGAGGTGCTTTAGAGCCCAGATATGTCTGTCTGAGGCTGTGCTGGACTCCTCCTCATTCCCTCTGTTTCTCCCTAGATAACAATCTATGGAAGGGGCTATTTCTCTGGCTAGCATCCATTTTTCTCTGGGATTCTATTCTGGTTGGCAGGAATTTGGTTCTTCCCACCATCAAACCCTCCCGGGTCTCTTTCTTGGTTCAGTTTTTCCTAATGTACATTCACACTCTTTAATAGCTTTAACAGTGACTGTTTATAGGGGGGAAGCTGTCTTCCAACTTTGAGGTGCTATGATTTTTAGACATTTCCAAATATTCTATATAAAACACAGAACCATCAAGAGAAATTCATACCTCATCTGATCACAATCTCCTGGTTAACTTCCTTCACTGTGGACAGCGCTTGGCCTGCATATCCACACTCCTTTGCAGCCAGCAGCTGCCTCTTCTCTTGATGCTGCCTTTTCGTTGCCTAGCCAGGAACCAAGGCTCTATCTGCCCAAGGCTCTATCTGCTCTATCTTTAGAGAAGAGCCCTCAGATTCCAGGGAGCAGCAGCTCATTTTTAGTGAGGTTTCCCCTGTACCTGGGCTGGTCAAATATTCTCCCTCGGCCTTTTCTTCAAGATTTTTTTTTCCACTCGTGTGTGTGTGTGTGTGCATTCACACACATGTGCATGGCCATTGCACCCCACATAGAGCCCCAGCCTCATCCAAATTGCTGGTTCTTCTCTTCATTATTCTCTCTTTTTCTCATCCTCATCCTTCCTGGATTCTTCCAACAAATTCCAAATTTCTTTCCCATTTGGTATTTAGAAAACATAAGCTTGAACCACCAACTCAATACACTGTGAGCATCTCACAATTTCTCCAAATTCCTTGGGGATTACTGTCTTGTAATCACTCCTGGCTTCTAACTCCTGCTTTTTAAATTTGTGGCTCTATGCTTTCTGTTGTTCTAATCCATGTTGACTCATACCTGAAATTGAGCCTCTTCCCTGAGTTCACCAACACAAACAAAAATCCCCACTTATTCATGAAAGTTTGCAGAGAAGATTTTAGAGTAGACTTAAGAGGAGGATGGAGACGGTCTTATTGCAACAGCACACAGCCACATATGAAAATAGTCATCCAAGTTCTGCCTTCCCATCCCTGAGATTTTTCACTGGCCATTGCACCCCACATAGAGCCTCAGCCTCATTCAAATTGCTGGTTCTTCTCTCCAGCCTTCTCTCTTTTTTCTCATCCTCATCCTTCCTGGGTTCTCCTGACAAATTCCAATTTTTCTTTTTAGTTATGCGGAGCAATTCAACTCTTCCCTGCCTTTCTTTCCACATCTTGCTCTGGGTCCATTTTGCATATCCAAACTCATCAAGGTACGCAGCAGATTCAAAGGGTTTCTTATTTATGAAGAGCTGCTCTCCATGGAAGGCAATTGTGGTTTAAGCAGCATTTCCTTCTCCTTTGTAAGCAAGTTATTCAAGAAAAGGCCAATAGGAACTGATGCCCTGTGTGTCATCCAAATAAAGAATCCACAAAATACCAAAACTAGGAGTGGCTTTTCTGAGGACCTACTCATTGTCTACTTACTGTCTATTTTGAGAGGGCAAATGGCTCAAAGAATCCTATGAGCCACTGAAATCAAACTGACAAAGCTTTTAGAGTCACTTTGCCTCCATAGGGCAACTAAGAGCCCCTGAGCTCTGTTTGCCCTTCTACTGGGGGTGTCTTTCCATCCTGGGTGAACTAGCAGTTTTCATGAGCTTTTCTCAGCATGAAACTTATTAAAAACAAAACAAAACAAAGAAAAGAAATCATCTTTCCACCTTTTGCACTGGCAGCGGTAGAGCTGTGTTGGCAAGGGAAGATTTACTGGGCCTGGAGTTGTTCTTGGAGCAGGTTGCTCTGTGGAGGGAATCTAGGAGTGAGAAAGAAATCAGAGTCATAGAATGTGCCAGTGGAGGGGTCCTCAGACAGCCCACAGAGAAGCGCCTCCCTTTGTAGCTGAGGAATCCTAAGCCCAGAGCAGTGAAGCGACTTATTTGCCCAAGGTCACACATCAAGGCTGTGTAATTTATGGTTCATTGTTCAATCTGGCTAGGGAAGTAGGAGCCCCTTGGTCTGCCCTGGCTGCAGAAATAGGCCCACATAAGGGGTGTCGGGGCTGCTTTAGAAAACCCACAGCACTTTGAATCAAGGAAAAATGAGTCAATTGGTTCTTCTTCTTCATTCTTGAACTTTAAAAATCTGAGTTGCGGTTCAGTATTTGAGGTGGTATGTGCATTTGGCTGAGGGGGCGGAAGGTGACAGGGAGGATTCAGAAGATGGTGATTAGGTTCTTTGAGATGTCTGGGGGAGGAGGAAGAGCACGGAAGGAGGTGGGTTCCTCCCTAGTAGTGGAAAAAGAAATGTAAGTGGGTCAATTTGATGTCAGCTCTTGCCCTTCTAGACTGCAATGAAAAGAATATGCAGTCAAGTTTTTCTTTGGCAGAATGACTGCTATGTACACTGGAATCAGAGAAAAAAAATGTTGCATAGGATGGTTTGTAGTAGAGAATCTGTTGTGACCAATTTAATTCAGCTCAACAAGAAATTGTCAAGCAGTGATTATACACCCATCACAAGGTCAGATGTCTTGTGGGGAGCAGGAAGAAAGGCTCTCCAGTATCACTATATCCAAGACCTGACAGTCTTATTAAGAAATTGAGACCCACCTACATGGAACAGATAAAAAATTGGATTCAATAGCTTAAATGCCAAAAGTCTTGGTACCGAAAATGTGTATTCTGGAAAGTTATGAGGAAAGGGGTTGGGGGAGGGGTCATGAGGAAGTGAAACCTGAGCCAGAGTGAAAGCTGTTTGTTTTGGGGACTGTGTCTTCTTCTGTGTTTTCACTAGAGAGAGGCTTTGTCCATAATAGGTGCTCACTAAAAACCTCCTCAGTGATGGAGGGAAAGTAGGTGGGCAAAAACAGAAGAGAAGATGCAGAGGTGGTCCAGAGGTTTGCAGCTGCAAAGGCCAGACAAACTTAGCAGAGCAGAGAGGGTACTTGGTAGAATTGTAGGTAGGACCAGGAGGCTGAAATGTTTTCAGATGCAGAATTTGGACTTGCTCTGTGGCCAAAGGGAAACACAGGAGAGGCAAGGGTAGGTGCTTTGGAAAGTACACGGGCCTGTGGGTGAGGATGATGTGGGTGCTATACTGGGCTCTGCCCTGATGCAGCTTTGGAGGCGCTATTGAATTCTCTTTGCCTTAGCTTTTTAACATGTCAGATACAAGGCTGGACTGTGAATTCTCTTTCATGTCTACCCTCTTAAGGAATAAATCTGAGGATGATGTGCAGGGTGGACACTTGGAGGCAGAGAAACAATTTGGTTGTGGGAATTCAGGCGCTGAAGACCTGGACCAGGGTGCTAGTAAAGGGAAAAGCAAAGGAGGGAAGGATTTGAGAAATTTGGAAGTGATTATAAGGATACCTTTAGATGTTACTTAACAGAGTAGCACAGTTTGCTTAAAGGGAAGAGAGATGTTTTAGAGGGTGGTATTTGGGGTGTGAGGTAACTGTGGGATGTCTCTGAAGCAGCTAGAAATGTAGGACTAGTGGTCGGCTGGGCAGGGCAGGCTATTTAAAAGTAGATCCTTGAAATCAGATGACATAGTTTTGAATCCTGACTCTAATGGCCCTGGGCACATGACTAGAGTAGGGTGAGCAACTCTTCCAGTGTGCATTAGGGCATTCCCAGCTTTAGCACTGAAAGTCCCATGTCTTGGGAAATTCCCCGGTCCCAGTCAAACTGGGACAGCTTGCCTGGGACCGTCCTCGTTTGAAAACCACAAGGCCTGCATGCCAGGAACTACTTTTGTGGTAGGCAAACTGGGAAAACTGGTGAAGATACTTGATCAATTTTAGCTTCAGGCTCCTCATCTGAAAAGTAAGGATAATAATATGCCTTCCTCAGAGGTTGTATGAATTAAATGAGATGATATATGTGAAGTACTCAGCATAAAGATTAGCACAAAGAAGCATAAGAGAAACATTTGTGAAAGGATGAGTTAGATGAATCCTGCAGATGAACCAGTTAGGTGCAGAGGAGATGGGTAAAGTAATCCAGTGTCAACACGGGACACCAGCAGAGTCAGCGGCTTTGTGTACAGAACTTGTAGCTGGGATTGACCTGTATTTGTGAAAGAAGGCTTGCCAAGAAAATTAGTAATGTAAACAAGGAAAATGTTAGCCCATTGAAGAGGGCAACATTTTAATAATACTTATGCTAATTATAAGTGAATAGGTACATTCCATCAAGGATTTCCAAGATTCTTTAAAGACATACATCCCTGCTTTCTGGCTCAATTGACACTGTGGCTATATGTGCTTAAATGAAATAAACCACATTTTGTTTCCATATTCATACATTCATTGGTTGAGGCACTCATTCAACAAATACTTATTGAGCATTTTTTATGTGTTAGGCACAATGCTAGGCTCTATGGAAACCACAAGAAATATAAAAAGTAGTCTGCAATCTTAGAAAATTTACTATAAAGTGGTTTTATTATACTTATTTTACTTATTTAAACATGAATCACCATTTCCCCTGCCTAATTCTTTCCCCACCAATATTGGGGACTTTTGACAGATACATATACGAATATGATTTTAATTACCTTCAAAGTTCTAGAAGCCAGAAACAGAGAAATCAGAAAGTCCCCACCAGGGCATCTTGAAGCGGTAGGACAAGAACAGGAAAGGTAGACTAGGACAGCAAAAGGACAGAGGAGGAGGGGAACTGAGAGAGAAGGGGACAGGAGCGAGGAAGGAGGGGGAAGCAGGAAGGAGGGGGGAAGCGGGAAGGAGGGGGGAAGCGGGAAGGAGGGGGAAGCAGGAAGGATGGGGGAAGCAGGAAGGAGGGGGGAAGCAGGAACGAGGGGGAAGCAGGAACGAGGGGGGAAGCAGGAGCGAGGAGGGAAGCAGGAACGAGGGGGAAGCAGGAACGAGGGGGAGCAGAAGGAGGGGGAACAAGAAGGAAAGGGAAGCAGGAAGGCGGGGGAGCAGGAAGGAGGGGAAAACAGGAAGGAGGGGGAACAAGAAGGAGAGGGGAACAGGAAGGAGGGGGAGCAGGAAGGAGGGTGAACAGGAAAGAAGGGTTTGAATGAAAGAGTCTGAGGCAGGAGAAAGTGGAGACAGCAGCAAGAGGACTGAGGAAAGAAAGGAGAAAGGAAGGAACCTGTGCATCGCGAGGCAGGTGGGGAGGGAAAGAGAACTTGAGGAGAGACAGCAATTGAGGCTGGAAGAGGCTCAGGGCTGCTGAGCCTTAGTCACCACCCAATGAATAGAAATGTTCAAATTACACACGAGGGTTGTTTTTTTTTTTCCCACAGCTAAGAGGAAACTGAGGTAAAGACCAGAGCAGAGGAGGTCTGTAATCCCACTTCAGCTCTGCCTCTCTCTCCATTTTGCCTGAGGTTAATCTGCTCCAGGCATGTGTCTGTCACCTCTTTCTGATACCACAGGAGCCAAAGATCCTGCCCTTTCTGTGTCCAGCTAAGGCTGGGTCTGCGTTGGCAGGGGCCACCTCCTCCAGGAGTCAGCAGCTCCCCTGAGCTGTGCAGGCTGCTACTTCCCCAAAGTGCTTCCCTCTCAGAACTGGCTCTGGTGCAACTTTGACAGCACCCTTCCTCCTCCTTCACCTGAAGAGGTGAAGCAGAGTCAGGGAGAACATTTGTTTTCTCCTCCTTTCTTTCATTTTTCTTCAACACTCATTCTCCCTTTCCATTTTCCTGTTTTATATATCCTAGAGGATTTCATAAAGTAAGAGATTCAAGATAAAATGCTCAACACCCTCCAAGCCTCAGAGTCCAAGAGAGGAGTTGTATGTAAGTAATCAGCTCACTTACCCTTGGAGAAGGACCAGGCTGGAAGGGCCTTCCGAGGGCATAATAGTTAGCCAAGAGCTGGGACCAGAAGGTTGAAAAATTCCATGATCCGAGCCAAGTGGTCAGATCCTCCATCAGCAAAACTCGAACGCATCTGGCTAGCCAAGCATGGCTGCCATTGTGCATCTCAGAGGCCCAGACTGGTTTATCTCTTGAGCTATGATTTCAAGGGACAAAACTATTATAGACTCTAGGCCTGAAAGGAAGCTGTGCTGCTGAATATCAATTTCTGGGCTTTAAATATATATATATAACCTATTTGAAGGATGCTAAGCTATTAAGTGCAATCAGCGAGGCAGCTCCTTTGTGAACACGCCTCTGCTGTACATCTCAGACCCTTTTGAGTCGGGGCTTCTACATTTCTGACTTGTTTTGATGCTTTGTATCATTAGACTCTTAGGATGCTTTTAGTTATTACTCGACTGCCTGGACAGTCCATATTTGGAAGAAAGTCATATAAATGGCAACTGTCCAGCATTTTCAGAGGCTCGGGGATAGCTTGGAGATGATTACATTAAATTATGCTTGCGTATCACATTATAGTTTGCAAGCACTTTCCCCATTCAGTAGCTCCCTGAATCTTGAAACAACTCTGCCAGATGGGTAGGATTATCCCCAATTTGTTGATGAGGAAATGAAGGTCTAGAGAGGTGAACCGACTAGCCAAAGTCTTACAGCCAGTGGTAGATACAGATTTCCTAACTTAAATTGTATGTTTTTCCACCAAAGCTATTGTCTGTAAATGACATACAAATGAAGACAATTATAAATATGGATTGAACTTTTACTCTTTGCCAGGCATCATGCTAAGTGCTTTAACACGCATTTTCTCATTTAGTTTTCCCAGCGGGCACCTGAAGAAATGGATATTATTATCCCCATACTACAGATGAGAAAAGTGAGACTTACTGAGATGAAGCAGCCTGCACACTGTCACATGAAGGAGTTGTAGAGACCTGTATTAGTCCATTTTCATACTGCTATAATGAACTGCCTGAGATGGGGGTAATTTATAAAGGAAAGAGGTTTAATTGACTCACAGTTCAGCATGGCTGGGGAGGCCTCAGGAAACTTACAATCATAGTGGAAGGTGAAGGAGAAGCAAGGCACCTTCTGGCAGGAAGGAAATGTGCCGAGTGAAGGGGGAAAGAGCTCCTTGTAAGGCCATCAGATCTCGTGAGAACTCTATCACGAGAACAGCATGGGGGAAACCGCCCCGATGATTCAATTACCTCCACCTGGCCTCTTCTTTGACACGTGGGGATTATGGGGATTATGAAGATTACAATTCAAGGTGAGATTTGATTTATCAAGACCTAAACCTAGCTAGTCTGATACCAGAACTGGTGTTCTTAACCCCTGATACCAAGCAGGAGAGAGAGAGAGAGCATTCAATCTGACTTGGGGCCCTGCGTTTAATTGTCTATCCATTTTCTTTGTCTCCTGTTTGAAAGTTTCCATTCCCTGGGATATCAGAAGTCCTGTTATCCAAGTCCTCTGCAGACAAAAATTAAATTGGTTGTCAGGTTTCCGGGGTTGGGGCACCAGCAGAACACAGGTTTTGGGGGAGAGAGGACAGCATAAGGCAGGGATGGAGATGGAGGAGGGGTTTCCCATTCAAGTATGGCCACAGTGACAGGGGCTGAAGGGCGTGACGGTGTCATGCACGTGCAGGGGACACAGTGCCATCCCTTCTTCCTAGCCATATGTGCTGCTCTGTCTTTTTTATAGTGCCACATATGGCACTTCCTTAATGAAATTTCTTATAATAATTTATCTGACCTGTATCATTCTGTTAGCTTTAACAAAAGAAATTCTGACAGGTTTTGATATTAAATCTAAAAATATGTTTTCAACTCACTGAGGAGCCATAAAGCAGGCTGAAATCATACTAATGATAATGGACAATCTGCTTTCTACCATCAAGTTCTGATTATTTACATGTAGCAAACCATCCAGAGATAATGTGAGCCTTGAGTCTCCTTTCAATTTTTACTAATCTTCCCGAATTTACCAAATGGGGGTAGTGGAGGCCTGAAAGAAGGCTCCCCAGGTCACCTTGGCATGCCCTTCTTGATGCCTCAGTGTGTCACATGAAGCCATCCCAGTGCAGCTGCTCATGAATCTCTGGGCTGACCCTCCTGCAGTGGGGCTGCAGGGCTGTTTCAGTTAAAAAGCTCATGGTTCAGGAAAGGGATTTGCAATCTGATTTTCACAGATGTTTCTTTTCAGGCATCTTCCCTGAAACAATCCTTGTGGCGTTCAGATGGGCAGAGTGAACAGCACTGCCCTTGAACATGGGCAGCTCCGGTAGAGCTGTGCTCTGGCCCCCTTCGTGCTATACCTCTTCCTGCAGGGCATTCAGTCTGCAGGACTGAGGGACAACATCCACTCAGAGCCCATGCCCCTCTAGACTTCAGGTGCCTGGGACCCCATATTCCTGCCCAAACAGCCCTGAACCCAACTTCACTCCCAGGTCTCTTCCTGGGTCTGACTTCCTGAGAGTCCATCCTGCTGACAGCCTGCACACTCCCTAGTTCTGAAGGGGTTTGGGAGGTTGCTGTCACAACAGCCTGTGGATGAAGTTTGGACATGTGGCCAGAGGGGTCTATCTGCATGTTAACAAGGTGCTTGCAGTGTGGGACAGAGCCAGGGGTGGCGGGAAGTGGGATGCAGCCTCAGGCTCCAGGATCCCCTCTCTCATGGGTCACGCTCACTGAGGAACTCTGAGGGGTTCTGAATTTCAACTTGGCCTTTCAGGTCATTATGAAGGTTCACTTGCCAAGGCAGGAGGATGAAACATATATTCCTCAGCAGTTTGTCAACTTGACTTACATCTGTTACACATTTAGACGTATGTCACGTGGGCCTCCATTTGTACTCTTGCTCCAGCCCATGACAATATGAGGATGGGCCTGATAGGGTGGGGACCGAGCTTGTGGACCAAACAGATGGAGTATGGGGCAGGTGGACACAAGGCTTCTTCTTGTCCCACTCTCAAGGTGATGGGTTCATGCATTTCATTGAAGAATAGGGGAAGAGGAGAACTTGGGTTCTCTCCTTGGATTTGTTATCAAGTGACTAAATATCTTGGGTAGTTCTTTTCATGGTCTCAGTTTCCTGGTCGGTTAAAGAGAGAAGAGGTAGATTAGCATTTCCCAGGGCATGTTCCTAGACAACTTGCTCTGCCAGACGACCTATGAAACAAGGATTCCATGATCAATTAAATTTAGGAAACAAATTCTTTCTTCTTTGAGAATCATAATGCAAATTTGCATAATAAAGCCTCCCATAAGTCCTGTAGCTAAAAAAAATGATTAATTTTAATTACCATAGTTTCATACACCAAAGATTTATTGAGTTCTTACTGTTTGCTAGGGACTATGCTATGTGTTTTACATGTAAATTTTATTTAACTATCACACCAGACCTATCATATAGATATTGTTAGTATTCCATTTTACAGATGTTGAAACCAGGGCTTGGAGAAGCTAGGAAACTTGCCCAGAGTCAGGAATGAAGCTTGCTATCTCTTTTGTCCAGTATAGGTCATTAAGCCATCTTATTTGTACTTTTTACCTTTGGTGGTTATCACTACAAGCTCAGAATGATCTCCTATGTACATCCTATTTATTAGAAACTATTCCTCATTATAAACATTTTTCTAAACTGAAAAAAAGATTTTGAATAATATTAAATATACAAATGACCAAAAAGCATATAAAAATATTCAATGTCATTAGTCATCAGGGAAATGCAAACTAAAACCACAGTACCATTCCATACCCACTAGGATGGCTATAATCAAAGAGCCAGAAGGGTAAGCATTGGTGAGGATGTGGAGAAACTGGAGTCATACACTGAAGGTGGGAATGTGAAATGGTGCAGTCACTTTGGAAAACATCCTTGCAGTTCCTCAAAAAGTTAAACGGAGTTACTATATGAACCAGAAATTTCATCCTAGCTATATACACAAGAGAAATGAAAATACTGTGCCCATATAAAAACTTATATATGAATGTTTATAGCAGCATTATTCATAATAGTCCAAAGGTAAAAAAACCCAAATGTCCATCAACTGATGAATAGATAAAACAAAAGATGATATGTCCATACGATGGAATATTATTCAGCCATAAAAAGGAATGAAGTAGTGATACATGCTACAACATGGGTGAGCCTTGAAAATATTATGCTAAGTGGAGGAAGCCAGATACAAAAGAACATATATCAGATTATTCCATTTAAATGAAAGATCCAGAATAGGTAAATCAATAGAGGCTGAAGATTAGTGGTTGTTTAGGGCTGAGGAGGACGGGTAGATTGGGTGGGGAGTGATAGCTAATGAATGTGGCAGTAGGGGGACTCTTTTTGTGGTAATAAAACTGTTCTAAAATTGATTGGGGTGATGATTTTATTATTCTGTGAATATACTAAAAACCATTGTTTTTTACAATTTTAATGGGTGAACTGTATGGTATGTGAATTATATCTCAATAAAGCTACACCCTTACCTCCCAAAACTCTCCGCAATATTAAAAACTATTTGAAAATGAGGTCAGCTCAATTACCCCAATATTCACAGGTTCTTATGTTTTATCTTCTCTTCTTGTCTGCATTTGCCGCGTTGAACACAGGTCCGCATGCATTCAGCTATTCACTCAAAGTGGGAAGCAGAGAGGCTAGTAGCAATGATATTTGCTCATTGGTTCCTTCACTGATTCACTCACTGATCATTCTTTTATTTTTTCATCCATCCAATGCACATCTGTTGAGCCCCTCCATATGCCAGGCACTGTGCCAGGTTCTAGGACACAGCTGTGAGAAAGATAGACAAGATCTCAGATGAAAAGGAGCTCACAGTCCACTTGGGGCAACTGAAAAGTGCACAGTCAATTGCAATGCAGTGTGATAGTGCTGACATAGAAAGCCTTGCTGTGGGGAAGGTCACGGATGCCTTCTCAAAGAAGTGATGCCTCAGATGATCACTGAGGGTGACATGTTTAGGCAATTTCTAAGGTCTCTAAACACTCAGAGCCAGGGCAGTTAGGGAGTGGGGTGAGTTAAGGTTGGAGGGGTATGTAGAGACCAGACAAAGGTGGGCCTAATGGCCATATTAAGGAGATTGTGTGGTGAGCCATTGAAGGCTTTGAAGCAGGGAATGACATATTTTAAAATTACTATAATTAAAACGTACATATTCTTTTGTATTCTCGAATGTTTCATTTTAAAAATATTTTTAATAAGTTTTGTAATTATTTTCAATGGCTGCACATGTAATCACATTGATACTCTATTTTACTGCAGTATATCTCTATTGTTGGATATTGAGGTTTTTTCCAGTTTTTGTCTCACAACCCTTCTTCTGTTTTAGTCAACATGACAATGGACATCCTTATTTTCTCATGCATATAAGCCTCTGTTCCCCATTCTGGTTAACATTGGAATGAATATTCTACTTACATAACTTTTCTAGGAGTTATTTCCAGGAGTGACTGTCAAAAAGATTGAACATTTTCTGGCTCTAATTTGGTTTCACCATCATGGTTTTAAACGGGCTATGCTAATTGATACTCTCTTTACCAGCACTAAATAACCAGGAGAATTTATTTCTTTGCACTCTCTCTCTTTCTCTTTCTCTCTCTTTTGGAAAAGGACCTTCTTTCTGTGTGTACCATTTGCTAAATTCACCTGATAATCTGTGTAAAGGCTGAACTACTCATTACATCTTAGGCATGACATGTAAAAAAGAAAACCACATAGAAATTGAGACTGTTAGTCAGGGATGGAGTCTTTGGAGAATGAAGGTGTTAGGGCCATGAGTTAAAGTAAAACTAAATTTAAATCACTGACGTTGTTGATGCAATTCTGCCAGGCTACCCTTCTCTATACATTGTTGTCAGAATTAAATTTTTTTTCCATAAGAACAATAGTGCTTTAAAAAATACTTTTTTGGGTGCTATTTCAGAGTCTTTTGTCCATCAAGAGAATCCAATATGGAAAGGCACTGGCCTTCAATATAATAAAAATTTATCTAAATAGAATGTGGCATTAATGCCTTTCTCTGAAATACTGTCAAAATAAAGATGACATTTAAACACCCTTGCTACTGCTGCACATAAAAAGAGAATTACCTCTCATTCTGTGGAGCCCTACAAGTGCTAACAATATTTACAACAGCAGTAGCAGTTATTTTAGCTGGATTTGTGTTTGCCTTTAGCAGGAAAAGTTGGGACCAGGAAGGTTTCAGCTGAAGGAGATTGTTTTGGCCAACGTTAGACAAGTAGGATGGGATATTATATAGTATGTTGGTTTCAAAATGATTGGTTTGAGACTTGAATGTTGAAATCCATCATTTCCTCTTTGAGATTTCTCTGCATGGGAGACTTTAAAGGAGGAGAAAGTATGCTATATAGGAAGTTAGGAGAACTGGAATCTAGTCTCTACTCTGCCCCTAATTAATTATTCTATTAATTATCTACAAGGTCCTGGATAAGTAACTTTTTGAGTCTTCTCATAAAGGCCACGTGGAATTACTGGTCTGAAAGTAACCTGAGATGGTTAGCACTTGCATAGCAAAGAACATTCACCTCTTCCTGTGGGTTGTCTAAACTACTGGCTAAACACATTGCCAATGCCTGGCACTGCCAATGCCAGGCAAGCTTGTCCAGGAGGCTGTGGGATTCAGTAATGGTAATGCTCATTGAGAGGTAGTGTGGAGCAGTAGAAAGAGGAGAGTGTGGACATCAGAATGCTTGAGTCTTGGCCTGGCTTCCCCTTCCTTGTTATTGGGACTTGAGCATTTTAAATACCTTCCCTGGTTTATCCAAAAGTATCCTCAGCTGTCAAATGAGTTAGCTGGTTTTGTGGTCTCCAGGAATTCCTTTGAGCTTGGGCATTTGGTGGTTCTATGATTTCTTTCTGAGAAAGTTCAGCCTTTACCTTTGTTTCTACACGGAACTTTCATGGCCTCAAATGGACCAACTCCTAGAACCAATTCCCAAAGAACTCCCTGTTGAGTTGAGGGGACTCCCCTGTGCTGTGTAGATCATACTTTTGAAGTGTGCTTGTGATGGCATATGTTATCATGTATTGTCAAGTGGAAGGTATTTTTAGAAACACAGGAAGAAAAAGACAACATTCATATTTCATTCAAGTTTTATAAGTGGTCAAATTACTGAAGGGCTTAGAGAACTAGGGATAATTACGTAGTGGTAGAATGACTGTTGGTGAAATGAACAGATATCAATAGGGTATTTAAAGATTAGGAAATTGGAACTGAGGAAAATTAGCTGGTGGCCCTAGTAGAGGACCTATGTCATTGATTTTGTTGAAAATGGATGCTGGTTGATTTTTAGCTCAGTAAGACAGACTTCACAATAGAGACTTCAATTAATGTCTCCCTACTGACAGGGTACAGGATACAGGAGACTTAGCATCATGTGAACATCTATTACTTTTTAGACATCATATTCAGCATTTGACAAGATACTTTGTCTTAGAGGGCGTGTGCACCTTATAAATAATGTCATTTTCCCGAGGCAAACAAGTGCCTCCTGATGCATGAACTGTTCACATAAGTAGATGCTTAGTGCTTGCCGGTTGCATGATTGCATCAATATAGTGAAAACTCTTCTTTCATTGTGTTCTTCATTTTCAATACAATTTCTTTTGTCATGCGATTAGATTTTATCCAAGTCTCAGGGTAGTTTTGGAAAGGAAATGTCTGGGGCTTTTTAACCAGCTTTGCTTTGGGAGGGTGAGAGTTGAAGAAGGGTGGGGAAGTGAGGAGGGGTCATTGTGTCCCAGCTAGATCCTTCTCTCTGAAGGTGATTTAGATGCAGAATTAATTGGACCTTTGAAGCATAGTCAGTACATCTTCTTCTCTTGTTTTCTACCCTCTGTCTCCATAAAACCAGCTCACTAATATGGGGCTTGAGCTTCAAGGTTTAAGGCCTTATGTTGAATTTGTAAACATTCCATCTTGAAGCTGTGCTGGGTTGAAAGAGCTCAGCTCAATGAAGAGAACCACTTCCAAATAGCTTTTCTGGGTTCTCATGACAGCCACCCACTTGGTTGTGCAATGTGGGAGGAGTTTGTTTTCATACACTGAGCCTCCTCTATAAGCTCAGGTGGCGTGTCACATTACTCCTTGGCCAAGGCACTATGTTCTTCTCATGATTAGTAAAGCCAAATTGTAACAATAGGAAGCTTAGATAATGCACTTTTTGTACCCATGGTTTATCTTTCTGAAGGCGGTTAGCAGTTAGGGAATCCCTAAGATTCCCCAATATTCTCTCTAGGCATAAGTCAGTTGCTGATTTAGAGGAATGAGGATAACATACTAAAGCGTCTTCAAAATATTACTACAGAGAACAATCAAAGCCTTTCATTAATGCACAAGCATTTATTTTCTGAGCACCTAAAATATGTCAAGCATGGGAATAACTGCAAAGCAAAGACATGGACTCTTACTTCAAAACACTCTCTCTCTCTGGTGGGGCAGATTACTGAGCAAACAGAAATTTCAATAGTGTAATGGGAGCAGTAAAAGACTACCCTTACTCAAAGGGATCAGGGCAGGCCATCCAGAGGAAGTCAGAGTTGAGCACCTCTGCAGGAACCTGTTGGTATCAACTTGAGGGGGCAACATATGCAAAATCACAGCCATAAAAAGTATGTAATTTTATAGGAACCACGAGTATGGGATGGCTAAAATACAGGTTATTTATATATATTTTGGAGTAAGGGAGAATGCATAAGTGGTGAGAGATGAAGTTGGAGAGGGAAACAGAGATAGAGCCATGAAGCCTCTGCCTTATGTATCATTTTAGGAGTTTGGCCTTTTTCCTTTACTGATAACATAGGGAAGCATGCAAAGATTTTAAGCGTGAAAATGACATTCACTTAGTAATTCAACAAATAGCACCCAGTACCTACCATGTGCCAGTTGTGGTTTTAGGGACTGAGGTTACAGCAATAGACAAGACCACTAGGTTCATGTCGGACATGATCTGATGTACATTTTAGAAGGAAGCTATGTGGCAGCAATATGGCGCTTAGATTGGGCTCAGGGACTGAGCGAGAAATGAGGATTTTAACTTCTTATTTTCTACATGCATTGAGACCATCTGGGATGTGTTGATCACAATTTTCAGTAGTCCCCAGAGAAGAACAGTAGCTTATTTGTGGTACTTAAAAAAATTGGAAACACCAGACCTGGGTAAGTACTAATGAGAAGCCTGATAAATCAGTAAGGTTGAACATTTATAGAAATAGAAGGCATAGGCTGGGCGTGGTGGCTCACGCCTGTAATCCCAGCACTTTGGGAGGCCGAGATGGGTGGATCACGAGATTGAGACCATCCTGGCCAACATGGTGAAACCCCATCTCTACTAAAAATACAATAATTAGCCAGGTGTGGTGGTGCACTCCTGTAATCCCAGCTACTTGGCAGGCTGAGGCAGGAGAATTACTTGAACCCAGGAGGCGGAGGTTGCAGTGAGCCGAGCAGGCGCCACTGCACTCCAGCCTGGCAACAGAGCAAGATTCCATCACACATACACACACGCGCACACACACACACACGAAAGAAATAGAAGGCATAATTTGTAGGTAGTAGGTTCCTAAAAAAAAAAAAACACATGAAAGATAGAGGAAATTGTGCAGTTTGGGAAGTAATCCTAGGACACACCTGTGGGGTAGTAGGAAAATTGGATAGGGATGGGGTGTGTTATACAACCAGTTACCACTATAGACAATGGAGTCTGATCTTACTAGGAATTTCTGGGAAATAGTGGAGAACACTCCTTAGAATTATCTCAACTAAGCAGCTAGGAAGCTGGGGTATTTATACACCAACTCATCATCTATCAGTGGTTAAAGCCTGTTTCTGAGGGCCTCAACAATGAAATTGGTTTGTGTGCAGAAAAACTGTACTCCTAAAGCCAGAGAGTCCCAGGCAGTTGTGGGAAGCCCCATCAGTGTACTGAGGTGAGAGCTGAGGGGATGTGGGTGGAGTGGTAATGGCATCTGCCACAGGATTTAATAATTCTTGGGTGCTTTTCTTTTGCTCATTCATAGGTACTGGACTCTCTATAATTGTACTAATATGTAAAAAACAACAATCCTAAAAATTGGGTTAGGTTAGTGGTTCTCCGCTGGGGGTGACTTACTACTCCCTCCCTCAAGGGGAATATTAGCCACTATCAGGAATCATTTATTTGGTTGTCACCACTGGGAGAGGGAGAGTGCTACTGGCATCTAGTGGGTAGGCCAGAGATGCTGCTAAATATTTTATAATGCACAGGACAGTTCCTCCCACCCCCACAAAAACATATCTAGTCCAAAATGTCAATAGTGCTGAGGTTGAGAAACTCTGGGCTAGATTAATGGTATTTCACAAATAACAACTCCAAGGTTAAGACAAGTTGAATAACTTCCTTGGGTTTCTAAACCCAGTGAATGGCCCAGCCAGGATTTGAATTGAGGTTTATCTGCTCCTAAAGCCTGTGCTTTTTGATTTATGTTGGTCTGCCTTCCAGAGAAGGAGAAAAAACCTGAATCTCAGAGACTCACTGAAAAAGCCCCAGCATTAGTACCGGTCATGGCTCCTGGGCCAGGACTTCAAAGGAGCCTGGAACTGGCTGTAACTGGAAGGAGGTGGGGGAATGAACACCTTTTCCATTTTTCCCTGGCCTCTCTCTCTCCTGGGCAAGTTGGGGCAGGCTGAGTGGGCACAGGTCCTGGATCTGCATACCAGGGCTGGCGAGGTGCCTTTCGCTGGAAGTCCTGACTCCTTCTCAATGCACAAGGACGCCCTTCTGCTGCCAAAGCTGGCTGGTGGTTCTTTCTGGAATGGCAGCTTTCCCCATCCCCCTTCAGGCTTGGGTCGATCTTCTGGCAGGCAAACGTACTAAAGAGTTACAGGTGGTGCAGATACGGTTTGGAAGGAATCCCAGCTGGGCCTCCTCCCAGAAGCCTTCTGATCACTCACCAGATAACTCTAGCTGCTTGCAGAGTCCTGGGAATCTTAGCTTCTCCAGGAAACCAGCTTCAAGGGCAACAAGAGGTTCTGAGGAGCTAGAATAATCTCGGAAGCTGAAACTGCTTTGTCCTTTTGCTTCCTTAGGTTGGAAATATTTTTGCAATACCACTGAATCCTCCAGTTTTTACCCCTTACGATGGGAAGTGAATACAGTATGAAAAGGGAGTGGGACATATGAGAGGAACGACAGGCTCAAAATATGAAGACTTAATCCAGACACCTCTGTGTCTCTGAACTTGCGTTGTTTCTTCTTTGGAGGTGAAGTACACATCGTTTTACTCCGGGCAGAGGACTTGTGCTCCTTTTGAGAACTTTCAGCTCTGTAGTGTCGAGTCTTCTGGTTTCCAGATCCACATCCTGCCCTGGGGGAATTGACATCCATCAGGTATACTGTTCTTGGTCTGTTTAATCAAACTTTCATGATGTCGGTTGGAATTTCACATGTGGAACAAGTATAGAAAAATTAAGTGATTCCAGCAGCTTAAGTCCAAAGGGATGCATTAACCTTTGATATCAAATACATTAAAACATAGTACATCTCAATAATCTGTTTTCGGAGGCACTGAGTAGTAGCTGGTTCACTTGTTCATTCATTACTTCACTTTTTTTCACTCATTCCACAAGCAATAATTGAGTACCTGCCAGGTGCTGTGGAGGATATTAAGGTAAATATGATAAAGCTCTTGCCCTTAAGGAGCTTAACATCTAATGGGAAAAGAGATCAATAGCTATCTCAGGTGGCAGGATATAAATATTACAAGAGAAATATGAAAAAGTGTAGTGATGCTATTTTGTTTTAGGCTATGAAATAGTCCTGGCATGGTGATGAGGCAGAAAATGTGGGCTATATTTTTAAGAAAATAGATACTGGAGAGGAAGAGAAAAATGGTCTTCAGTCTGAGGGATAGGTAAGGTTTGAGGATTATATATCAGTCAAGTACGCTTGGTTCCCAAATAATGTAAGTTTTCTTAAAAACTTCTTGTCCTCCAATTATTATCTCTGTTAAAGCAACAAACTTAGTGTATTAAATGTCAATACTACGCAAAATATGGCTTATGGACCCCTGCTGGTCTGCAAATTGTTAATATTCCATGATGAGAAAAGTATAGAAATTGATGATTTAGTAAGTTACGGCAATTTGACAATAATTTTGTTTGTTGACTCTAATAACTACAAAAAATTGGGGCTTATATTTTGTATATCTTTAGATAATTTTATTTTTCTAATCGTTTATTTTTATTGTGTTTTCCAAAAATAACAGTCTGTGACACATTGGAAATGAAAAAAGTGATTCCTTACCATAGATGATTTGAGAAGCACTGTATAAATGATTGCCTACATCTGTCTTCCTACTAAAATATAAGTTTCTCCAGGGCAGGAGCTGTATTTTTCATGTCTGTATTTCAGTCCCAAGCTTATGAGTAGGTGCTTCTTAATGATTTGTTGAATTGAATGAAAATATAAATGGGATTTCAGTCAACTGTAAGTAAATTATTTTCAGTTTTTGGAAAGCCCATTTGTATTTTTCAGCTTGAATTAGCTCTTGGATTCATACATTCATCCATGATGAAAGCAGTACTTGATTTTATTGTTCTAGTAATACTTTCAGACATCACAGTTGTAAGTCTGAGTTGCAATATTCTGTTCTTTTGTGACTGTGTACTTATTCACCTTATTAATGTCCTCATGAGTCTAAGAATTGAAGCCTTACTACCCTTATTCTTTTTCCATCACCCTCCAAATTCAGTATATTGGAACTTTTCCAGTTTTATATTTTTCTTAAAGTATAGAAGCAGGTCCTTTATAAGTTATTGCCTTTCACATAATGCCCATGGTTTTGCTGCCATTTTATTTACATATTCATTCACATATTCATTCACATATTCATTCATTCATTTACCACTTATTCCCAAACACTTATTAAGTACCTGTATGAGCTTGGCACTTTACTCGCACTGGAGATATAAAGAATAATAATATCCCTACCCTCAAGGAGTTTATAGTCTACTAGGGGAGTTAGGGATACAAATACAAAAATACAATAAGACATTACAGGTATTAGAATGGATATATACATGAGAAACAGAGAAGGCACAATATCCAGAGTAGTCAGTTCTCTGTTGTAGGCCAGGAGATGCTTCAGAGAACAGCTTCATGTTTCTTAAATTCAGGTGGAAATGTTAGTGACTATTTGCCAAGGAGACAGCATTGCTGGCAAAGAGCTGGCATAGGATGGCTGTTGAAAGAACTCCACCATCACCATCACCATCAACATCATGATAATCACAACTACCACAACCATGGCCACCACCATCATTATGGCCATCACCATCATTATAACCACCACTACCACTACTATCGCCATCACCATCACCATCATAATATGACCACCTCACCACCACCACTACAAAGACCATCATTATAACCACCACTACTACTACTATCACCATCATCACCATCATCGTATGACCACCTCACCGCCACTGTCACCAACACCAACGTTTACTAACATTCATCAGTTGCTTCGTATGCTTAGGCATAGTGCTGAGGAAGGACCTCATTTGGATTATCTCACGTAATCTTGCAACCTATGAAGCAGGCACTCTTAGCATTCCCAATTTATAAGTGAAGAAACAGAGGGATGGCATGGTTAAATAATTGGCGCCACTTCATGCATCTAACAAGTGACAGGATTCAAACTCAGGTTTGCTTGATTTCAACTAAGCTTTTAAGTGGGTCTCTTGCAAGTCTGAAACATTTAGCCTGATGTTTAACTTTATCATTTTGATAGGTATTTTACTGCCCAGAAGCTCTTTGTGTTATTGGCAGGCATTTTAGGATTTGATTTTTTAAGTCATCTATTCAAATGTTAAACAAGATTATTCAAAGAACAAATCTCTGGGGAACCCCAAAGTGAGCAATTTTTGACACAGTGAAGTATATGATTATCCCAATCTGTTGTGTCCTGTTTTAAAATACATTTCAAAGCCTTGAGATAGTCAGTTCTCTGATGCTATGTGACCCAATGTGGCCACAGGTATGAAATCTTATCACGGTTTTTTGAAAGTCTGAAATATTGTACATTACTAGTTATGCCTTATTCACATCCTCACTTATAGCAAACATTAATCAGGGGGTAGAGATGAGGATTGTGTTCTTCAATGATTAGTAAGTACCAAAAACTACGCTCAGCACAATCTACATTATTTTGATTTTCTCAGCCAAAATCTCCATTTTTCAGATGAAAATACTGAGACCCAGACTGATGAGGTACCTTGCTGTAGGTCCTGCTATTAGTAAGTATAGAAGCCGGGACTTGATCACTGCTCGAGATCTCTGCAGAGCCTGCAATTTTATACCACGACTCAGAAATGGGAGTAAAAATAGAAAATAGGGAATTTAGGGAAAATGTCAACTTCCCAAATGGCTCTATCTTTCAGAAGTGCTTACTTTATTTGGGCCTAATTTTCAAAAGCCTGTAGAAACAAGGCAGAGAAAATACACAGAATCATTGCCTGTGCTCATGAGTCTCTGAGCTACTTGGGGTGTGCTGGCTACCATCCCTATGGTTTCATAATGCACTTTCCCTCTCTCACCCCACATTCAGACACTGCTCCAAACAAGACAACCTGTCTGTTTTCCTGCCACAAATGGGTAAAGTTGTCGACTTACTCTATCTTGACAATTATTGTTTTGAAAGAAACTTCTAAAAGTTTAATCACAGAGAATGCTTAGTCACTGGATACAATTTCAAAGAGAATTTGGAAACAAAATAAATAGTCTTGCCTTTTCTACCCCATAAGGTGTTGTGGGGCCCAATAGGATACGTTAATTTTTGAAAATGATATGCCTTTATTCAAATAAATGTAGGAGGTGTTACCGGGTCTTGACTTTTGTACCTTATAAGCAAGGCCATCTTGCTGCAGTTGCTCTGAAAGAAGATAAATGAAGTTCAGCCAGAGATGCTGCAGGAGAGGAATGTATGGTGGGTGTGTTATTGATGAGATATGATGGTTTTCTAGTTCTGTGACCTATAATTTTCTTATAACTCTGTGCCTCAGTTTCTCTATTTGAAAGATGGAGATATTAATAGAAACTGTCCCTAGGGTTACTGAAACTATTAAGTATGCTAATACGTATAAAGGGCTTCACACAGGAACTACCTCAGAGCTGCCACAGCAGAAATGTTAGCTCTTTTATTGTTATTCTCCATCACTGCCTTGATCCACCTGCCTGAAAATCTCATCTACCCAGAACAGTGAGCCTCAAGTTGTCAACTGCCCTTTAGCACAACTTCTGATAGAAGGCTAGAAGGCTAGAAGGCTGCCTGGTTGCTGACCAAGGATTTTCTTTTGCCTCTTAAAATGCTATCATTTTCTCTGTGTAAACCATAAACACATTAACAGAAAACAGGGCCTCGTTCACTAGGCTGCCATGAGCCTAGCTCCCAGCAGCAGCAGTTCCTGATATAACAAAGTGGTTTCACCTTACTTAGGTAGAAAAGATTATGTTGATTTCCTAAGTAGAAAACTCCAAAATATTGGCCAGAGTGCTATTCCTCTCATCACTTATGTCTTCAGGTCTTTCTGAGGGAGAAAAAAAAAAAAAAAAAAACTTGAAAAGAAAAAAACTCAATGTTTCTTTTTCCGCCAGATTGCTTCTTTAATTGGTGGGTCTGAGTGTGGCCCCATTTACCCAGTGGCTGTGCTAAGGTTTAACGACTAGACCAGTGGTTTGCACTAGCACTTGTCCTAGTTATTTGACACTTTTTGCTGTAGGTCAAAGTGAGTAGACATTCTGGTTTTGCAGGGACTGTCCCCAGTGAATTGGCTCAAAGTGTTTCTTTTTAGCCACTTTATGATGTACTGTGGCCCTTTAATTCCCACCTAGCCCCACTCAGACTGCAGACATGAAGTGATTGCTTTTATAAAATGTTAATTGGAAGGATTAAACAATCATCTGCTTTTTTCCTTTCTTTTTTTTTTTTATATGGAGGCTGAAATAAAAACCGAGGAGGTACAGGGTTGCTGGTAATTGCAACCTAAAAAGGCTGGGGATTCTGAAAAACCATACTACAACATAATTTCTATAGGAGGAGGGGGCACAGCTTTGGTCAAGCCTGTTTGGAGAAGCAAGAGAGTGACTTATTAGAGCATGTTGAAAGTTAAGAACCTGGGGAAACAAACTACCAAGCCAGTGTTAAAAAGGAAGTTAACCCGATGAAGGCACTCAAAGCAGGGCAAAGAAAGTGGCTAGTGGAATATAAAGTTCCAGCCTTGACCCTTACTACATAGTTTTAAATAAACACCATGAATACACCTTTGTTGATAATTATTTTCCATTTGACTTCCTACATTTTGAATGTAATATTAGCCAATGGAATACTAGTATTCTAGGGTTAGAAGAATCATTGGAAGCCATCTAGTCCTACTCCCTGTTGAGAATATTTTGAGGGCATTTGTGTAGGCCAGGCTGTAGCTGTATCTCATCCATGTTTGTTATAATGAGATCTGGGAATTTACACTGGAAACTCTTTGTTCATTTGCAAAATTTAAATTGTTCTTGATTAGGTTGCTTCCCAGAGCACTTTTATATAATTAGAATAAAATAAATTGTGGTGGGGAAAGGTGCTTATACATCATCATTGGATTACCCATCTGCCTTTGAGATGTGGCTGTGTAAATGGTTCAGCTGTGGGCCACTTGCCATGTTGGAAACTGGTGTATTGTAGTGTGTGGGGGGTGGGTGGGGGTAGGTGCCTGGCTTAGTTTAGATATTCATGATCAGTAGAAGTTCACAAAATGTGGAATTAACTGGTAATCATTGTGTAACTTGTGATACGCTTTCTTGGGCTGGACTTCTGGGATTTCATATGGCAGGAAGAAAGAATCACAGCCTAATAACAGTAACAATAATATTCTTATATGGCAGCAAATTTTACTGAGTGCATACTGTTCTCTCTATATGTGTGTGTATGTGTGTATGTATGTGTGTGTATGCATATACACACACACATATATACATATACTGTGTATAAATATATGCATATAATTACGCATTTAATCCTTTATGACATTTCATCTTTATAACATCCTTTAAGGTAGAAACTATTATTATTCTCATTTTACAGATGAGAAAATTGAGGTATGGAAAGATTAAATGATTGGACAAGGTTATTCAAGCCCAAGTTAGATGGGGTCATATTTTAAAAATGTAGTAAAGCCTCCATTCACAAGTAGATGAACTTGGACCACAAGGAGATAATGTGGTTTTCTCAATAGCAGAGGTGAAACTGGAACACAGATCTACTCCTTGTCAGCTTCACTTTCATATGTCACTCCCTCCACTCTCTGCTGGCTAAGTGTTAAGCAAGGTGATTTCTAAGATCTTTCAGTCTCTAAGCTGATATATTTCTGAGTCGAGCAAACATGAAATTTAAGTGTTGTCCTGGAAAATCCCCCTCTACTTAAACCTTTTCCTTTCAGGGGATAGGCGTGTCTTTCCAGAAATAGAGTTCAACAGCATCAAGCTACCATCATCCAATGGAAGTGATAGGAAAAAAATTACCTAGATGACTCATTTATCTTGTGAACCATGGACTCATAAAGAAGAAAACACATAGCAGGAACATACATATGTTATTACATGCTGAGATAGTAAGGTTAAAGAAAGTTAGAGAAGGTAAGTTTACAACAGAATGGAATAAACTATGCAGATAAGCTGGAAGTACTATAGAATTCTCCAACCATCTCTCCTTCAGTGCTAGGAGTCTGATAATTACATCAAAACCAGAATTATTTGCATGCCCAGACATCTTCATGGAGACTGCCCTGTTTGTCTTTTGTTAGTCTAGCTCAGTGGTCCTTACACTTAAACATGCCTAAAAATTATTGTATAGGGCTGTATATACACAGGATAATGTATGCTGTCATGTGTGGATAAAATAGGGGGCTTTGTGAAGGGTATTTTTGACTATATGAAATTTTCCCCTGTAAGTGCAGGCTTTAAAACCTAACAATTGGAGGAGATGTATGCCCACTTTAAATCTACATGTCAAACTTATTGGCTTGTGAATTCAGTAAAATTAATAGCAACAGGAATAGCAATCATTACCATGGAGAATCATTTAGTGGGGTATTTTGCTGTTGCATAGACGTCATCAGAGAGGACATAGGAATCTTAATAGCATCTGTCAGAGAATTCAAAGGTATTAGATTTAGGGCTTTAAAAGTTTATGATTTTCTATCCAGTCAACTGACCCAAATATTATCCTCAAACACTCTTGGATCATTGAACATATGTTACATCTTTCATGAAGACTTCTTTGACTTAATTGCTTCTTTTGTTTGTTCGTTTGTTTGTTTGTTTTGTGAGACAGAGTCTTGCTTTGTCACCCAGGCTGGAGTGCAGTGGCATGATCTCAGCTCACTGCAATCTCCGCCTCCCAGTTCAAGCGATTCTCGTGTCTCAGCCACCCCAGTAGCTGGAATTACAGGCATGCACCACCATGCCTGGCTAATTTTTGTATTTTTAGTAGAGATAGAGTTTTGCCATGTTGGCCAGGCTGGTCTCAAACTCCTGGCCTCAAGTGATTCGCCTACCTCAGCCTCCTAAACTACTGGCGTTACAGGCATGAGCTTCTGTGCCCAGCCTTAATTGCTTCTTTAGTGCTGCCCCTGCACTTAACACAGAAATCTGTAGAAGTGATTATTCTCATTGTATGTTAAGGGCTTATTTGTGGATGACTATCTTCTCAAGTATCTTCCAAGGTAGAACATGTGCCTTTTTAGTGTTATTACCTCAATTTTTAGTAGAGATGGCCAACTCGCATCATTTGCTCAATAATTATTTATTGATTGACTCGATTAATCCGAGTCACTATAGCATTCTACTTTCTGAGGAATGGGAGGACTACAATCAGGGCCTAAGCTTTTAGCATACACTCAGTTTGCATTGTGCTAAATTTTCTGTTAAAAAGATAACATCTGCCTGCCCCAATAGGAGCTGGAGATTTCAGGCATCCTGCTTTGACCAGTTGGTTTATACCTGAAAGGTCTCTCTGTAGAGCTTTGGCAAGAAAACCTGTTACTAAGAAGAGGTTACAATTTCTTTCTCTAATGTGAGTTGACATTAGGGTCTGATTTGGGCCAGGGTCTGCCTCTGGCCTATAGATCTCCCAGAAAGAACCCATGCATATTTTGTCCCTAAAGACTGAATTACCATCTCTTTCTCCCTGCAGAGCTAAGGGGGCATTCTGGGATGCAGGTGGTGCTCAGGAATTTTCAGCTTTTCTTGAGGATCTGAAATTGCAGTAGTATCCTTTAGGTTGCAGTGGGTAGGCAGATATCTTTACCTGTTGGCTCTGAAAAGCCAGATCATCTATCTGATGAATGACCTAAAGTCCCTTCTTTCATATATTCCCTTTTTAACATGGTGACACTTTTCTGGCTTAGAGAATAAATGAAAAAAAAAAAAACACAAAAGAAAATAAACAAAACCCAGGAATTCAGCAATGGAAGAGATCTTGGTGATTATAGGGTCTGGTAACTTTTTTCTTTTCTTTAACTTTTCAAAAATTGTAAAATATAACATACATACAGAAAAGTATATAAAACAGATACACAATAATGTGAATAATTATAAAGCCAACACCTATGTTTCACACTGAGGTTAAGAAATAGAATGCTGCCAGCATTTTAGAAGCTTCCTGTGTTTCCTTCAGGATGACAGCTTTCTCCCTTGACCCTGGAGGGAATCACCATCCTCAATTCAATACAATACAATTCAATACAATCATCTCTTTGATCTTCTATGTAATTTGACTATCAAATTGGCATCTCTAACATTTTCTTTATGTAAATAGGATCAAATTACATACGTTGTTTTTTCATCAATATATTTGTAAGATTCACTCATGTTATTGTGTGTGGCTGTCATTTGCTTTCATTTCTCTTTAGCTTTCCAGTTGGTAATGTACCACAATTTATATCTGCAGTTGTCTCTTTTTTGGTTATTTCAGCCTGCTGTGTAGAACATTCTTTACACTCATCCTGGTGTACATGTGTGCAAGTTTCTGTAGTCTAGGGCATAGACCCAAGGTGGACACGTTTATATTATCAAACTGTTCTCCAAAGTAAGTGTATCAGTTTTTACTCTAATCACATTCTGGGCAACACTTGGTTTTGGCAGACCTTTTAATCTTTTGCCATTCTTATGAATGTGTATGGTAGTGGTATTGGTATTCTGTGGTTTTGACTTTCATTTCCTTAATTATTAATGAGGTTGAGCACTTTTCCATATGTTTATTGACCATTTGGACTTAGTAACTGTGAAGCGTCTGTTTACGACTTTTTGCCCATTTGTATTTGGTTTTCTGTCTTTTAAAATTTGATTTTTAGATATTCTTTACCGATTCTGGGATTGTATGCTTTTCAGATAATTTCTATAATTCTGTAGCTTGGTCATTTCACTTGCAATGTGGTGTCTTATGGTAAACTGAAATTCTTAATTTTAATGCAGTCAAATGTATCAGTCTTTTTCAATATGAATATTACTTTATGCATCTTGTTCAAAAAATTATCCTCTACCCCAAGATCATGAAGACCTACTGTATTTTTTTCTAAAAGCTTTATAGTTTTGTCTTTCACATTTGGCTCCATAATCCCCCTGGAGTTGACTTTTACATACAGTTTGAGCTAGGAATTCATTGGCATTTTTCTTTTTCCATTATAATTTATTAAAAAACCCTCTTTCCCCCATTAATTTGCAGTGCCACTTCTCATAAACTAAATCCATATATGTATGTTTCTGTTTTTGAGTTCTACGGTTTTA
The DNA here is from genome assembly GCF_000001405.40 of Homo sapiens. NCBI lineage: Eukaryota > Metazoa > Chordata > Mammalia > Primates > Hominidae > Homo > Homo sapiens. The sequence goes on from NC_000010.11 coordinate 88,142,001, forward strand.
TTTATCTACCCTTGAGCCAATACCACAACGTCTGTTACTGTATCTTTAAAATAAGTTTTGGTATCTGGTATACATAATTCTCCCACCTTGATTTTCTTCTTCAAGATTGTCTTAAAGAAGATACTTATTTTCCTTTTGCACTTCCATAGAAATTTTAGAATCAGCCTGTCAAAATCCTCAACAACCTATTGAGTTTTGACTGGAATTACAATGACTTTTAAAACAATGGTGAATTGACATTTTTGTAACACTAAGTTTCCCCATCCATGAACATGGAATAGCTCTCTTCTTTAATGACTGTTAATAAGGATTTCCAGTTTTCTTCATAGTAGTCTCACATATCTTTTGCTAGATTTATTCCAAGGAACTTGATATTTTTGATGCTGTACTAAATAATGTGATTTAAAAATGTTATTTTCTAGATTTTTATCAAAGGACTATAATAATACAGTTGATTTCTATATATTGAGTTTGTATCCAACAAATATGCCAAACCCTGTTATCAATTTTAATAATTTAAATATAGTTTCTAAGGGGTTTTCTACATTAAAAATTGTATTACAGTTTTGTTTCTTTCCAAACTTTATAGCTCTAATTTCTTTTCTTTTCTTTTTTTTCTTTTCTTCATGTTGTGCTGATAAGGGCCTCCAGTTCAATGATTAATAGAAGTGAAAGCAAGCTTGCATCCTTGCCTTTTTTCTGATCTCAAATGTAAATATTTTAACATTTCACCATTAAGCAAGACATTTTTGATGTAGATTTTTGTAGCTATCCTTTCTTATGATAAGGAAGTTATCTCTATACCTAATGTGCAAAGAGGATTATATATAATTTTATCATGAATGTATATTAAATTTTGTTGAATGCTTCCTTTTGTCTGTGAGATGATCATATGATTCTTTGATCTGCTAATGAAGTAAATTACATTGATTTATTTTCTAATTTTAAACAAAACTTGAATTCTTGGGATAAAGCCAACTCGGTCATTACCTATTATCTTTTCTATGTATTGCTTTAGTTAACTAATGATTTTGCTCAAGATTGCTTTCCTTTTTCATACTGAATTGTTTTGCTGGCCTCATCACATGAATTGAGAATTGTCTCCTCTTCCTCTCATTTCCCCAGAACAGAGCATAAGATTAAAGTTTTTTTGTTGTTGTTTTTTCTTGACTGTTTGGGTCTAGATTTTTTTGTTTGTTTTTTGAATGTGAGACTTTTTTAGTACAATTCAATTTCTTTAATGCTTATGAGATATTCGGATGGTATATTTTTTCTTGTGTTAGTTTTAGTAAGTTATATATATTCACAAGACATTTTTCTATTACATCAAAAAGTTTAATTTATTGGTATAAAACTATTTATAGTATTACTTGATTATCTTTGCGATGTCTGCAAGATTTGTAGTAAGGCCTTATTTTTTCCATTTATGATATAATGGTATCTTTTTTCTTTTTAAAATATCAGCTTTATCAGTGTTTTATTAATTTTCTTAGTCTTTTCAAAGAACCAATCTTAAGTTTTGTTGATAGTCTCTTGAACTATTTGTTTCATATTTTATTGATTGCTGTTCCTATCTTTACTCTTTCCCTTCTTTATATTTCTTAGGGTTTTTCTGATATTCCTTTCTTAACTTTTTGAGAGATATGTTTATTTTATTGATTTTAAGCCTTTCTACTTTCTGAATACCATACTTCATGTATTATAAGACAAACATTTTACACATTTTAACATCTTTGAAACTGAGATGCATCTTGCAACTGATGGCATGTCGTGATTCAGTTGCAAGCATTTTCTTCTCATTGTAGTACATAAATTATTGGCACATCTTACAATAGATACTATCATAGATTCAATAAAAGGAAGTATATGCAGTTGAGGCTATTACTCTCCCTTCAAGTGGTGCTTTTGCTTGGTTTCCACAAGCATGTTTTGTTAGCCTCTTCTCTCTCAGTTCTATATTTTGGATAGTTTCTTTCGTTCTTTTTTTCAGTTACTCTTACTTTCTTCTGACATGTGTAATGTGATGTTAAACATGTTCGTGTAATTTTTATTATAAATTTTTCCAGTTTTAGAAGTTGGTTTTTTAAATGACAATGCCACTCATTACCATTTTCTATTCTCTGAAGTATTTTTAAATTTATCCTTATTTATTTAAATACAGTAAACAGTTGTTGTTTTATTGTCTGTGTCTGACAATTCCACTATCTGAAGTCTTTTTGGTTTGTTTCTATTCTCTGTAGTTTCTTCTGGCTTTCTCTCATGGAGTTTTCTTCCTTTGTGTGCCTGACTATCTTTGACTGTGCTTGTCTTTACAATTTAAAAACATTTTTAAAAACCCAAGAATAATATACATACATTAAAGTGAACAAAACTTTGAATTGAATATATCCAATTTCTTAAGACTTTCTTATGACCTTTCCTAGTCAATGCCATCATCCCCTTTCTGGTAACCACTATTCTTTCTTCACCATCGTGAATCTGTCCTGCTGTAGTAGAAACTATATGTCCAGATACAGTAGAAATTATTTGTAACAACAATTTGAGAATTGTGATTGGTATGAGGAAATCTTTCAGAAGGGATTTTATTTGTTTTTTGGGTATATAGGGAAATAACAAGTTCAAATTTGTTATTCCCTAGACCACGCAAAGGACATAAACCCAGGCTATAAATACATGGGAAGGCTACTTGACCTTCAGGGGCCCAGTTTCAGAGGAGGGTGACTTACTAGAGAACCCACCTTGGGCAGAATCTGCACTTTGACTTGCGTCACCCGCAAGTCCACAAAAACTGCAGTTCCGATTTGTAGCTTTTGCTTTATACTGGCAAATGCCCTTAGGACAGAGTAACTTTGAATGTTATCTCTTTGGGTACTGCCTTTTTCTAGATGTTGTCCCAGGAATTTCTTACTATTTATTGTTCTTTAATATTTCAAATAGACTGTTTTGTTTTGATGTTCTATCTAGTTTTAAACATTGCTCTCAGAAGGAGGTTTTTCTGTTGTAATGGTATTTATTTATGTTTTAAACTTTATTTCTTTTGAGCTGTGGAAATTTTTTCTGAATTTTAGGCAGATTTATGATATATAAAATCCATAAAAGGAGAGAGTCATGCTTAAAATTATGCAGATGTTAGTGGGCCATGCATTTCTCCTAGAAGCCATTTTCTTTCTGGGATTAGGGACTGCTTCCTAGTTTCTGTTTGTATCCTGAGAGGTCTACATTTGTTTGGTTTGTTGTACCCCACCCTCTATCTTAAGGATCTTAACCAGGCCCTCTGAGTGGTCCGGCTATATTACAAAATGAAAAATAAATTGCCCAAAAGAATCACAAATATGGTTTATTTAAATTGTCTAGCAAATTAATACTTGGATGAAAATGTTGTGTTCATTCCCCTTCTAAACATAAGGCCTGGATCTAACGCTCTCCACCTACCTTGATAGGTCCTCTCTTAACTTTTGATCACTTACAATATTCTTTTGCTGGTCAGAACCCTAGTCATTCCTCATTGCCTCCAGAAAGATGAATTTATATACCTTGCCAGGCATGTGGTCCTTTCCTCCCCTCTCCTTCCCTCCCCTTCTCCTTCCCTTTTACCTTCCTCCTTCCCTTTTTCCCTTCTTCCCTCCCTCCCTCTCTTCTTTCCTTCCTCCTATTCCTTCCTTTTAGTAAATTATTGATTTTTGCCATTAGTTTCAGAAACTAGTTGTGATTACTAATGTGTCCTAGCTCCCCTGAGGCTCTGCTGTAAAATAGCCAGTGAATGAGGATTTTTTAAAGGTGATGAGTTGGCCAGTGATGAGGGAGGGCGAAGAGTGGCCGGTGGGGTGGGGTGGGGGGACACAGAAAGCATACATGTCTTGACTCAGTGTGGTTGATGGCCAGAACCCATTTTCAATCCTATGAAATCAGAGGTAGATTTACCAGACATTCTTGCTTCATAAAGTAGGCATGCTCTGTGCTCTTTGCCTCTGGATTTGAGTGGAATCCAGGCGGGTGTGTAGGAATCTTTGGTAACCCATTAGAACATAATCTATTCATGTTTTTCTCCCTCCTAGCCCATTTAGGAGAAGAAAACCTTGGTTTATTTCTCTCTCAAGTGAGGAAGATAAAGAACAAAACAAATAAAACTAAACACACATCTGAATTCCAGTCACTAAAATGATGACTTGGAGTTTTGCAAACAGAACAAGTCTTTGCATGGACTTGAGATCTTGGCCATGGAATCAAGACTGAGGGGTAAGCTTTGTTTCCCCAGTCAACTCACATATACGTAGAGCAGCATTTCTCAACTCAGCTTTTTTATACCAGTACTCTACTAGCAAAGAAGTTATAGTCAAGTTATATTTTCAAAGTCTGCATTATGACAGCAATGCATTTCATTTTCTAAATATAACACTAGATTATAATATTGATTGTACTTTTTCAAAATACTCTTCATCCCCCACCCCACTCCTATATTGTCCCTTTCTATTCCTCACCCTCTGATTTGAGGATCACTGAACAACATCATTCAGCTGTCCTACTTATGGTGCTATGAATCTAGAGCCAATTCTGGCCAAGGGTCTCAGGGTATTCTCCAAAGGAAGTTCAACAACAATCTTTGCATGCAATATGAATTAAAGTAGGAGAATTTTTGTTTTGTTTTGAGACGGAGTCTTGCTCTGTTGCCAGACTGGAATAAAGTGGCATGATCTCGGCTCACTGCAACCTCCGCCTCCCAGGTTCAAGTGATTCTCCTGCCTCAGCCTCCCGAGTAGCTGGGACTACAGGCACGTGCCACCGTGCCTGGCTAATTTTTGTATTTTTAGTAGAGATGGGGTTTCATCATGTTGGCTAGGAGGGCCTCGATCTCTTGACCTTGTGATCCACCCGCCTCGGCCTCCCAAAGTGCTGGGATTACAGGCATGAGGCACTACACCTGGCTGGAAGAAGCTAATTTTTGTCTGGTGTCCAGTGGTCAGAGAAATAGACAATTGGCAAATGAGAAGACAATGTCCAAAAAGGAAATTTTTTTCCAAGTCAAGAAATAAGCTAAAGCCTAGAATTCATCTTTGAGATTCCTCAGTGCCTAATATAGTGCTGGATGTATAAGTGGCTATCAGTAAATATGTTTAGACCAACAATTCAAATTCCCTGTGTGGACATACTTGATGGATCACCCTGTGGCTATGGTAGGAGATGTTGGATGAGGCAGCAGCAGCACAGAGGAAGGAGGAATAAAACCAGCCTTGGTTTCAAATGTCATCTCCGCCTCTTATTACGTGACCTTGGAAAAATTACTTAAATCTTCTTTGTCTCAATTGTGTCACTGTAAAAGAGGAATTAGAATACCTCACAACTTTATTATTTATAAAAATTAGAAATAGTGTAAGCAAAGTGCTTGGCGCATACACAACTCTCATTGAGTGGTGGCTGCTACTATTATTGGAAATAAAAGAACAAGAATATTAACTTAAGAAGATTTTACTAGGGAAAAGCTTCTTTAAGCAAACTCTCTTCCAAATCCGTGAAGCAGGGTCTGGCTTTGCCCCAAGTTTTTGAAACACGTAGCCTTGGTGTGAACTCTGTACCCAGTCCTTTTCTGTAATCCCTGTAGACCCCAAGTTCTGCTGACCCCAAAGTGCCTTAGTCATAGGGGAATTAATAGGACATTTGGCCAAAACCTCCAAATGGAGATCTTCCAAGGACAGAACATTCTGGAACCCATAGTGTTTTATATATTCTTCTCACAGTGGCTGGGGTCAAAACAAAGCCAGAAGGAAAACTGTGTTAGGAGACCCAGATCCAGACCCAAAGAAAGAAAGTTAAGAAGTTTTCGAATTTGCTTGTTGTAAATGATATATCTTGGCACCTAATTTAGCTTTCTCTTGGCAAACTGGCTGGTTTATTAGTAGTGAAGTTAATTTGAAAAATGAAATAACTTCCAACAAGTTAAAAAGTAATGCTTTAAAAATTTCACTGTATTAATTTTAACATTGGCTTTTCATGTTATTACGTTAATTTTATATGTGATGGTTCAAGTGAAAGGAGTTGTTCTATTTTAAATATGACATTCTATTTGTGAATACAATTCTGGAAATATTGGGAGAAACGTAATTGGTAAAAGTATTTTCTATTAAATTCTCTGGGGGTGGTGGTGGAATGTTTTCTTAAATTATTTTGGTTAGAGGGCAAACACTGTCTTTTAATGATCTTTGAATCAGCAGAACTTATTTAGCATAGAGACTGACATACAAAAGTTAATAAATAGATGCAAGAAAAACTAAAACACAGCATGAAGTGGTGGGGAGAACACTCCACACAAACCCAGAAGTCTTTCCCTTTGGCCTCAGCTCTATCACTAATATGCTGTGTGATGGAGACAATCACTTAACCTTTCTGCAGCAGACTCTTTCTTTATGCTGCAAGGCAGAGGAGTGAAATAATAGTGGTCTTAAAGAGTTGCTCTGCTTGCCTCATGTATTAGTCCATTTTCATGCTGCTGATAAAGACATACCCGAGACTGGGCAATTTACAAATGAAAGAGGTTTAATGGTCTCACGGTTCCACGTGGCTGGGGAGACCTCACAATCATGGCAAAAGGTGAAAGGCACGTCTCACATGGCAACAGACAAGAGAAGAGAGCTTGTGCAGGGAAACTCCCCTTTATAAAACCATCAGATCTCGTGAGACTTATTCACTGTCAGGAGAATAGCACAGGGAAGATTTGCTGCCATGATTCAATTACTTCCTACCAGGTCCCTCCCACAACACATGGGAATTGTGGGAGCTACAATTCAAGATGACATTTGGGTGGGGACACAGCCAAACCATATCACCTCACAAGAACAGCATAGGGTGCAAATGAGACAATGAATGTGCTTTGTACACCAGAATATATGACATAAATCATGACAAAAAATATAGAACTCTTTGCAGTTTTTTAATTTCTTAATCAAGATGCCTTCGGAGAAGTCAATCAAGTTGGGAACAGCTAATATTCTCACCTAGGCCATGCTGTATCATGACATAAATAATTGTAATAACATTGATAATGACTTATTTATTGAGCAATTATTATTATAAGCCAGATCCTGTGGTAGACAGATTACATTCTTTTCATCTTTAAAACAACCCTGTAAGTCAGGCATTGTTATTATTATCTTTATTTTAGAGATGGGAAAACAGAAGCTCAAGTCATATCCATCACTTTGTCTGTCTGACTCCAAAAGTCATCCTCTTGCCACTATGCCATATTGCCCCTCATAAAAAGTTTTAACAGGCTCTGAGCACCACTGTGATACAGGTTTCTTTACCTAGCAGATTTCATTGAATCCTCACCACAACAAATGAGGTAGAGTATTATTATTGTCCCCATTCTACAGTTGACAAAACTGAGGCACAGAGGGCCTAGGCAATGGGCTCTGTCTGATCCCAAGTGTGGCTGTTTTTCCTACACAATGTTAGAGTTTACAATACTTCTTTTTGTGATAGTGTAGAAACAGTGGGGCAAGAACTTAGGCATAATGTGTCCTATATTCCTCCCTAGCAGGTGACATTTTTATTTGTAGAAAGAAGTTAAGGAATAGCAATATTGAGTTCCAGTGGGAGCCTTTCTGCAAGGCAGAGGAGGGCCTAAAGCTAATCTCAGTGGACTTTGTGAAGGATACTAGCCCTCCGACTTTTGATTTGTCTTTCTGTTTTAGAGAAATGAATGAGTTATGAATCTTACTCCCCAAGTAGCTGCACAGAGTTCAAACCTAGACTTTTGTGCAGCAGGAAGGCAAGCACCGGACCTATGTCCAACCAATCACAAGCTCCCAGGGAGCCATCCCTTTGGAAGAGAGGGAGCGTGGGAACAAACAGGCCTGATGTCTGTCTTTTATTTTTACTATAATGGAGTCTGGTGTTCTGTGGAAGCAGCAGCAGAAGTGGCATAGAGCTGATGGAAGGAGGGGTGGCAGGCCCTGCTATAGAGATTTAAGGCAGACCTTGCCATTGACTGCTTGGCAGTGGTGAGGATTTTCTTATCCTGGTCTTGGACACTGCTACTGGAAGCCTAACGTTGATCTATGAATCACCTAAAATCTGTGAGCTATCTATACCTCTTGATTAAAATAGCCAGAGGTTTCTGTTTCTTGCAAATAAAACCCATGCCTGATTCAGTAGTCATGCAGTTCAGTCAATAGGAAGTCTCATCCACCTCCAGAGACTCTGGCCTCCAAGTGTGCACTGATCAGGGCATTGGATCAGTCTTCTCCACTGTCCTGGGCACCATAATAAGAAAATCCAAGTTCTCTATTCCCCAGAGTGCTCCTGGCATCCCTGGTGTACTGGCTTCTGAGAGCCAATAGTTAAATTTTTAGGAATTTTATGAGTCCATTGATATTTCTGGTACAGCAGTTCCCTCATCTCCATGATTTCACTTTCCTTGGTTTCAGTTACCTGGGGTTCAAAAATACAAAATGAAAAATTCTAGAAATAAACAATTCATAAGTTTAAAATTGCCTGCTGTTCCACGTAGCATGATGAAATCTGTGCCAGCCTTCTCCACCCAGACTTTGATGTGAGTCATCCCTTTGTCCAGTGTATCTGCATTGTAGATGCTCCTTGTCCATTAGTCACTTAGTGGCCTTTGCGGTTATCAAATCAAAAAGACACAGTAGAATCATGGGCCACATAACGAAGTTTCAGTCAACAATGGAACACATATAGGACAGTGGTCCCATAAGGTTATAATACTGTATTTTTACTGTATCTTTTCTATGTTTAGATACACAAACACTGTATCTTTTCTATGTTTAGATACACAAACACTTACCATTGTGTTACAGTTGCCTGCAGTATTCAGTACAGTAAAATACTATACAGATTTGTAGCCTAGGAACAATATTCTGTACCATAGAGCCCAGGTGTGTAGTAGGCTCTGCCATCTAGGTTTGTGTAAGTACACTCTATGATGTTTGCACAATGACAAAATCACCAAAAATTTATTTCTCGGAACTTATCCCTGTCCAGAAGCAACATATGACCGTATACATAGGGTTTGGTACTATCTGCAGATTCAGACATCCACTAGAGGTCTTGGATTGTATCCCCTTTGGATAAGGGGGGACTAATGAAGCTTAAAATCAGCTATGGTTGGAGTATTCACATCCTAGAAATGGGCAAATTCTACACATCAGGCCTCCCACACCTCCCAGTCCATTGTTAATTTACCAGCACATTACTGTCCTGATATCTTATAATTTTGAGCTTTTTGCTACAGACTTTTAATGAAATGTTCTGCTAAGCCTCATTCAATATTGATAACATTTGCTAAGATTTTTACTATGAATTAATCTCAAATAAAAAAATATAATTTGTAAGAACCTTGCTAGTGTTATTTGCTAATCCCTTCAACTGTTGAGACCCCTTCAACTGTTCTCCTATCTGATCCAGAAGAAATGTCACTTTCTCTGGGCCTTAACTGACCCCTCCATCCAGAATCAATTACTCCATCTTCTGAGCCATCCCCAGTACTAGGTGCATCAATGCACTTGCCTCATTATTGTTCTTAGAAAAACATTTACAGAATGCTTATACACATTAGGCTCTATTCTAGTGCTTTAGATATAGTAAGCAATTACTGAAACCTCATAACCATCCAATGAGGTAGGTACATTTGTATGTTGCTGAATTGGGCCATAGTTCCTCAGTTTCTATTTAGAAAATAAGGTCTCAGTTTCAGCTGATTTTAGTGCTAAAGTTTTAGAGCTGGGGCTGTGATTTAGGGAGGAGTGGGGACAACAAAGAACAGAGAGGGAAAGCCATTTGATAACAAAGAGATCCTCACTTCAAGGATAACCAGTTCCTCTCTACTACAGGAGATATCTTCTGGAACATTAAGGTGTGAAGAGGGGAGACTAAGATAAGACTTAAAAAGAGTAGGCTGCACTCATTAGGAATACTGTATTTGCTGGGCTGTATCAGCAGCAGAGGCTTCTGAAGAAATGGGCTCTCTCAGTTCGGGCCTTTGAACCCTACTCATCATCCATAATCCTACTCAAATGTCACTGTCTCTGGGAAGCCTTCTCTTTCTCCCTAGGCCTCACCTACTTAGCAGATTATCAAGGGCATTGTAGAATCCATCAAAGCATCTGAGGCTATTGTTGATACAGCCAGAACTCAGTCATCACTTGCTGAACACTTGAGTTTAGGCCAAGAATGAGAGAGATCTTGGAGAATCTTCCTGGGGTGGTTCTTCAAAGAAACTGCAATCTTTGCCTGCATAATCACCTCACTTCTCCACCTGGTTATGGCCATGGGAACATGACCACCATGTGCTACTAGAAAAACTTGCATCCATCTCCTATCACATCTTTTTTTCCGCAGAAGATTACTGAGATTGTGAAGTATGAAATCATGCTTCACCCACCACCACTCCAGTGATGGATGTGCCAGCGTATGTGTGTGTGTGTGTGTGTGTGTACTGCTGAACTGTCCTAGTGAAGTCCCATCTCACCAGACACCTCTCTGTGTATCATGTGACAGTTTCTTCGTTTAGAATACGGGGCCAGAGCAATGTTTGCCATCCAGGAAGCTGTGGAGAAGAGCCACAACGTGCCAAACCCAAGTGAGCATGCTAAGGAACAAGCAGTGATAACGTTATCCCAGGAGCAAAGTTCTGGTCAATTTAGTCTATAATTAGGTCAAGTTCTCTCCCACTTCCACCTCTGGTGTGTCTCTAGGAAATAATTTGCCTACCATGGTTATGTTGGGGCAGTCTCTGTTCTTCTGGACAGCCTTGGGGTGTAGCCTATGAAATAGGCCAGGATGAGCAGTCTGTATGAGCTCTTGGCTCATTGTTTAGGCTCAGTAATAGCAACCACATGGCACTGCAGAGGCCTTGCCATGCCTGGAGGGCTTGGGCCCTGCTCTTATCCAACAAGATCTGACTACAGCCAGACTGAAAGTGACATGGCCTGCTTAGTAACCTTCAATATCCTCTTACGGGATTCTCTGACTCAGAACTCACAGACAGGATGTGATCTCAGCTCCTCACATACCTTCCAGGCACATGGGCATGGTTGCATGTTTCCTCCAGTTTTAATTGGGGTGAGAAAAAATACTAAACATGTGTGTGTAGGAGACCAAGAGGAATTTCTTAGGGAGGATCTTGAAGATCCTTGGGGAGCTCCAGAGGACAGAGCTTTTGCTTCCTGACTTTTTGCTCTATTGTCTAGATCCCAGTAATTTATCCAGAGGTAACTATGGGCTTCTGGCTGGTCTCCCTGCCTTGAGTCTCTTAACCCCTCATTATCTGCCCAGAAATGTTAGAGACACCACCCTCAAGCACTGTTTCTTTCTGTCAAACCAAGTCTTCCCTCCCACATCCATTCTGGTCAGCAAAGTTATCTATTAACTTACCTGTATTCCATCTTCCCTACCTCTTACCATTCCTTCCTTTTGCTTCTCTATGGCCCGTTGGTCAGTCCCCTTGTAGTTCACCTCCTATAGCTCACCAGTTCTTCCAACTCAAAGTGGAATTTAATCCTTACTGGGAAGGCTTGCTTGTTCCACAGAGACCTTCCTAAAAATACTACCATCAGCACCAGCATCACTACCATCATCGATTTAGCACATCCTTCATGCCGGGCATTGTGTGAAGGACCTTACATGAATTATTCCATTTAATCCTCGTAGTAATCTTATAAAATAGTTACTATTATTATTTCCACTTTATGAAGGAGAAAACAGAGGATCAAAGAGATTAAGCCAGTGGTCAAAGACCTCAAGCGTATTAATTTCTAGCTCAAAGGTTTGAGTTTAGAATTGTGTGACATCAAAATGGACTCTTAACTGTGATGATATAAAGTTTCCCTATCCAAACCCATGTGCTTATTTTCTTTCCTTGAATTCCTTCAGTGTATATGTTTAGGATGCCATCTTTGGGCATTTGAATTGTTGGAGACTGGGAGGAATTTTTTAAGATTAGATGGTCTAACACTTTTTTTTAGTAGTTGATAAAACTAGCCTAGGCAACATACCAAGACCCTGTCTCTACAAAAAATAGAAAAATTAGCCAGGCATGGTGACACACACCTGTCCTTCCAGCTACTTGGGAGGCTGAGGCAGGAAGATTGCTTGAGCCTGGGAGGTTGAGACTGCAGTGAGCCATAATCGCGACATTGCACTCCAGCATGGGCAACAGAGCGAGATGCTGTCTCAAACAAACAAAAACAAACAACAAAAAAGACAAAGAAGAAACTGAAAATTAGAAGGACAAAGAGACGTATCTAGGATCCTGAAGTGGATTAATGGATTCTTGACTCAGGCACAATGCAGTGCTTGTTGTAGTATAGGATATATCATCCCTTTTGGGACTTGAAAATTTACTCTTCACATATTTTTAAATTCTATATCTTGCCCTCTCAATTACAGTATTAGTTATTTAAGGATAGAGAGTATGTTTTCTACTTAAAAATGTTTCCAATATTATGTAAAAAGTAGAAACTAAGTGTTAAAGGCAAGCAAGCAAGCTAGTTGGCAGAGAGGGAGTGCAAATGTTTACATGGTGGAGATGCTGGTAGTCCCTGGCACATAGTAATCTTTCAGTAAGTACTTTTCAAGTGAACGAATGGATGAATGAAATGGTGTTAGGAAGACTAGAGTTGAATTTGAACTGGGGGGCGGGTATTTCCAAGAATACAGATGAAGTTTTGCAACAAAGGAAGTAGATCCAGCTTTGGATGCTGCTGACAAACTAGTCTTTAAAGAAAATTACAGCACGTGTGTATAAAGAGGTGAGTCACTGGAGAAGAGTTATTGAACCTGACAGACATTGTGAAGAGAACAGCAATGGTCTCTGACTGTTCAGCAAGAACGCTGAACATCTGCTCAGCATCATCAAGACCGTCTTCTGCCTACTAACTGGTGGGATGTGCCTCTGTGCCAAACGATGGCCTCTCATGTTGGGCATCATTCATCTAAGGGCTCTGAAAGCTGTGATTATTGCAGTGGGTGAAGAGACAGGTGTTTCAGGCATGCTAGTGTAAAATATTATCTAGATCAGTGCTTTTCAAGCTTTAATGAGCATATGAATCATTTGGGCATCTTGTTAAAAGGCTGCTTCTACTGTAATAGGTCTTGGGTGGAGCCTAAGATTTTCTATTTCTCACACACTACAAGGTGTGATGAGAATGATGCTGATGCTGCTGTTCTGAGCAACCATACTTTGAGTAATAAGGTTCTAGCTGATCTATGGAAAAGTACTAGGGAATGTGACAATTAGAAGTAGTTCTATGTTGTCCTTTCAGCTTTGTCCTCTGATCAGGAATCTCCACTCTGTGGGCCAACTCTCCAACAACAGGCTGGCAATCCAATTGGTTGGTTATGCTGCTTCTATAGGGACTGATTGGATTTGGGGGTCATGAAGTTATTAAGGGAAAAAAATCAAGGAAGCATTAAAACTCATACTTCCTAGAGTGTTACACCTAAAGATCTGCACAAGGACTCATTTGCTTATGAATCACTTAGAAATTCATGTTTACTCCTAGGGCCCAGCACAGAGTAGGCCATCCAAAAATGCCAAATGAATGAAGAAAGGATAAAGAAGGAGGCTTCAATCAAAGCAGCTAGAGTCATACCACATCTCACTATTAATTTCACTTACAAGATGAAGAACTAAGCCAAAAAATCACCTATGTAAACAAAAATAGATGTCTCAAAGGCCATACATTAACTCTTAGGCATATTACTTCTGGAGAAGTTCTAAGTCAACTCAGAGCCTATTTGGGCTTTTATATTTTTAAATAAAAGAGTGAAATAGTTTATTATCATATAAACAGAGTGATGTGATTTCTCACCTTTTGTAAGATTTTATAGTTTGCAATGCACTTTAAAATAGCTTTATTGAGATATAATTCATATATCATAAAATTCACCCTTTTAAAGTGTTATTTGTACCTATTTTACAACCTATTTTATAAAGCTTGGCTGTCTATAGTAGAAGGGAAGAGGCAAGTTAGAGGGGTTTGGAGAGAACAAGAGATAGATATAGGCAGGCAAGGGCAAAAGAATAAAAGACAAGACAAAAAATATTAAATGAAGCACAGAGAAGTACTAAGAAAGCTCAGGCAGTAATCTGGAAATATTTAGTTTAGTGGAAACCTCTTTCCAACATGCTTCAAAATATCCCAAGAAGATGAGTGTATACAACCCAGTATAATAATGGATGTTCATGATGGTGCCCTTCTAGCTAATTCTAGTTGTTACATTCCCTAGTACTTTTCCATAGATCATCTAGAACCTTGTTACTCAAAATATGGTTGCTCAGAACAGCAGCATCAGCATCATTCATGATGGTCAGTTGTCAAGGAAAGGATAAGTTATACTCCACCTACTCGGCTTAAAAAGCCAAGGAAGTCTGTGACCCATTAAGACATTTTCATTACAAAGGTAATGGTGATATTTTGTCAAGTGTTGGGTGCTTTAAAAAGTAAGTCCTCAACTCTCTCCACAATGAGTCAGTTCATGGGGATTCCAGAAAGTTGATGTTTTATGGTATGGGCTGAGATATGTGACCAGAGGTCAGCCACATGCACACAGCTCTGCTGACTCAAGGGTGGAGGTCCTCACCAAGCACTGCCATGTGCATGAGTGAGGGCATCTGGGCTTTCAAGGCACATCTTTCTCCCAGGGACAACACCCTTCCTTCTTTTTTTGGACCCTGCTGTCTCCTGAGATCCTCCTGAGCATAATTTAACCCTTGCTGGGTGAGAATCAGAATGGTCCAGCAAGCGCTGGATTTTCTGTCAGAGTTTCCTTCGGTTTAAAAATCTGAAACTTGTTTGTCCCTCTGACTCTTCCCAGCTGCAACGAGGTACAAACACAAGGAGATGCAACTCAGAATGCCACTGTGCAGAGCTCTCTTAGTTTTGATTACACAACACATTTTCTAGTTTCTCTGAGGGTCTATGCCCTGGCCATATTAGGCAAGTCACTTTCTGAGCTTTAGTTTTCTAAGTTTCCTCATCTGTGACATGGAGTTGCAGCATCTGCTCTGGGCACCTCACAGGGTTAGTGTGAGGTCTATTAAAATTTTTAAAAGATAAATAAAATGTAGAGAGTGCTTACTATTTCTTCAGGCACCATGTGAAAGGCTTTGCATCTATTTCATTATAATACTTGGAAGTCAGTATTTTTATTATCCTCATTTCACAGATGAGAAAACTTCAGCTCATAGAGGTGACTGGTCCAGGATCACCATGGCTAAGAATTGGTAAAGACTGAGTTTAAATACAAGCCCTTCCATTTTAGAAATTAAATGAGATAATGCTTATAAAAGTGCATTGTAAAGGTCTATATCTATAAAGGCCTATAGAAATATATGAGATTAATACTGTTTCTAGAATTATTTTACAGAACTAAATTAGAGTCCACCTTCTACCTTCATCTTCCTAGCTTAGCCTTCCTGGTCAGCCCCCTTTCCAGGCCACAGTGAACTTCATGACCTCCGAGTCTCTTGTGCTGCTTTTCCTGACAATGCTGGGCCATAGGCATCTCTGGCTACAGGATCTTAGAGATCATGTTGGACTTGAATCTTTGACATTACTGATATTGATATATCACTGGTCTTGGCCTGACCCCACACTGGGGAGAAATGCTTCTTCCTAAAACTTTGGTAAGGAAGCATCCCAAATGTTTGCTTTTTCATTTCCTATCACGGGAAAATGCAGCCTCATTGTTTCTAGGATCAAAATAACTGGATTATACCTCCCAAAGATTCCCAAAGGCTGCTATTTCTTTTTTGAGTAAGAACTTCCACTCGCAATGACCATCTCAGATTGAAAACTGCTGCCCAGCATGGAACATGCTGCCCTGGGCCTAATCTCTGACACTCCAGTGGTAGGAAGTACCATGCTGATGGGGTATTCTCAGGAATACTTGAAAAGTTCCAGGATTTGTGAATATTTATTTCATTTCTAGACTGGCCCTTTAATGCAAAATGTCCATTTCCTTTGGTGTACTTGTTCTACACAAGAAAAAAAAATCCTCAGCCTCAGGTTTCTTCCTGGCTACTTCCTGTTTCTTTCCAATGGTCAAATCTAGTCATCCTTGCTCTGGTGTATGACTCAGTCTAAGAGTATCTCTGTGTTATCCAAGTTTATCCAGCTTATAAACATAAATTACTTCTTTTTCAATTACATTTTACAGACAGTATCCCAAACTTTTAGTATGGTTTTCTATTTAGGCTCAGAGCCAAAGTGTTTGCAGTCAATCTTTGTGCTTTTGATTCTTTTTTTAGTCGTTTTTGACTTCTATCCATTAAAACCTCTTATTATACCATTTTTTTACCAGCCATCATCCTCATAAGTCTCTGACACAAAAGAATCTTTCTGCCTGCCACAGCCAATTCCTGTTGCAACACCGTCTTGAAAGGACTCCATCAGCTCTACACCCTCACCATTTCCCTTCAAATCCCACCTGCTCCAAGTGTTTTCTTCTTGCTTAGACTTGATACATTTGCTTCTCAGATAAAGGATGGTGGTGAGCACACAGCTGGAACCAAGGAAGAAAACAGGGCCTTCGGGATGATAGCATTACTTTTCTCTAATCAATAATTCATTTTTAACTAGAATGTTTGTAGAAATTGAGACTTGGCCTTAAGTAGTTTTTCACAAGCAAAAGAAAATGAGAGAAGTCTAAAACAAAATACAGTTTGGGACATGGACCAAACAAAATGAAAACATCTTGCAGAGCGATAAAGACTGTGTAAACTTATTTATGATTCAATAGAATTGCTTTTGCAAAAAGCAAGGGCATGGCTCATGTTTTGTTTTGAAATGTATCTGTATTACATAAACACAGTAATTATGGCCTTTGACTTGTCCTTGTATGAATGGAAGTACCCTAAAATCTTACATAATTTGAATCCTGCAGTTTATGGAAGGCAAAGGCAATAAGGCACTTTATCACAGCAAATAAAATGCCTCACAAAGGAGACTATTGCCTATTCACATGTGGACAGGTCTCATCTTCCTATGGAGAAATTTACCAGGATCAGGAATTTCAGGAATGACTAACTGGCTTCTAACGTCCTGAGTGTCCATAAATGAGAATAATGCACTCTCCCCCACCCCTCAAATTCATCTTTTCTTCCCTGCCAGCCTACTTCCTGCTTTTTCTGCTCTCTTTCCCATGTCCTTACTTTATTCTTTTCATGCTCACAGGGGCTCATGTTTACTTGCTAAGCTTCGGCCTTTTCCACATTCCTCCTTTGATAGGCGAACATCCCAGCAGCTCCCCTGGGTCATTCCCAGGTGAGTCCACCAGACTTCCACAGCTTCACCCCGTGCCCTGTGTCATCATGACTAAAGCTGATCTGATCTCAGAAGTCTGAGAGCCCCAAGGTCTGAGGAACTTGCTTTAAGTTCCTCCTGCTCAAACCCATCTCAGCTGGATTCCCAGACCTCCCCTGGCCATCTTGGCTGTGGAGGTTTATTCCCTTTATGTATCCCTAACACACACACACACACACACAGTCACTCACTATATTATTACATATTATATCATTATATATAGTAATATTATTACTATTATTTATATTACTACTACCATTATTAATATCTATTATTATATGTATATAATACATATAATAGTAATAATATAAATATATATATAATGTAATATACTAATAATATAAATAATAGTAATAATAATAGTAACAATATAAATATATATAATGACATAATATATAAGAAAATAATATTATATTGTTATAATATTACCATAAGAAGGCCTTGCTAGGCATTGGCAAGTTTTCTCTTTGTTCTTCTGTCTCTCTTTTTGTGTCTGACTTTCAAGAGCCCACACCTGCCCCTTGACTCATATAAAATATCCGCTAGGAAGTAGTATTGTCACTTTAGAGTAAATTTAAAAAAAAATTGGGGGGCCGGGCATGGTGGCTTACGCCTGTAATCCCAGCATTTTGGGAGGCAAAGGTGGGCGGATCATGAGGTCAGGAGATTGAGACCATCCTGACCAACACGGTGAAACCCCGTCTCTACTAAAAATACAAAAAATTAGCCGGGCGTGGTGGTGGGTTCCTGTAGTCCCAGCTACTCGGGAGGCTGAGGCAGGAGAATGGCGTGAACCCGGGAGGCGGAGCTTGCAGTGAGCCGAGATCACGCCACTGCACTCCAGCCTGGGCAAAAGAGCGAGACTCCGTCTCAAAAAAAAAAAAAAAAAAAAAAAAAAAAAAAAAATCTGTGAATATGGAGAGGAATAAGAGCTTGAAGTTCAGGAAATGTTTAGAATCTGAGAATGTAGTCCGAATGGGGATGGGGAGATAGAAAAACAGGGAGAGGGGGAGTTGGCTTGAGGTTCCCCTCCCCTTACTCCCACCCTTCTTTTCCTTTTCCCAGAGTTCTCCTCCAATATAGCTATTATTCCAACATACAGCTTTTAGACAGCCACCACCTCCTCCTGTCAATGCAGTGCAGACTCTGCCCAGCCCCCCAACTCACCCCCCCAACAAAATTAAATTTCTTTCTAAAAAGCAAATGTAAACTGATTTGCACAGAAGGGGAGAATAATTTAAGAAATGAATTTATTATGCTTCTACTGGCATTTCTACTTTAAGGATAAAGGTTTCTTTAATGATGGTTTCTTGAGAAAGTATTTGCTAAGACCAGCTCCTGTTTATGAAATAGAAGGTTAGTAGACAACAAAGACCAATATTCTCTTCTGATGACCGTAAGAATGGCAGGACATGTTATTTGAGCAACAAAAAATGAAAATAAGTCTAATGTGGAGGTAGACACATCCATCGTAGTAGTTTGTTAAGCGTTTTTCCTTATTATAGGTGTGCTGGAGTTCAGGCTAGAGTGTGTTCTATGTACGTGCACTCATGGACTTGAATGTCATTTCTTATTGTTGCTGTTGATCACTGGCCATGGGTTCTCTCTGTAGGACCACTAGTTTGGAGAATTTAGTTTGGGGAAGGAACTTGTGGTATTTTCTCGCAGGGTGAAAAGGATCTTACATTAAAAGATTATATGTTCTAAGTTTTAACTAGTCTTTACTAGGGGTGACATGCTTCTGACAGTTTGGATGACTTTTAAGAACTTTTGCAAGGCTGCTATAAATATATTTTCAGTCATATTCATCATGAATATTCCTATACCCAGAAATAAGTTTGAAACAAAGAGAAGTATTTTGTCATTAGGTGGCCTCAGCAACACTCACTCTTTACTCTCCTAATCAAGTCTGGTCTGCCTCACACACAGGTCTTATCTAGACTTTTCTCTCTATCTTGATTTAGCTGTTGGCTCTGCAGATCCTAATGATAATTGAGATTAATCTTTAGGATATTTGTTTACTGTATATTTAGGAACTGCTAAGAAAACAGCCAATTTACAACAAGGTCTGCATACAAGATTTTCTGTCTATATGGCATTGAATTTGTCACCTAATTGTCTCCATAGGAAGTTTTATCTAAAAGCACCATGGTTTATTCCAGTGACACAGGCCTTTTCAAACTCCAGTTTGACAAAGGAAGCTCTTTTTTTGAAATACAAAAGCAAAGCAATCAAAACCATAAAATCAATAGCATGTATTTTCTTGCAGTGCTATCATTTAGAAGTGATTGAACAGATAGTGTTCAAGTTGAGGTTATTTGATTTGTTTTCTGCTTAGGATCTTCTGTCAGTCATCACTAGTTTTCTTTTTGGTGTTATTTGGCATTGTTCTATAGTCCATCAAAGCAGAAGCTTAAGAGAAAAATAACACTGAAGTTTTAGGAAGATATTTCATTGCATGTTTTACAATGTAAAAAAAATTATTGTGGAATTACAAATGATGGACCAAGAAAATTAGCAAAATGAAAAGAAACAGATGTGTGTTTATGTGTGTTTATCTCAGGCAGCAGATTATTGGGCAGGAACATTCCTGAGTAGAGTTTTTGACTCTTAGGAAAGGCTCAGGGTATGCTATGAAGGCCACAGCCATAGACAACCTAGCCATGGTTGCTCTGAATAAATCATGGATTCTGCCTAAGGCAGTGACCCTGTAGCTCAGCATTACCCAAATATATCTGTACAACATTAGTCCTCCAAGACGAATGAAGTTTCTATGGTCAAAGATGTTTGAGATGCTGATATGGTTTGCCTGTGCCCCCACCCAAATCTTATCTTGAATTGTACTTCCCATAATCCCCACGTGTAGTGGGAGGGATCCAGTGGGAGGTAATTGAATCATGGGGGTGGGTTTTTCCCATGCTGTTCTCATGCTAGTGAATAAGTCTCACAAGATCTGATGGTTTTATAAGTGGGAGGTCCCCTCCACAAGCTCTCTTGCCTGCTGCCATGTAAGACATACCTTTGCTCCTCTTTTGCCTTCTGTAATGATTGTGAGGCCTCCCCAGCCATGTGAAATTCTGAGTTCATTAAGTCTCTTTTTCTTTATAAATTACCCAGTCTCAGGTATGTCTTTATTAGCAGCGTGAGAACTAATACAGATGCAGATTCACAAACATAGTAGCAATCAGGAGTCATTTACAATATTGCTTAACCCAGTGTTCCTCAGAGCTATTCCCCTAGCTCTCTTTTCCCATCTAGTACCTATTGCTCACCTGTAAAAGTAGAGTCCTGGTGATCACACTTTGGGAAATGGCAATACCTTTTTACTCCTTAATTCCCTTCTGTGAGTCATAAGAACCATATCGACTACCTAATTTTGTTTATGAAGAGTGTGTTGTTATGGCTGGACAACTTTCTTACAATGATAACTTTAGATCTTGGCAATGTGCCACTTGTGTCTAACAGAGAGAAAAAAGAAAAAAAAATTTAAGATAACCCCAATGCTCCTAAAGAATTGTGGAATCTTTGTTAAGTCATTGAGCTCTCCATTCTGTCTTTTTACCAGTGAAATTAGGAGGCTGAACACTAGCTCCTCTCCCCTTTTCAAGGATTCTCCAAGCTCTGATATTCTGCAACCCTGATATAATGTTGCAGGTTCTTCTTTCCCCTCCCCAGCAGCATTCTCACATCCTCACACCCAGTGAGAGTCATTTCCTGATGGTCTACAGTCTGGTCAGTGTTCTATTCTCTCTGAAATCTCCAGTAACTGATTACAGGGGGTCAATGGGTTCTCATCATGTCTTTGAGGAGCTTCAAGATAACATTTTCTTGCTGAATTGTCAGTCCTTCACCTGAAAGTTTCAGAGCCACTTCCTTCCCTGAGCACGAGGCCTGAAGTTGCTTTCTGTGGAATAAGTGGGCCACTCCTAAAGGCCACCAACCCAGGTGAAATGCCATTGGATGGCAACAGTCACGTATCTTCTAGGCAGGGGCTAGGATGCCCAGTGGTGGGGGGTTCTGTCTTTGTCTTCTCTTATATATGATCCCAAGTAATTACTTTTCTTTTCCAACTTGATTTCAAATATACTACCTACTTACAGGAAATATGGAAAATTACACACACACACACACACACACACACACGGAAGAAAACAAAAATCACCCATAATAACAACGAAGAATAACATTGACCCAGGGGCTTTCTTTTTCATATAGCTCTGTCTCTATCTCTGTCATTAGGAGGGAATTTATTTCTTATTCCTGATGTTTCTTTCCATGTTGGGGAACACCCATTAGCCAAAACACTCCTAACTGCTTACCATAGCCCTTGCTTGACTCCTGGGGAGGTGGAGTGTTATTGAACTGGTGAGTTTGGGAGAGAAACAAGGTATGAACAGCCCCACTCCTACTTGTCTTTGTTTACTGGAGGGTGCTCCTGCCAAGGATATGTGGTCTCACTCGCTCTCAGCAAGCTAAGTGGGGAAGGTTTAAGGGAGGCCTGTGGAGTGGCCAGGTGGTTAAATCTGGCTGATTAGGTCCCCTGACCTAGACCTGAACTTCTGTACTCTACCAGATTCGCAGACATGCCTTGCTCTTTGTAAACCCCCTGAGTGAACACAACTCCAGTTCCCTTGTAGCCAGTCTTACCGTGCTTCAAACATACCCAGATCTTCCTGAACCCCCAGCAGTCAATGTTACATGGCAACATGATATTTCTGCTATAATGAAGTTATTATATTAATACTAATATATGTTTCTCTGATTGCTTTCATAAGCTAAAATTCCTTGAAGTAAAACGTCTAGGTCCAAGGGTGTGGACATTTTAAAGGATTTTGATATGTATTTCCATATTTGGGCTGATATTCAGATAATGGACCAAGCTCACTTTAGCATCAAAGGCATAGAGAATAGAATCCCTGTTTTGTTTTGAGCAGAAAGGCATCTTAGAAATTATCTGAAAATGTCAGCATCAGTCTTTCTTTGGTGGAGTCAACTCAATCATCAGACATCAATCTCTAATAATTCAAAATCACTGGGGGAAAACATCACAAACAAGTCTCTTATTTTTCTCCTTCCTATTCACCTCACAACCCTCCCAGTGGTCACACTGTTTCACAGGGCTCCAGTTCAGCCAGGTGGAAGGTCCGATCTCTGACTGCCTGGGGAAAGATGGTTTTAGAGTTATTGGTGCAGGACACACTCTGAGGAGCAGATTCACTGTTTCTCTAATCAGTCTGGCACCAGTGCCTTCATGGGGCAGTGCTGTAGAAGGATTCTTGCATTTCTCATCAAAAGATTAGGCTCTTAGGATCTCTTCATTTTTCTGAAAGCATTTGCTAAAGGTGTCCTCTGGAATTAGCACACATTGCCTGAAAATGCTGTGTGCTGACTGAGGGGGAAACATGGCTAGAACAGACCCTCTTTGTGCTGGGAGTACTGCCTGCTAGGGTGACCACCTGTCTTTGTTTTCTCAGGACAGTCCCAGGTTTAGCACTGACAGTCCAGGCAAACTAGGACAATCGGTTACCCTGCTCCCAAGTAAATGCCAGCCCTGAAATTCCTACCTTCAGGGTACTAACAAGTTAGACAATTAGACAGTGGAGATATTGATTTTGGAATGTCTGTTTAATATGTGGTAAAAATAATTTTGGGCTTAGAAACCAGAAGCTCAGCTTCTCTCTTCCCCTTGTTATGAGCTCTGAGATCTTGGGGGAGTTAACACTCCTCCCTGTGTTTCGTTTTTCTCATCTGTAAAACCTGAGTAGTAGACTTGCCCTGCCTGTTTCACCGAACGGCTCCAGGGAGCAAATGTAATATTGTATAAGAAGGCACTTTGTAAACTGTAAGAAGTGGGTCAGCGTAATGTGATTTTATTGTTCTAAGATATTTATGCATCAATAACACATGAGTCTCAGTTATGATTTATTCTATTTATTCTGAATTTTGTTTCTCATCCTCACAGTTAGGGGTAAACAAACACACATGTCATATGCTGTAGATGGTGACTGGGGCAAAATCTGGAGTTACAGCGAGGCTCAGGGAGCTGCTGAGATGTCATCCTTTGAAAAGGCAGGGTCATTACTTTTGGTGCCTGTAGGCCCCTCTGCCATCTGTGGGTCTCTTCCCTTTGCTGTCTCATAGGACAAAGAATGAGTTTGAGGTGAAGGTGGACTGAAGATTAATCCTATTCTGTCAGGCATGGAACAAGCTTTTCCAAAGAGCAATCAGTAAAGGAGTCAAGGATGGCAAAAAGAAGGAGATGCCTTGCCTTATTTCCTCCTTTTATTTTTTTCCATTTCCTAAGAGCCCAAGTTTGTGAAATGGGCCTCTAGTGGGAAGTGTTTTAAATGAGAAACTCCGTGGAACACAAAACATGATGGGCAATGTGAATTGCTTTTTGTGTTGAGTTTTTGGTACCCACATTTGCCTGACTGCAGTTTACTACTTGAGAGAGAGGAATAGAATGGAAAATGCTGTAGGCACTACAGAGGGCCCATTATCTCAAAATAATTCTTCCCTTTTAGAATGTCACTGCAGTAAGGCTGGGGGCAGAGAACAGATGTGGCTCCTAGTCAAGAATACTTAGAACCCAGACCAGAAATTGAACTATGGGAATAGCTGACATCCAGGACGAAAGGCCATTGTTGACTGGTTGGTACTGAGCAATAGTGTCTAGCCCCTCGAAATGCAAATGCTGTTGTTTGCAGCACAAAAGCACCAATTTTCCCTTTAACAGAGCGTGTACTATTAAAATAGCATGTCCTGTGTGTAGTTGCCGCACATTCTTTCCATTTTTTTTTTTTCTGTGTGAGTCAGAGTGCAGATTCTCGACAAGGCTGAAAAGAAAGAAAGCCATCTAATTTACATGGGCACAGAGTACCCACATCTGGATAGAGTTAGAATGAGCGGGAATTACTTGCAGCATTTAAATATAGGCGTGCAGACCTTCTTTCTTTTGACCATATGAGGCATTCACATGTAATTCCATGAAAGAAAAACCCAAAAGTCTACTTCTTATTAAAAGAGGCTGTTGTTGCTAGTGTGATTCAACCATTACAGGAACTGACCCAAACTTACAGGAATTGACCCAAACCTGGAGGCTGACATGAGTGGCATGAGGCCACCATACTCTCACCACCCTTCAGATGGTCAGAATTATACAATATTGTTGAAGGCATGCTAGTACCTACTTGTCTGTGCCAGGAGGTTGGCAGGATCTGAAATCTGTCCCAGTTGGAACTCATAAGCATTGTAGTAAGCTGCTGATGCTGGGGAAACTGGGTGGAAATTATCAATGGGGTCAGGCCCCACGCTGGATGAGTCTTGTGTGCTTTACCACCACCACTGATAGACCTGTTTCCAGTTCAAATAAGATGTGGGGAAAGGGAATATAAATAGCAGATACCCAGGCCCTAAAAATGTGAAAATGAATAGCTGATATACAGAAACCAGGAAAAATAGGGGAAAGATAAATGGCTGTCTTCTGAAACTAGGGCCTCATTAATACCTAATTACTGGCATTTAAGGAAGAACTATATAGATTTCACATATGAGTTGATACGTTTATTGATGTGTGGGTGGCAGTGGCATTACTAAAGACCTTAGTGAGGAAACTGGTAGACAATATAGAAGGTTATAATGTTAGAGAGTTAACAAGGCAGAAAGTATATATCACTTTATGGACTTGTTCTCAAAATGACCCACAAAGCATTATAACAACACTTAGCTCTATGCATTTGCTGAGTTCCACCTTCCCCATGTCAGATTTCTCTCAGATTATATCTGGTAGAATTTTAGGCATTTGGGCTTAACTTCCTCTATATGCTCCTCTCAGGCCTCTGACAGTCTTCTGAAGAAGCATGACAATATTATCATCTTTGCAGTTAGCTTTATCAGAGTTTCTTTCTGGGAGGGTAGCTGTCTTTATTTAGAAACAGTCCTTGATAAGTTGTGAATGATAAAAGTGAGACTCCTAAGGCAGGCATTGCACAGGCTGAAGAAAAGTGAAGAGAAAGCAAACTTGCTCTGCATTGGATAGAAGGTGAAAAATAAGACTGTGTGTTGAAGGAGAAGAAAGAGAGAATGAGGAGAGAAGACAATGAGATTGGAAAAGTTCCCAGCACTATGGCCATTGGGGACTGAAAAGACTTCCAAAAATAGAGATATCTGCTATTCAGTTTGAAGTTTCTTTTATTGCTGGGATGGGAAATCTTGTCTCCCCATAGTCAGGGCTTCAGTAAAGTCTACCTCTATAAATGTAAATTGCCTTTAGTGAGTGAATTTTTGGAGACCAAGGAACTGAGGAGTTTCACATTGGGTTTGATGAAATAGTGAATTGGGAGATAATGCATTAGCTGAAGTAACAGGAATTTGTAGGCAGAGGTATGGTAAGGACTGCTAAGTGATTACTGGTATCCCTCCTTTCTTTTCCTATCATAAAAAAACTGCTATGTTTTATCTGGGAATATTGCTGTCCAGGTAGAGACTGCATTTTCTTTTCTTTTCTTTTCTTTTCTTTTTTTTTTTTTTTTCTTTTTTCTTTTTGAGATGGAGTCTCCCTCTGTTGTCCAGGCTGGAGTGCAATGGCGCGATCTCGGCTCACTGCAACCTCTGCTTCCCGGGTTCAAGCAATTCTCGTACCTCAGCCTCCCAAGTAGCTGGGATTACAGGTGCCCACTACCATGCCTGACTAATTTTTGCATTTTTAGTAGATACGGGGTTTTACCATGTTGGCCAGGCTGGTCTTGAACTCCTGACCTCAGGTGATCCACCCACCTCGGACTCCCAAAGTGTTGGGAGTATAGGCATGAGACACCGCGCCCAGCCAAGAATGCATTTTCAAGCCTTTTTAAAAGTACGTGTCAACATGTGACTTAAGATGGTTAATATATGTGTAGAAACGATACGTATTTCTTTTAGGCTGTGCCTTTAAAGGAAATGAGCAAACATTCCCCTGCCACTTTCCCATTTTTGCTGGCTAGTAAATAATGAAAGAGCTGGAGCAGATATCTTGGACCCAAATATGGGTGGCAGATGTTGAGGATGATAGAGCCATCTTACTAATTCTTGCTTGCCAACATCTGGACTGTTATATGAGAGAAAAATGAAATTTTAGATGCAGTAAGTTGCAAAAGCACTATTATTTTATGTAACCTCAAGAAGAAAAATATACATACCCAGTTAAACTATGACATAATGCTTGAATGACATTGATTACAAAACACATTTCCATTTCAGAATTGTTTACAAGTGAAAATTTTGTATTTTAAAACAATACATTTCTTGTTTAAGCCACTGCACCTGGGATTCATTGTGTTAGTGGTTTATGCTATATTCCACCTAACATAGAATTTGCTATCAGAAGTGGGGTGCTGTCATAACATAACCCAAAATAAGTGGTTTAGTGGTTGGGCAGCAGGAGGCAAAGAAAAACATTGCAGGCTGAGAATCTGGTGACTCCTGTTACATCCTGACAAAATATTCAGAAAAATGTTCTCTAATAAAACTTTGAAAGACAGACTGTATGATGCTAGATCAAGAAACTTTGGTGAAACTGGTTGGAAAAGTCAGAATGTTGATGTAGTCTAGAAATTTCTTATCACTTTTAGATTGATGACATCAGTCTAGTTATAAAAGGTGACTCATAATCTAAAGTGGCAGCTTTAGCAAATGGTAGTGTTTTAGCCCAAGACTTTCCCATCACTTGCCAGCAAGACTTCCCATCCAAATGGTGAGAGCTAATCCAGAAGCAAAAATCAGATTAAGGGTGCTGCCTTCCCAACCAAATCTATTGTTTCAGATGGTCCCAAAGAAGCTATAATTAATGAGAAAATGAGAAAGAGAGAGTGAGAGTGAGAGTAAGAGAGAGAGAGAGAGAGTTGGAGCACAAAGACCAGTACATGTAAGATCAGTTTTTTTTGTTGTTTTTTTTTTTTTTAAAAAAAACTCTGTTTGGATGAACTCTTTGGCTGCAGTTAAATATATATGGAACCAATGGAACCAAATAGCCAGAAGCATAAAAATAGTTTTGAGAAATTTAATTGCCAAAAACCCACAAGTCTGGTTTCCAAAAGCCTCTTATTCTTCCATCCCTAAAACAACCCCAGTGGTATTAGTCCATTTTCATACTGCTATGAAGAAATATCTGAGACTGGGTAATTTATAAAGAAAAAGGGGTTTAATGGACTCACAGTTCCACATGGCTACGGAGGCCTCACAATCATGGCGGATGGCAAAGGAGGAGGAAAGGTATGTCTTACATGGTGGCAGGCAAGAGAGTATGTGCAACTTGCCCCCATGATTCAATTACTTCCCACTGGGTCACTCCCACGACACATGGGGATTATGGGAGCTACAACTGAAGATGAGATTTGGGTAGGGACACAGCCAAACCACATCACCAACCCTCCAAATATACCCCAAGCAGGAAATAAGTTACAAAAGCAGTACAGCTCTCAAGTCGGGCATGGTCTTCAATACTCACTTTATATGTGATAAGTGAGAATAATGGAGAAGGAAAAACTTCTAAGTAGGCAGAAGCAGGATCAAATTAAGGCAATTTATCCATTTAGGGAAGGGAGAATTTGGTAATTGCTATGGACAAATGACTGCTGTGTTTTTCCCTTTTTCTTTACATAATAGGAGTTTTAAATTGTAGTTCATTTGTTTCTACTCCATCATTGTAGACTGTGTGTGTGTGTATGTGTGTGTGTGTGTATGTGGAAGTGGAAGATAACTCTCCACTAGACCAAGAGAAATCCTATTTAGACTTGATGGAAAAGACTGCCCCTCATGGGAGAGCCCAGACTTGGAGCTAGACGGAATGTTGGGCTGGATTCCTCAGGGATGGGAAAAGTATGTTCCATTTGTTGGGGGAAAAAAAGGTGTGAATGGATATCTGAGTGGCTAGAGGCAGGATCTGATAGAGACTGCTGATTGTCCTCCAGCATCCATTTTTTCTTTCCTTTATGCATAGAATTTCCTTTTTGTAGTTTGATCTATGTCAGCCCAGGTAATGACTCCCATTCCAGGTCTTTTGCAGCTAGTTGTGCAGTGAGATGAGCTCTGGGCAATGGGGTATGAGCAGAAATAATGAGTGCCATTTCTGCACTATGCCTTTATAAGGCATAGACATGAGCTTTGTGTGTTATTTCCCTCTTCCTGCTATCTGGGATGCAGATATGATGGCAGGAGCTGGACCAGTCACCTTGAACTCAGGCATGTAATCTCAGGCATTGAAGATGGCTGAGTAGCTTTACCTTCCTTGTTCTGGAAATCTCTGGACCATTACTTAGGAGAGAGTAAACTTCTCTTGTGTTTAAGCCATTGCTGTTTTGAGCCTCTTTATTTTAGCAGCTTAGACTGAACCCCAAGTAATACAAGCCGTAACCAACCCATGAATTCACACAAATCTTGTGGAGAGCTTCTGAATTAGAGATTCAAGCCAAATCTTATCTATATCTCAAGGGGAAAATGAGGAGAGAAGATAAGATCTAGATATACTATAGGCCTTCCACTTCCCAGAACAGACCAGAAAACATAGACAGGAAATAAAGATACTAATACTGCCACAGCAGCCTCTGCCCCAAAATCTGGCCAGGAGGCAATGTGAATCTCACTCTGTCCAAAGATGTGGGTAATTTTTACATGTTTGTTCAGTGTTATCAGACTCCTTTCTGATATTATTGCTTAAAACCAATACTTTACTACTGGCATAGAGAGGAAGAGAGGCCAAAACACATATTTTTCCCCCAACAGAAAATGTCAGAGTTTTTAAACAGAGAAATGCAAGAGATATTTCAAAATTTATCAGTCACTGGACTAAATTGAGAAAGTTATGTTGTGGGTTTCTTGAGAGGTCTCATACAAAATAACAATGAACATGTATTAGGATTCTTGGAGCAGTCTTTCTATTTGAGTCACCTGGATGCTCAACTAGACGCATGCAAATAGGAAAATGTAGCTTTCTTTGCTGACTCCAGCCAGGCTCTGTCAGAAGCATTGATAAGGGCAACTGATGCAGGCTGAGAATACGGGCATTGAATAAATGCTGAGCCAATTGCTTATATCCTCATTTACTCACAGAAACATGGATGTTTTACATCCAGAGAAGCCTTGACCAATAACCTGGTTCTCATTTTACATTCATGGAAAACTGAAGTGACTTGACTATTAGAGACAGCAGTAGACTGGAACATGGTCTCCTGATATCCAGATCGTTGTTCTTTATTTTATTATTGTTAAATTTTTAGTTGACACATAATCATTGTACATATTTGTGGGATACAGAGTATAGTTCAATACATGTATATAATCAGGGTAATTTACATATCCATAACTTCAAATATTTATCATTTCTTTGTGTTGGGAACATTCAAGATCCTCTCTTCTGGCTATCTGAAAATATACAATGAATTATTGTTAACTATAATCACCCTACAGTGCTATAGAACACTGGAACTCATTTCTCTTATCTAGTTGTAATTTCATGTCTGTTAACCAGCTTCTCCTTATCTTTCCTTCCCCCTACCCTTCCCATCCTCTAATAATTACAATTCTACTCTCTACTTCTGTGTGCTTAACTTCATATGAGTGATTCTATGTCTGACTTATTTCACTTAACACAATGTCCTCCAGGCTTGGCCATATTGTGGTGAGTGTCAGGATTTCATTCTTTTTTATATCTGATATCTGATAGTATTCTACTGTGTATATAGAAAAGGCACACTACATTTTCTTTATCCATTCATCTGTTGACAGGTGAATGGGTCGATTCCATATCTTGGCTACTGTAAATAATACTGCAATAAACATGAGGGTACATATATCTCTTCAATATATTGATTTCCTTTCTTTTGGATAAATACCCAGTAGTGGAATTGTTGAATGATACAGTAGTTCTATTTTTAGTTTTTTGAGGGACGTCCATACTGTTTTCCACAGTGGCTGTACTAATTTATATTCATACCAACAATGTGTAAGAGTTTTCTTTTCTCAGCATCCTTGCAAGCATTTGATATTTTTTTTGTCTTTCTTGTAATAAGCACTGTCACTGGGGTAAGATGATATCTCATTGTGGTTTTGATTTGCATTTCCCTGATGATCAGTGATGTTAAGCATTTTTTTCATATACTTGTTGGCAATTTGTATATTTTCATTTGAGAAAGGTCTATTCAGATCCTTTCTCCATTTTTAGACTGGATTATTTGTATTTTTTTACTGTTGTTTGAATTTCTTATATATTCTAGACATTAGTCCCTTGTTGGATAAATAGATTGCAAATATTTTCTCTCATTCTACGGGTTGTCTCTTCACTCTGTGGATTGCTTCCTTGCCTATGCAGAAACTTTTTAGAGTGATATAGTCCCATTTATCTATGTTTGCTTTTGTTGCCTGTGCTTTTGAAGTCTTACTCATAAAATCTTTATCAAGACTAATGTCCTGAAGCATGTCTCCTATGTTTTCTTCTAAGAGTTTAATAGTTTGGGGTCTTACATTTAAACTTCTGTGCATTTTGAGTTGTTTTTTTTTTTTTTTTTTTTTTTTTTTTTTTTTAGATGGAGTCTCGCTCTGTCGCCCAGGCTGGAGTGCAGTGGTGTGATCTCGGCTCACTGCAACCTCCACCTCCCGGGTTCATGCCATTCTCCTGCCTCAGCCTCCCCACTAGCTGGGACTACAGGCACCCACCACCACGCCCAGCCAATTTTTTGTATTTTTTTAGTAGAGACAGGGTTTCACCATGTTAGCCAGGGTGGTCTCGATCTCCTGACCTTGTGATCAACCCACCTCAGCCTCCCAAAGTGCTGGGATTACAGGCATAAGCCACCGCGCCCGGCCGAGTGGATTTTTGTATATGGTGAGGGATAGAAATCTAATTTCACTGATACCCAGTTTTTCCATCACCATTTATTGAAGAAGCTGTCCTTTCTTCAATGCATTTTCTTGGTGCCTTTGTTAAAAAGCAGTTGGCTGTGAATGCATTGACTTATTTCTGGGTTCTCTAGTCTATTTCTTTGGTCTACATGTCTGTTTCTGTACCATTACCATACTATTTTGGTTACTATAGCCTTGTAGTATG